>NT_187660.1:1817598-2130300 GCF_000001405.40 Homo sapiens
AGCCTATCTTTTACGCTTTTCTGAATTAGTTGGTCCTCCTGTTTTGGCTTGAAGTGGTAGGGTTTACTCTATTTTTTGGCTTGAATTGGTAGGGTTTATTGGTTTGGTTTGGTTTGGTTTGAGAGTCTCGCTCTTTTGCCAGACTGGAGGGCAGTGGTGCGATCTCGGTTCACTGCAACCTCTGCCTCCCAGGTTCAAGCAATTCTCCTGCCTCATTCAGCCTCCAGAGTAGCTGGGATTACAGGCGTGTGCCACCATGCCCAGCTAATCTTTATATTTTTTAAGAAGGGACGGGGTTTCACCATGTTGGCCAGGCTTGTCTCAAACTCCCGACCTCAGGTGATCCACCTGCCTTGGCCTCCCCAAGTGCTGGGATTACAGGCATGAGCCAGCACACCCGGCTGCTTTACGGAGTCTCACTCTGTCACCCAGGCTGGAGTGCATTGGCGTGATCTCAGCTCACTGCAAGCTCCACTTCCCGGGTTCACGCCGTTCTCCTGCCTCAGCTTCCCGAGTAGCTGGGACTACAGGAGCCTGCAGCCATGCCCAGCTAATTTGTTGTATTTTTTTTTTTAGTAGAGACGGGGTTTCACTGTGTTAGCCAGGACTGTCTCGATCTCCTGACCTCGTGATCCGCCCACCTCGGCCTCCCAAAGTGCTGGGATTACAGGCGTGAGCCACGGCGCCCGGCCCTCCTTAGCCATTTTTAAGTTACGGTTCTACGGCACAACGTACATTCACATTGTTGTGCAACCATCACCACCAAACATGCACAGAGCTCTTTTTATCATGCAAAACTGAAACTGCTCCCACTGAACACTGCTCCCCTGCTGTCCCTGGAAACCACCATCCTACTTCCTGCTTCTATGAGTCTGGCTACTCTGGGTACCTCATATAAGTGGAATCACACAGTATTTGTCCTTTGGGGACTGGCTTATTTCACTTAGCATAATATCTTCAAAGTCTATCCATGTCATAGTATGTGTCAGAATTTCCTTCCTTTTTAAGAATGAATAGTATTCCATGGTATGGAGAGACCCCATTTTATTGATCCATTCATCCAAGGATGGGTTCCTGGGTTGCTTCCACCTCTTAACTATTTTGGTTGATGCTGTTATGAACATGGATAAACAAGTATCTCTTCAAGTCCCTGCTTTTAATTCTTTGGGTATATACCCAGACTTGCTTTTAATGAGACTCTCTACATGTTAACTTCTTGCTTTTAATGAGACTGTCTACATGACATGTTAGTCACATGTGATTTACAACAGGAGGTAAGAGCAGGCTGGGTGAATCATAATAGTGTCCATTAATGCTGCACGTACACAGAGGACTCCTATGGTGCCAGTGAACAAAGGAGCAGACACCTGCTCCCAGGACCACACAAAACTCACCACTGCAGACATAGATGACTACCTCCATTCTAACACATAACATAATTTGGTCTCAGGTACTTAGTGAGGAGAGTTTCCATTTTTCCTCCAAAGATACCTAGCAGAGAAAGAATGTCATGTTTGATGGGAGAATTTTTAAATTAGCTTCAGAAACCAATTACATACCTCAGGCTTAAAAAAAGACAGCAAAATTGGACAGGTGCAGTGGCTCACGCCTGTAATCCCAGCATTTTGGGAGCTGAGGTAGGTGGATCATTTGAAGTCAGGAGTCGAGACCAGCCTGGCCAACATGGCAAAACCCTGTCTTTACTAAAAATACAAAGATTGGCCAGGTGTGGTGGCGGGCACCTGTGGTCCTAGCTATTCAGGAGGCTGAGGCAGGAGAATCGCTTGAACCTGGGAGGCAGAGGTTGCAGTGAGCCAAGATTGCGCCACTGCACTCCAGCCTGGGCAACAGAGCAAGACTCTATCTCAAAAAAAAAAAAAATCCCCCAAAAAACTTTTTCAAACCCACAATCTGACTTTAAATTTCATAAAGAAGGTGATCAACAAAGATTGGTCTTGGTCTATTACCAAAATGATGTCAAATTTTCCATTCTCTTTCTTTGTTCTTTACATTTCCACTCCGATTTTATGTAAATGAAATTGAACTTTTACTAGAGCTGTTTAAACACATTCTATTGAATACAACTGTATTTTATATTTTCTTTTATTTTTATATTATATAAATTTGTATTTATAAAACAGCTTTTATTAAAAGTATTTTTGCTCTGAATAATTGTATTCCATACATGTAAATATAAAAAATTGCTACATGGCCCTTTAAGGCATTTAATAATTTTACAAAATACAGTAACACTGCAGAAGAAAGACATAAGAAGTTTTACTGTTAGGAACATTCTCCAAGCCAGAAAAATAGGCATTAGAGTAAGGACATTTCCACATTCAATATTAATTGATATTTGGAGCAGAATAATTCACAGTTAGTAGTCAGATTGATAGAGACAGGAGGTATAACAGTGGTTGCCAGCAGCTGGGGGCAGACAATAGGAAAATGTTGAAGGGGTACAGAGCTTCACTTTTGCAAGATGAGAAGTTCTGGAGGTGTATGATGTTGATGGCTGCACAGCCATGTGAATGTACCTACTACTGAACTGTACACTTTAAAATTGTTAACATGGTAAATTTTATACATGTATTTTACCACAATTAACATTTTTTTCTTAAGGTTTTCAAATAAAAAATTCGGTAGTTATTTGAATAACTAATGCTAGGCAGGACTGGTCAGCAGGAAAAAGCTGCTCCAAAGGTGGCTGAGGGTAAGGAAAGCCTTCGTAACCCCTCAGGCAAATCAACAAAGAGATCTTTTACTACAGGAAGGTGCTACATCTGCCTCAGAGCAGAAGTGGTGCAGCACTGATTTAGGTTCTGAATTTCTTAAGGTCTAACACTGACATTCTTCACATGCTAACAGTTCCGATGTTCAGGTGCCTCACAGAAGCAATGTCAAAAGAAATATGCTATCTGCCAAGCAAAGAAACAAACTGAGAAACAGCTGTGTCTGCCTGTGCATGCATAAACTTAACCAGGCATAAAGGGTTCCTAGTGACACGTATCTGCATGGCAGTACCACAGAGTACTGCCATGTAGTTGAATTTGAATTGTCCCGTAAATGCCTCCAAAAAGATTTCATGATGATATACAACTGAGACTGCACACTACTGTGTGGACAGAAGGTTGCCTTCCATCGGGCTAAGCTCCACAATTAAGTAAAAACTGCCAAATCTTTTGGGCAGATCATAAAATGTTCGAAGTCAGGACAAGCTGGTGAGACTGACTCACACACTGTAAGGACTATCACTGAACATTTTTCTGTCCTAAGTCCCAGCTGACTTTCCATGACAGTTGTTTAATTTCCACAGATACATAATGCAATTATGGAAAAAGTGAAAATCCGATATTTACCAAAGAAGAAATGCAGACATCTGGTAGTTTTTAAAATGCTTTGAAATTATGCTGTCAATGCTAAGAGGACACAAAAGGTCAAGAACATGAGCATGGAATATGAACAGTATTAAAGCTGTCAGGCAAAGCTATCAATGGCCAAAAGAGATAACAGAAAACATTATCCTATGAATGAAAAGAAAGCTTAAGAGTCCAGTTTTGTGATCTTGAGTAAAACAACAGTATGATGTGTGGGATAAATGTAGCTGCCACTGGGTAGATATTTTATGAAAGCTTTGTTTATTATAGTATTTCTTTTTTCTAAAACAATGCTGCTTAGTGGAGGGTAGGCTTTATAAGAGTAGGTACATGACTAGTCTTTTGCTGCAGTGATTTAGTTTGTGATGATCCACGTCATTTTTGCCACAGTGTACAATAGCTGCTGAAGGCCACCCTTGTCTCTCACTTTTCATTATTAAACCAAAGCAAACTCTTCTGATGAAGTTAGAATACATTTTTTTAAGTTAGTCAAATGTGGACACTATAAATCTAACCTCTAGTACTATGGATAGGCAATGGAAAACATCTTGAAATGTTAATCCTAAATAAACACTAAGCAATGTTTAATGTTTAAGATTGATGTCATTGACTATGCTTAGCTGAGAAGAAAACATGTGATTAACCAAGGGAAGGACTTAAAGGATATGTAATAATTCTATATCACCACTAGACATTTAAATTTCACAAAGAGGTTCAACAACTTGAGGAAGCTACTGCTGCCTTTGCCACAGAACCTTCTATCTCAACAATGAAACTCTATCTCATTGCCCTCTATCTCAACAATGAAACTTAGGAGACTTCTGATATGACACATTGGGAGATCACTTTATGTTGGACACTCAAAATAGAAAGCCTGAAATGGTACCAAAATTGACAGCTCTAATACACAAGGGAAAGCCCTACCCTGTGACACTGTAATATTAAAGCAAGCATCTTTTTTAAGATAAAAGTACCACACAGTGGAAGGAAAGCAATGAAACATCTGCAGACCCTGAGAACAAAAGAACTCCAAAATCGCCAACAGATAATCAGTGCAAAGTGCTGGAGCCAGTATAAAAATGCAGAGTCCAATTTGCAAAACAAAACTACTGGGAGTAGAAACCAACTTGGGAAGAAGATAGGTAATAGGGGTAAAAAAAAAGAAGGAAAAGGATGATACAAGTGGCAGACTAGAGAAGAGGAGCCAGATGTCAAAAAGTACATGGCCAAACCAATCGCCACTTTGTGAAAATAACGAGAATGTGTGCTAGAGCTATGAAACTAGAAATCTATCCTATATATAAACAGATAAAATTGGCCAGGCACGGTGGCTCATGCCTGTAATCCCAGCACTTTGGGAGGCCGAGGCAGGCGGATCATGAGGTCAGGAGATCGAGACCATCCTGGCTAACATGGTGAAACCCTGTCTCTACTAAAAATACAAACAAATTAGCTGGGTGTGGTGGTGGGCACCTGTAGTCCCAGCTACTCGGGAGGCTGAGGCAGAAGAATGGCATGAACCCGGGAGGCCGAACTTGCAGTGAGCCAAGATCACGCCACTGCACTCCAGCCTGGGTGACAGAGCGAGACTCCATCTCAAAAAAAAAAACAACAACAAAAAAAAAAACGGATACAATTAGAAGATGAAAAGATAGAAAATTTTAATAATAAAAAATAAAGAGATATGGAGCATTCAAGAGAAAGGGATAAAGAAGACAGGTAAAGAGGGCTCAACATATGTATAAAAGGAATTCTGCAAAGAAAGAAACAGAACAACCACTGAAAACTACATATTGACTCAATTTTTTTTTTTTTTTGAGATGGAGTCTCGCTCTGTCACCCAGGCTGGAGTGCAGTGGCGCAATTTCGGCTCACTACACCTCCGCTCCCAGGTTCAAGCAATTCTCCTGCCTCAGCCTCCCAAGTAGCTGGGATTATAGGTGCATGCCACCACACCTGGCTAATTTTTTTTTTTATTTTTAGTAGAGACCGGGTTTCACCATATTGGCCAGGCTGGTCTCAAACTCCTGACGTTGTGATCCACCCGCCTCAGCCTCTAAAAGTGCTGGGATTACAGGCGTGAGCCACCAGACCTGGCCCACATTGATTCTATTTTTAAAAATGAGTAAAAGACTTGAATAGACATTTCTCAAAAGAAAATATAAAATGGTCAACAAGCATATGAAAAGATGTTCAACATCATTCATCATTAGGGAAATGCAAATCAAAACCACAACAAGGTATCACCTCACCCTCATCAGGATGGCTATCATTAACAACAACAATAACAAAACATAATAACAAGTGTTGGAGAGGATGTGGAAAAATTCAAACCCTTATAGACTCCTGGTAGGAATAAAAAATGGTGCAGCCACTGTGGAAAACAATTTGTCTGTTCCTCAAAAAATTAAAATTAGGATTGCCATGAGATCCAGCAATTCCACCTCTGGATATATATCGAAAAAATGGAAATCGGGGTCCAAGAGAGATATCTGTACACCCATGTTCATAGCAGCACTATTCACAATAGCCAAGAGGTGGAAGCAGCCCAAGTATTCACTGTTAGATGAATAAATAAAATGTGGTATAGACATACAATGGAATTCAGCCTTTACAAGGAAGGAGATTCTGATACATGCTAAACATGGATGAATCTTGATGAGGCTAAGTGAAATAAGGCAGTCACAAAAGGACAAATACTGTATGATTCCACTTCTATGAGGTATGTAAAATAACCAAATTCATAGAAACAGAAAGTAGAAGGGGAGTTATCAGGGGCTGGGTTGGGGGTAAAAGTTTCTCAAGATGAAAAAGTTCTGGGGGTTAGCTGCACAACAGTGTGAATATACTTAACAATATTGAACTGTACACTTACAATGGATAAGATGGGGCCGGGTGGCTCACATCTGTAGTCCCAGTGCTTTGGGAGGCCAAGGTGGGCAGATATCTTGGGTCCAGGATTCAAGACCAGCCTGGTCAATATGGCAAAACACCATCTCTACTAAAAAACTACAAAAAATTAGCCAGGCATTGTGGTGCATGCCTGTAATCCTAGCTACTCAGAGGCTGAGACACGAGAATTGCTTAAACTTGGGAGACAGAGGTGCAGTGAGCTGAGATCATGCCACTGCACTCCAGCCTGGGCAAGAGAGCGAGATTCTGCCTAAAAAAAAAAAAAAAGTTAAGATGGTAAACTTTATGTTACGTGTATTTTACCACAATTTTTAAAAATTGAATTAAGCTGAATATACTGAAATATACTGAAAAATACTGAATATACTGAAAAGGTACATCACATACCTAAGAAAAACAATCCAGAGAAGCCATAACAAGACATATTCTAGTAAAACTATTAAAGAAGAAAGGATAATGGGACCACAAAATCATAAGAGACTTCCAGCACTATTTGTTATGCTTCAATCCTTTAGAGGGAAACAACTGTACCATGAAGCACATAAGAAAAGAGTTATATTTTTCATCATAAGAGGTGCATAAATGAGGATTTGTTATATTATCCTCTATACTGGTCTATACACTTGTAATATTTGATCACACATTCCCACAAACGATTCAGGGAACCTACTGGCTCTGTTAAATTAAACTAAATTTGGGCTGAGGAGGTGCTTGTGTAATGAACTGCAACTTAACTTAGTATGCAAACTAATGGAAAGCCTAACTCAGGAGGATACTTTGGGAACAAATTGCTGAGTCTCAGGCAATCATAGCAGCTGAGCTCCAGTTAACTGCAGGCAGCAGGACAACTGTTCCAATCCTGTTCATGTAAGACGAACACTGAGCCATTAACCATCAGCTGTCTCTCTACCTCACTTCTGTTTCTGTACCTCACTTCCCTGCTATCCACAAATGCTTTTAGACCACGTTGCAGCCCTGGAGTTCTCTGAACCTGTCCCTGGTTCTGAGGGCTGCCTGATTCTAGAATCACAAATAAAAGGCGATTAAAATCTGCAAAACTAGATTTGTTATACATTTTTTTTTTTTGAGACGGAGTCTCACTCTGTAGCCCAGGCTGGAGTGCAGTGGTGTGATATCCACTCACTGCAAGCTCTGCCTCCCAGGTTCACACCATTCTCCTGCCTTAGCCTCCCGAGTAGCTGGGACTACAGGCGCCCACCACCACACCTGGCTAATTTTTTTGTATTTTTAGTAGAGACGGGGTTTCACCGTGTTAGCTAGGATGGTCTCAATCTCCTGACCTCGTGATCCGCCCGCCTCGGCCTCCCAAAGTGCTGGGATTACAGGCATGAGCCACTGTGCCCGGCTTCATTCATCTTTTAGCAGTTTCCATAATTCAAGAGTTCACAGACTAGTGCTGTTGTTGGGGCAAAACTTGAGCCAGGAGCTCAATATCACCTAGTCCCAATTCTTCTTCACCTTCTGCTCTGCCCAGTTCATCCCTGGACTCCTCACAGAACCCCTCAGGCTCTCCTATGACCATGATTAAATGTCTATAGCAGTCCCAGCCTAAATCCTCATACCAGAGTAAGCAAGGGCATTGCTTCTAGAAACTCCCATTCAGGCTCCTGGAACTCCCTCTCTCAGGCTGACTGAAATTGGCTCCTGAAACAATCTCTGTGTCAAGACAGTGAGATTCAATGATTCAGAGTCAGAGTGAGTTGGGGTGGAGTCAATCCTAAGAATGGAAAAGGGAAACTGAGGTGAATGAAGGAGAAATGGATTCTGTGAGGCACCCACAACAAGGACAGCAGAGACCACAGTTCTGGTGGCTGTTTCTTACCCTCCAGACACTGTCCCTCTGCTGAGCTCCTTCAAACCCTCCAGACATGATCAGACTCATCTGGACTTACTGTGGGGACATATCTAGGCCCCGACTCTGTCAAATATGTATAGTGACTTCCATCTAAAAGGCACAAGGTTCTTTACAGATAGGACAACCTTGATAGCACTCATCTGAGAAAGAGAACAAATTAGAAATAATCATCCTTCACTTCCTAACACTCACACAAAAAAAAACAAACCTAAGGGAAAGCAAGTGCATATTAAAACAGAGTTGATCACCAATGAGCAAGTCCTACCAAAGATGGCAGAGAAGCTGAAAAGGTCCTCTAGGAACTCACTCAATAAATGCTCATTTATTCCATTTATTGCAAAGCCAAGAATTGTAAATAATTTAACTCACTTAGGAAAGGATCTTCTCCATTATTTTATCTGAATGTTATCTGATCTTGATGTTCTGAAGTCTGACAGTTACCAAAGCGAGTAAAAATCCTCATGTTTTCCATGCTAGGAAAATCATTAATAGTTTATCCAAACTGAAACTTTCTTGGCAACTGTTGCTTCCTTGTTCTTGCCATAAATTAACTGTTTTTAAAAAGCTAAAATCTAAAGAATTTCCAGGACCTTAAAACCATTAGAATACAAAGACACTCTAATTTAAATAAAATTCATAACCAAAAGTTAACTCACCTAAACACAATGTTTCCTTGTGTCATTTATCTTCTTTGAAGCCCAATCAATAACAGATTCATTCATTCACTCACGCAGCAAACATTTAGTAAGTGCTCTAAATATACCTGAAGGGACCTCACACATCATCTTTCCTGAGCTCTTCCTTTACAGATTAGGAGATTGAGGTCAAAGAGAGCAAGTGATCTGCCCACAGTCACACAGCAAATATGAGAATCCATGGGTGCAATCAGATTTCCTCACCTCTGGCCTGACACGTTATCCACCCTGCCATGTTTCCTTGGCTACAGCAGGCCAATGATGCAATCGGCCTCCAGCAGAGAACACTACTGTAGTAAATATCAATAGCTGTCAAATTTATGGCCACACAACATGGTTTGAACACCCTTCCTACAACTGGAAGATCTCCCATATGAGTTCCTTCTCCTGAAATGTAGAGGCAAAAGCTCATCCAATCCTCCCTGCAGCTAGAGCTCAGGCATATGGCTTGGCTTTGCCAATCAGGGGAGCAGTGTGACGTAGTGGGCACAAGCAGGGTAGGCAGCAGTGGCAAAGCTTCTAGTGTTTGACCTGCAGGGAGCTGGCACTTCCATGCTGAGCGATGGTCACAGAGCTGTCTTCACTTGTCACTGCCCATCGGTGAGATTTGGGCACTGATCCTGGCTATATAGAATTCTGTGAAACTGGCTAAAATGGACTCTGGGGTGGGGATTGCATCTAAGAACCCTGACCTCTGTGCTTCATTATTACGTGCTCAATACATATGCCTGGAGCTATATACAAAATAAAGGGAGCCTCTGCTCAAAACTTCACTGTGCATCATAAGATACCAGTTCTCAGCTATCTATCTGAGTCTTAAGACTTTTTAAAAACTAAATGGTTCTTTTCTATTAAAAAATAAGACAATGATGGGACTACTTCACTTTTAACAATATATGCTGAATTATCAAATGCCTATTTAAAAAAAAAAAAAAAGATCAAGAAGGTGGCAGAGCAAACCCCAGTATTAAAATACTCCTTCACCAAAATCCAACAGCAAAGCAAAGCTGGTCCTCGTGGCTTTTTGGAAGCAAGAAGCAAGGGAGAAGCAAGTAAACAAAACCCTGAACCATTTCCCTAACAGCTCCCATCTTAAAGAATAACAGAAGGGAAAGAGCTGAAGGCAGCCTCCAGAGAATAAGTAGCATTTTCCCCAAAACCTTCATGTCATCTATTTTTTCCAGAGATGGAAAAAATGCTGTGACTCCCTGCTGGAAGAAAAGCAAGAAACCCTTCCCTGTGGTTACAGATGGTAAATGCTTAAACGTGACAATGTCAAAGGAACAGTCTCCTAAATTGGACAGCATGGAGTGGGAAATGGAAAGACACATAAGGGCCTTCCTTTCCTCTCCCCATCTTGATGAGCAGTCCTCAAGATATGGCCTAAAATTCATAAACCTAGAAACAGAGGCGGCCTGAGATTTAAAGTGAAAATGTAGCCAACAACAAAACAAAAAAACTCGGGAGACAGAAGGGGAAATGTGATAATTTTTTCATTTTTCATAGCAAGTGAACAATAGATATAATTTAAGAGTTGCTAAATCAAGAAACAGAAGGTTATACATAACAAATATACAGAGTTATATGAGTAACCACTGGAAAAACTAAAAGTAGACTCTAAACCGTCCAAAGCACCAGAAGGGAAACAGTACACGCACACACTCAAATAACAAAAAGGAAAGCAGGGCACCAGAGTGTACACCTGTAGTCCCAGCTATTCGGGAGGCCAAGGTGGGAGGATCACTTGAGCCCAGGAGTTCAAGGCCAGCCTGGGCAACATAACAAGACCCCATCTCTAAAAATAATAATAATAACAAAAAACGAGGAAAATTGGCAACAGAAAAAAACCCCACAAACTAGATTATAAAGAATTAGGACTTAAAACATCTATGATAACAATAGATGCAGATGAGAGAAATTATTATTATTATTGGAAAATGATATGTTACACGTCTACAAAACAAGAGAATCCAATTTTTAAATTATTAGAAAGAATTAGAATAGTTAGCAAGTTGACTGTTTGCAGAATTTTAAAGTACCTTTTTCCTATAAACAAGCAAAACCATTGAGAAAACAGCTGAAAAGACCCCACTCACAGTAACTCCTGAAAAGAACGGCACATCTGAACTAGATGTGGGCAGAACCTACATGAAGAAAACTGGAAAGTTCTCCAATGAGGCAAAAAGGAGAAATTAAAAGTAGCACCATGTGCTTGGATTGGAATGTTTCATACTGTAAACTTGGCCGGGTGTGGTGGCTCACGCCTGTAATCCCAACACTTTGGGAGGCCAAGGCGGGCAGATCGTTTGAGGCCAGGAGTTCAAGACCAGCCTAGCCAGCATGGCGAAACCCCGTCTCTACTAAAAATACAAAAATTAGCCACTTATGGTGGCACATGCCTGTAATCCCAGCTGCTTGGGAGGCTGAGGCATGAAAATTGCTTGAACCCAGGAGGCAGAGGTTGCAGTGAGCTGAGATCGCACCACTGTACTCCAGCCTGGGCAACAGAGCAAGACTCTGTCAAAAACAAAAACAAAAACAAAAAAACCTGTAAAGTTGTTAATTCTCCCTAAATCAATTCATAAATTTACTGCAAACCAATTAAAATACCAGGAGGATTTGGGAACTTACTTTGGAACTCAGCAAAATGATACTAATAGTAATCTGAAAAAAAATACACGAGAATTACCAGGTGTGGCTGTTTGTATTTTCCACATGCTTTTCTGCAGTGTGACCCTTGTCTTCCTCCCATCAAGAGGTAGGGCCTATGTCCCCTCCCCTTAAATGCTGGCAGGTCTGTGACTGCTTCAGCCAACTGAGTACAGAGGAAATGGCCCCATGAGACTTGTGAGCCTAGGCTGGAAAAAGCAAGCAGTTTCCACCTAGTGTTCTTGGGATACTAGCTCTGGGGGAAGCAGCCATCATGTAGGAAGTCCAACTACCCTGAGACCACAGTGCTGGAGGAGCTACAAGTATACACGTGGCTGAGGCCCCAGCTGCCAGCAGGCCACAACTGCCAGCCATGTGAGTGGGACGTCTGGGATGTCCCACCCTGTCGAGTCCTCAGATGAGTTACAACCCCAGCTGATATCCAACACAATCACATGAGACCTCAAGCAAGAATCACCCAGCAGAGCCGTTCCAAATTCCTCACCAACAAGATTATAAACAAAATAAAACACCTGTTTTAAACTGCTAAGTTTGAGGATAACTTGTGATGTTACAACAGTAACTGGAATTCCATTTAAAAGGAAGGAAGGGGGCCGTGCACGGTGGCTCATGCCTGTGATCCCAGCACTTTGGGAGACCGAGGCGGGCAGATCACAAGGTCAGGAGTTTGAGACCAGCCTGATCAACATGTTGAAACCCCGTCTCTACTAAAAATACAAAAGTTAGCTGCGTGTGGTGGCGCGTTGCCTGTAATCCCAGGTACTCAGGAGGCTGAGGCAAGAGAATTGCTTGAACCCAGGAGGCAGAAGGTTGCAGTGAGCCGAGATCACACCACTGCACTCCAGCCTGGGCGACAGAGCGAGACTCCGTCTCAAAAAAAAAAAAAAGGAAGGAAGGAAGTGAGGAAGGTAAGGAAGGAAGGAAAGGATGGAGGGAGGAAGGGAGGGAGAGAGGGAGGAAAGGAGGGAAGGAAGGAAAGAAAGGGGAGGGAAGGGGGAAGGAGAGCCGAAGGGGATTGGCCCTATCACATTTAACAACATAATGAATCAAAATCCATTCATAAATTCATTGAACAAATATTGAAGATCTACAGGTCCACCACAAGCTAGGCATTAGAGAGACACTGTGTTGTGCAAAATCTTTGTCTTTATGGGATTTAGATTTTAGTGAAAAAGAAATTTCAGATAGTATTAAGTGTGCTGAAGGAAAATAAAAATCAGGATAAGAGAAAGTGCTGCTTAAAATAGAGTGCTCAGAGAGGCCTCTTGGAGGAGGTGGCTGTGGCGCTGAGCCAGGGAAGGGCCCGGGTATTCTCACCTACTGCTGTGGGGTTTTGCAAACGGTTCAGCCTGTCCTTGGGGCAATTTGAAAAATCTATTTCCATCTAAAAGGCATGGACCTCTTGACCTAGAAACCTCTTGGCTAGGAAATTACCCCATGAACATTCTTACACACGTTAGCAATACTTCCAAGTATGTTATGACAAAAATGAGATACACAAAAATGTCAGCTCAATGGGAGCTTATTAAATAAATTACATTATAGTCATTCAATAGAGCACCATAAGACTTTTTAAAAATTACATGAGCTATATCCACTGACAAACAGCTACATGAGACACTGTTAGGTGACAATAAGAAAGGCTGGAACTGTGTGCACAGTATCTCCTCTTCTGACTCACAGAGAGAGAAGGAACCGGGGAAGAGGGAAGGATACTCATCTATGATCTGGAAGAAATCCCCCTTTCCTCGGGGAACACCTCTGGGGAGAGGAGAGAGATTTGGGTTTTTCATTTGGTACCTCTCCGTAGCACCTGAATTTTCTAACAAGATGCTGTACAACTTTTACTTTTGTCCTTTCAATGCCCGCTAGGGTTACCTGGACCATGAGTCAGTGTTTGACAGCTTCTCCCCAAAGAAAGAATTGGGGCTACTAGACCGGACAAGGTTGGTTTTCTCTTTTGGTACTCTGTATTTCCAAAAATAACTGAATGGTATTTTTTTAAATAAAATAATTTGAAAGAATAAAGCCCTATAACAACAAAGTATTAAACTGTTAAAATATTTTCATTCTATTGTAATTATAAGAAAGCCTGCATGGTCCCACTGCAGCAGCCACCATGACGAGCAGCACTCTCTGTAAATGCAGCCCTTCCACGCTGCTCAGGGTGACCCACCCCAGTGAGCTGGCTATTTGCATATTCCCAGATCCCCCACCTGCGCCAGGCAGGCATATGCTAGATCAGCTCAGAACTAGAAAAGATGGGCACCAGGAAGAAAGGCACCAAGCCCTCCCTAACTCCCCTCTGAGAGTTGCATCCTTCTTTCCTACCTCTTTCCTTTTTACAGAGCCCACTGTGCTCTGGGTCCCCCATGACCTGGGGGTCAGAGTCAGACACACTCCTGTGCACAAATGGAACCATTCGTTCTTCACCACCACCTGTGCCCACACCCCTGTCAAAGCTCCCCCGCACCCACCTCTGAATCTCCCGCATGGGTAGGACAGCTTCTTCCCGAAGAAGGGGAATTCCTGGCCAGGCACGGTGCTCACGCTTGTAATCCCAACACTTTGAAAGGCCAAGGCAGGTGGGTCGCTTGAGCCCAGGAGTTTGAGACCAGTCTGGGCAACATAACGAGACCTCCTCTCTACAAAAATTAAAATTAAAAAATTAGCCGGGAGTGGTGGCATGCCAGTAGCCCCAGCTACTTGGGAGACTGAGGTGGGAGGATCGTTTGAGCCCATGAGGTTGAGGCTGCAGTGAGCCGTGATCCTGCCACTGCACTCCAGCCTGGGCTGTAGAGAGAGACCCTGTTGGAAGGATCTCTCCGACAGTTATCTCCTGGATAACTGCAATGGGTCAAGTGACAACTTTCTCTAGCTCTCCTAAGCCACAGTGCAGTACGGTTTGGAAACAGCAATAAGAGTCAATCCCCCTTTTCACAAATGATCAAATGAGGCTCAGAGAGATTAAAGAATTAGGCAGTCATTCTTCACAAGGAAGGAAGGGAGGGAGGGAGGAAAATTTCTTGTGAAATTCCCAAAGAACAGAGAACATTTTTAAATGTTTCCTTACTCATTAGTTAACTCAGTATTTTCATGCCCAAAAAATGTCAACAACCAGTTTTGCCAAGAATAATAAAAACAGATACTGACTCTGAGCCTTTCTTGCAAGATCTCTCAGGGTACACACCCGGCTGACTCCCGCACATTTCTGTCTCTCCTGCCTTCTCAAATCTCGCTGTCTCCATCAGTGTCTCTTCTTCCATGCAAGGCTCTGTCCTCTGAAGTTCTCTCTCCCCTGGCTTCAGCCCCATGCAGGTGCCCCCCCCCCACCGCCCCACATGTGGATTCAGTTCCCCACCTGTGGTCCCCATGATTGTTCTACTCCAACTCCGGCTCTCATCACCCACCGCCAGTGTGACTGGGGCACAATGTGACTGGGTGCAGGATGGGGCAGCCACCTCAGGCCCCAGAGCGCTCCATCCCATGGCCAAAGGGGTGGATATTCCGCCCTGAAACACCTGGGAGTGCATAATGCTCAAGGTATTCCTTCTTCGAAGCTGATAAGTTTGTCTATGAGCAAATAATCCACTAGTTCCTCTGCAAGGGGACTGCCTGACTTAGAAAGAACACAGATGTAAAAGATTAGTCTTTCTCAAACACTGCCGGTCATGTGTCAGATATCTAGAACAGCCCCTCACCAGCAAACCTGGCTGGCCCCAGCCCTGTCTCAGGCCCTTGTGTTAATGCTGGGTCTCTGGCCCAGGCTCCCCTCCCTGCCTGATGAGTTCCCACTGTGCTTTCAAGGGCTCTTTCAGGTGAAGAGACTTAGATCAATACCACCTTAGGTGACCCGAACTTTGACTCTCCCTCAGGGAGCAGCGACGGGGTTTTAGTGTCTTCTCTCTGACAGCCCAAAGCGCAGATGCCAGCTGCTCCACCTCATTCCCAGGGACGAGCTCCACAGTTGAGGATCCCAGGGAGCAGAGCAGGGGTTGAGATGCAAACAATTCTGATCACAGGCCCCTCTCTCCACCCTCCCCAAAAGTGCCACCTGCTGCATCTACATAATTCTGAGAGCCCATTCAAGAGACCGCTGCTGGAACCAAGAAGCTAGTTATCTGGATGATGTGGGTCCCCATCGGAGACACGGGAGGGGAGAAGTGGTGGGACTGCTTCATACCCACACCCACTTCATGTTTGCCCTAGCAGGCACTGTGTAGCACTCATCTGGGGCCAAAAAGGAATAAATGACAACTTGTTTACAGAAACTGTGTTGTAAAAATACCTAGTGGGACCTTGTTTCACCACCTGGATCTTTAGGGAGGTGCCCGTTCTCCCCTTCGAGCTCAGCCTGCCCTTACCAAGTTCCTCTGTTTCCCCTCACTGGGAACTCTCAGGAATTGTCCCCCAACATTATTCCCAGAAACCTGTGCCAACCGCTCATGCCTATCTTGGAGCATCACACTATCAGATACCTGGATAACTGCAATGGGTAAAGTGACAATTTTCTCTAGCTCTCCTAAACCACAGTGCAATATGGTTTGGAAACAGCAATAAGTCAATCCCCCTTTTCACAAATGATCAAATGAGGCTCAGAGAGGTTAAGGAATTAGGCAGTCATTCTTCAATCATTCTACAAACTTTTCTTCAACACCCACCTGTGCCAGCGGATACCTGCCCCTCATAAAATACTCCCCTCCCCAGAGATCTGGGGGTGGGGTTTCTTGCTCCTGGAAACAAGGGAAAAAGGAGAGAAAGAGGTGTGAGGGCACTCAGAGAGGAGCAGCCTGTCATCATGTGATCACTGCCCACGCTGCCTAGCAGGCCTCTGAAGCCACCCCACGGGAGAATGGCTCTGCTGTTTCCCACGCCTGGGGTCTCCCTCTCCCACTCCAGCATCCTAGCCCACCAGGTAGGATGAGTGATGCTACATGGACTTCCAAACATGCTTAATCTCTGCAGACCATGGCACAGGCCCGAAGCTGGCCCGCAGCACCCAGGCTCAGTACATGCCCGCCCTCTTCACGACCTCCCAGACCAGCCCGGCCGGTCACCCATCTTCTGCACACATCCCTCCCCAACCTCCCCTCAAACCCTTCGCCCAGGTGGGGCTTCCCAGGCAATCTCCAATCTACGGCTGACCTTGAAAAACCCAGGTTTGAATTGTATAGGTGCATTTATACATGGATTTTTTTCAGTCAAAGCTACACCAAGTGTGCCAGCCTCTCCTGACTCCCCTCCCACCTCCTCCTCCACTTCCTGCACCTCCTCCTCTACCTCCTCCACCTCTTCCACCTCTTCAACCTCCTCCACCTCCTCATCCTCCACCACCACCTCTTCTACCTACTCCTCCACCTCCTCCACCTCCTGCTCCACCTCCTCCTCCACCTCCTCCTCCACCTTCTCCACCTCCTCCTCCTCTACCTCCTCCTTCACTTCCTCCACCTCCTCCTCCACCTCCTCCATTTCCTCCACCTCGTCCTCCACCTCCTCCATCTCATCCTCCACCTCCTCGTCCTCTACCTCCTCCTCCACCTCCTCCACTTCTTCCACCTCTTCCATCTCCTCCTTCCTCCACCTCCTCCTCTATCTCCTCCACCTCCTCTTCCACCTCCTCCACGTCCTCCTCCACCTCCTCTTCCACCTCGTCCTCCACCTCCTCCATCTCATCCTCCACCTCCTCGTCCTCTACCTCCTCCTCCACCTCCTCCACCTCCTCTTCCTCCATCTCCTCCTCCACCTCCTCCACGTCCTCCTCCACCTCCTCTTCCAACTCCTCCTCCTTCACCTCCTCCACCTCTTCTTCCTTTACCTCCTCCTCCACCTCCTCCACTTTCTCCACCTCCTCCACTTCCTCCACCTCCTCTACCTCCTCCACCTCCTCCTCCACCTGCTCCACCTCATCTACCTCCTCCTCCACTTCCTCCATCTCCTCCTCCACCTCCTCCTCCTCCACTTCCACCTCTTCCTTCACCTCCTCCACCTCTTCCTCCTTTACCTCCTCCTCCACCTCCTCCACTTTCTCCACCTCCTCCACCTCCTCCACTTCCTCCACCTCATCCTCCACCTCCTCCACCTCCTCCTCCACCTGCTCCACCTCATCCTCCACCTCCTCCTCCACCTCCTCCTCCACTTCCTTCACTTCCTCCACCTCCACCTCATCCTCCACCTCCTCCACCTCCTCCTCCACCTGCTCCACCTCATCCTCCACCTCCTCCTCCACTTCCTTCACCTCCTCCACCTCTACCTCATCCTCCATCTCCTCCTCCATCTCATCCTCCACCTCATCCTCCACCTTCTCCACCTCGTCTACCACCTCCTCCTCCACCTCCTCCACCTTGTCCACCTCCCCCTCCACCTCCCCTTCCACCTCTTCCACCTCGTCCTCCACCTCCTTCTCCACCTCCTCTACCTCGTCCACCACCTCCTCCTCCACCTCATCTACCTCCTCCACCACCTCCTCCTCCACCTCCTCTTCCACCTCCTTTACCTCCTCCTCCACCTCCACCACCTCCTCCTCCATCTCATCTAACTCCTCCACCACCTCCTTTTCCACCTCCTCCTCCACCTCCTCCTCCACCTCCTTTACTTCCTCCTCCACCTCTGCCACCTCCTCCTCCACCTCATCTATCTCCTCCTCCACCTCCTCTTCCACCTCCTCCTTCATCTCCTCTTCCAGACCTCCTTTACCTCCTCCTCCACCTCCTCCACCTCGGCCTCCACTTCCACCATCTCCTCCTCCCCCCTTGTCCTCCACCTCCTCCTCCACCTCCTCCACCCTCCTCCACCTCCTCCACCTTGTCTTCCACCCCTCCTCCACCTCCTCCACCTGGTCCTCCACCTCCTCCTCCCTCTTCCACCTCCTCCAACTCTTCCCCCACCTCCTCCACCTCTTCCTTCTCTGCCACCCTGACACAGCAAAACTAAGTCCTCCTCTTCCTCCTCCTCCTCAGCCCACTCAGTGGGAAGACGACAAAGATGAAGATCTTTATGATGATCCACCTCCACTTAATGAATAGTAAATACATTTTCTCTTCCCTATGATTTTCTTAATGATATTTTCTTTCCTCCAGCTTACTTTATGGTAAGAATACAGCATATAACGCATATACAAAAGATGTATTAATCATCTATTTACATTTCCAGTCAATATGAGGCTATTAGTAGTTACGTTTTGGAGGAGTCAAAAGTTACACGTGGATTTTCAACTGCAGAGGGAGTCAGTGCCCCTAACCGTGTACTGTTCAAGGGTCAGCTGTACAAAATGAGGACAAGACGTAGTACCCATTCCCCAGGGTTTACTGCTAGGCTTAAATAAGTTGATATGAAACACTGTTAGAATCGCGTCTGGCAAAAAAAGTAAGCACTCATTAGTTCTTGTGATCGATCCAGTTACAGTTTCACATACAGATGACTGTACCCACCCACCAGCACTCACCAGAGGGGGCCCTTGGATCTAAACAGTGTGGAAGCCACGCCTGTTCCCCTCACCTCACACAGGCCTGTGTGCAAGGTGACTGAGCCCCCCTGGATTTCTGACTAATCATCTTTGGACCACCAGCAGGTAAACAACTCTCCCCTCCTGTGTCCCCAGAATGCCTCAGCAGCATTAGTTTCCTATTGCTGCTGTAACAAATTGCCACAAACCTGGTGACTTATAGCAACACACAGCTATCATCCTACATTCTGGAGGTCAGAGGTGCAAATCAGTCTCACTGGGCTAAATTCAAGGGGTCACAAGCCTCGATCCTCCTGGGGGCTCCAGGAGAGAATCTGCTTCCCTGCCTTTCCGGGCTTCCAGAGGCCACCTGCCTTCATTGGCTCATAACTCTCTTCCTCACATCATTCCAGTCACTGCGTTCATCATCCCACCTCCTACTACTGACTCAGATCTTCTGTCTCCCTCTCAGGAGGACCCCTGTGATTACACAGGGCCTGCCTACATAATCCAGGATAGTCTCCCTCTCTCAAGATCCTTAACCGAATCACATCCGCAAAGTCCCTTTTTGCCATGTGAGACACAGATTCACAGCTTCTAGGGATTAGGATGTGGACTTCTCTGGGGGACCACAATTCCATCTACCACATTGACCTAACCCATATTCAACCTACCCAGCTTTGCTAGCTCTTAGACGTTGGGTTAGTCCCAATACCTGGTCCACAAAACTGGAACTGAATATGACATTTCACATTTGCATCATAAAGATTCTCCGGATGCTGTGTGAAGGGGAAATTGAGAGGACAAGAGCAGAAGTGGAGAAGCCACTTACGGGGCTACCAGAATAATCTGGGTAAGAGAGACACAGCAGGCAGAAGTCTGTATTTTTGAAGAAGAATCAGTAGGATGACAAGAGGCTACGTTAGGAAGGACCACTGGTGTCTGGTTGGAGGAACTGGGTGAATGGTGGTTCCACTCCTTGAAAACAGAGCAGAAGACACTTATTTGGAGGGGAAATGAGCAACTTGGTTGGGGATATCCTGAATTTTAAGTGTCTATGACTTGTCCAAGTGCAGATGTAAAGTCAGCAATAGGGTATGTCAAGAGGAGAGAGGTAACAGCTTCAAATGCAGAGACCTGTGTGAGTGACAGAAGTGTCCAGTGGGGCAGAGAGAGAGGAGCCTGGGCCCAGGAATGTCCTCCTGCTGACCAGCTGCAGTGAAGCTCCGCTGGCCCCATCTCTCAGTGTCAGCCCTGCCCTTGCTGTGTCCACTGCCAGGGTGTCCCTTGCAGGGGCACTCACTGCACAGTCATCATTCCCAGGGAGCATGGCCACTTCACCTTGCTGCTCCGCCACACCTCTGTTTTGGGCGGCCCTGAGGATGCTCTGAGACTGGGCTACAGTCTCCACAGGTTCCAGCTATGGATGTCTGCCCCACAGCCTCATCTAGGGAGGTCTGTTTGCCCACCATTGAGGGCCCTGTGGCAGCACCTGGCTCTTCCCTCTCTGCTATGTTCAACATGTCCCACAGCAACATGGAAATTAGCAAATGTCTTTATTCCACACACTGTCCATGGGAAATTTCAGACCCAATCTTGTAGACCAGAGGTCAACAAACTATGATCCCTAGGCCAAATCTGGCCTGCTGCTTTTGCAAACAAAGTTATACTGGAACACAGTTATACCCATTCATTTATAAATGGTCTATGGTTGCCTCCACACAATGATGGCAGGGTTGAGTAGTTGCCACAGAAGACCATGTGACCACAAAGCCTAAACACTGACTCTTCTGTATAGAAACGTTGGTCCATCTCTGGTCTACACATTTTCCTCCCCCAGTGCTATCTTATGGCTCCTCCATCATGGTGGAAGACATGGAAGGCAAGGGACAGATGGCCAATGTCCAGTCCTCATTCATTCAATCATGTGGAGTAGTACAGGGTGCTACGGTGCTATGTCCCTTCTTAGGGACCCAAGAAGCTTCTTCACTTCTAAATCTCTCCACCTGCTCAGAGTCCTTCCTCCCAGACTCACATGGCTTTCTCCTTCCCCTTCCTTTCCACTCCCCGGTGGAGGGGAACTTCTCTCCCATCATCTCCTCCATCCTACCACCAATAAAACCATTTTCAGGCCTCCCAGCTTTGCTCTCAGTATATAAAAGAAAGCTTCTGGAATATGATTCTTTTTCTCTTGCCACAAAGCCTAGTTTTCATGACTGTAGTCCCTCTTGAGACTGAAGAAAGTCAGTGCCAGGACTCAAAGCTGAGTAATGAGCTTTTTGTTCTACATAGTACTTGCTCTTCCCCCAAAGAAAAGAACACCCTTGATTTAATGGGTGGGAGAGCTGCAGGGTAATATGATTTACAAGAAAGAAAAAAAAATGGGTCAATTTAAATTTTCAGAGCTATTATTCTTGCAAGAACTAGAGTGAGGTCCAAAAAGTTTCCACCAGTCTATGGAAAGAGAGATACAGCATGAAACTTGGAAAACTGGGTCAGAACTCAAGAAAGAGCTAGCTGGAGATGAGCCCTGCTAATCAGTCTCTGAGACTGTGAGCTGCTCCCTTGGAGTTCTCCTGCTGATGGAGTTCATTTGGGTGGAAGAGGAGAGAAAGACGGCCATTGAGAGTTATGAATAAAAGTTAAGATCAGTTACTGGCAGAGGAAACAGAGAGAAGAGTCTCAACTCAGCACATGAAGGAGAGAGGCTTTAGAGTGATAAGATGAGCTGCACCTAGGAACTCCCAGAGTCTACAAGTTCCAACAGCTAAAGCAAAAAATGGGATAAAAAACCAGGTGACAAAAGGCTACCTGCAGAAATACAGATGAACCCTGGGCCTCCAGACCCCTATGTCTCACGCCAGCACTTACAGCACTAGTATCATTCTCAGGCAGAGGAAAAAAGAACGCTGCACTCCCCAAAGAAATGAGCCATCGGCCTCTTCTGCTTTCAAACTGGGAAGTCATGCCCCCCAGAGCAGACACTCTTCATATTAGCTAAGAAATGGCAGGAGGGGCAGCTCATCTATGCCCAGCCCAAGCATCCAAAGGTGAGGCCGCCAGCTGACATGCTCTGCCCACATCCAGACAGAGCTAGGCCACACCCTCATTTGATGGGGAGGTCAGGGACATAGAAGAAAACATGCCAAGCACCTTTAATCAACCCTATAAACATCAAAGGACAACCAAGGGCCACCAGACTGTTAAGGAAAACCAAAACTAGCAAAGACAAAGATTTAGAGCAATACACAGAAAAACTGACTCTGGAGCAAACTAGAAAACTTATCTTACTTAATTCCAATTAGTACCCTCAGGTAGAAATGAAAAAAATATGCAACCAAAAGATAAGACAAATACTAAGAAAAAGTAGCAGGAAATATAAATGAGAATAAAAAATGTATAAAATAACAAGTTAATCTCACCTGTTCTGTTGCAACCCTGTGCTAGGTTTCCAGAAGGCTTAGAACTGCCACTCAGATCTTCAGCCAAACCAGGATGAAATGTAACAACTAGCAACTAATGTCAACCCATGCTTGGGTCCAAGACTGACCAGGGAGCAAACTGCACGGTCAGATTGTTTATACAAAATGTTCAGCATAATGGTCTGCACCTGGTTCTCTGATTTTGTTACTGAACTCGTCATGCATCCTGGTTCTAGATACCTGACCAAAAGGGTAGGAAAGACTCCTCCTCCGATAAGCCTGTTGCTCCCAAGGCCAAGCGTCTCTCCAGTATCTTAATGATTCACAATCTGAAGACAAAGTGCATCCTGTGTGACAGAGAAAGGCCTCTGGGAGCAGCACATGGGTGGGCTGGACCTCTCTAGTACTGCCCTGTGTGACCTTCCTACTCCTGCCCTGCACCATTTCCCTTTCTGAAAGCCTTAGGGTCAGGCAAAGTGGCTCACGCCTGTAATCCCAACACTTTGGGAGGCTGAGGTGGGAGGGTTGCTTGAGGCCAGGAGTTTGAGACCAGCCTGGTCAACACAGAAAAAAACCCATCTCTACAAAAAAATTAAAAATTAGCTGGGCATGCTCCTGAGTGCCTGTAGTCCCAGCTACTCGGGAAGATCGCTTGAGCCTAGGAGTCTGAAGCTATAGTGAAATGTGATCATACCACTGCACTCCAGCCTGGGTGACACAGCGAGACCCCAACTCTTAAAAAAAAGAAAGCCTTACCCAAGTATACCCTGGGGAGTCTCAGAGTCCTTCCAATTGTCCAACCCTGTGTCACTGATGTACTTAATGGGTACAATGTTCAGTAGTTGGGTGACAGATACCCTAAAAGCCCTGACTTCACCACTATACGATCTGTGCATGCAACAAAATTATACTTCTACCCCATAAATCTATACAACTGAAAGTAAATAAATAAAAATTAAAATTCAATAGGTGGTCCAGAAGATGGAATTAAAGAAATCTCCTGGATTATAAAGCAAAAAGCACAGCAGTGGAAACTGTGACAGAGAAGTTAAGACACCTGGAAGATGAACACAGAAAGTCAGACACCTGGCCAGGCACAGTGGCTCACACCTGTAATCCCAGCACTTTGGGAGGCCTGAGGTCAGGAGATCAAGACCATCCTGGCCAACATGGTGAAACTCCATCTCTACTAAAATACAAAAAATTAGCCAGGCATGGTGGTGGGCACCTGTAGTCCCAGCTACTCAGGAGGCTGAGGCAGGGGAATCGCTTGAACCCAGGAGGCAGAGGTTTCAGTGAGCCGAGAGAGATTGTGCCACCGCACTCCAGCCTGGTGACAGAGTGAGACTCTGTCTCAAAAAACAGCAACAACAACAAAAAAGTCAGACACCTAACTAACAGGAGTTCCATAAAAGAGAAACAACAATTGAGGAAATACTCAAGGTACAAAATTTTCAGCATTAAAGAAAGGACACATTGAGTAGCTAAGACCCATCACTAAGTTCTGCAAAATATCAGAAAACCAAGAACAAAGAGTAGACCCTAGCAGCTTCCAGAAAAGCAGGTTAGGTTACCAGCAAAAGAAGATGAACCAGATTAGCATTAGATGCTTCTTCAGTGATGTCGGTTATGAAGACAATGGTGTGCTTGCCACCAAAGAAGTAACAACAGAGGGTTGAAATATTTAACTCTGAGGAATAGGGAGGGCAGGAGCTGAGGAGTAGGTTTTGCCTTTCATTCTGTACCTTTCCATACTGTCTGAATGTTTATTTCCATGAACATATATTGCTGTCATCATCATCATCATCATCATCATCACCATCATAAAGCACACACATATACATGGTTTTATGCACAGATACATACATACATATTTTAATATGTATATGTATGTTTTATGATGGTGATGATGATGCTAACAGTAATATGTGAAAACAATCAGTAATATATGAAAAGAAAAATTAGTTATATATGAAAAAGATAACAGAATATATGAAAACTACATTATATAATATATAACGTACATTATATATAATATACATTACTATATATATATATATATACACACACACACACACACACAGACACACACATACAGCACTAGTATGCATTCTCAGGCAGAAGAAAAAGAATGCTGCACTCCCCAAAGAAATGAGCCATCGGCCTCTTCTGCTTTCAAACTGAGAAGTCATGCCCCAGAGCAGACACTCTTCATATTAGCCCAAGATATGGCAGGGGAGGCAGCTCACCTATGCCCAGCCCAAGCATCCAAAGGAGAGGCCGCCAGCTGACATGCTCTGCCCACATCCACACATCATCACATATATTATATATAATATATATTATATATATTTTTATATAAATTATATATTATACTATATATTATATATAATATATATATAATGTGCTTTCAGTACCAGGGGAGCATGTCACAGCAGGGCTCTTTCTCCACACAGACACAGTGCTTCTCTACCTCCTTAAACTCTCTCAGATGTCACCCCACTCACCAAGAGGCATGCATCTGGGCCACTGGGAGCAACCATAGGTAGAACTTTTGAAGTCACTGGGCAGGTGCCTTGCTCAGGGGGTTCCAAAGGTTTTTGCTTTCTTTTTTATTGTTGTTGTTATTGATGATATGGCAATAAAGCAATAAAGTATCATGAAATGTATATACAATTATATGTATACTTTTTAAACACATTCTCTTTTTTCCAAAGAGAAAGCCAATCTTAAGGAGCAGCTATTGACCATGTTATGACAGACTCACAGCCCTGTTAACCTGCTCACATTTCTTAGGTGTTACTTCCTCTTCTGGAAGAGTCCGCTCTGGGGTGTCTCATACCCTCTCAAGGCACCAAAGACAGGGGCAGGCCCAGAGAGGGGACCTGGGTGTCACCAATGCTGGATTTAATGAATTGGCAGGTGCAAAGCAGATGCTATGTTCCTCTGCTTTTTTCTGACACTGGGTCAGAAATCAGTTTCAAAAAACATAGTATCCCTTTGCAAATGGTAGAAAAGAACTCGGGTATAATTGAAAAAAAATGTGTTTTTTTAAAAAAAATCAAGAGACTGATGAGGATATGCTCATTGTGGCTAAGTTGCTTATTAACATGTTAAGTAGGTATCATTATCATAATCCTTTCAAATTCTGCTGAGGGTTCCAAAAATGTCTTTCAAAATCACTATCCCTATTCACTATCAAAGCCATTATCTATAATTTCTCATTACAGATGAGAAGCCAGCACATCTCTTATAATTAGTTAACTTCGAGGTTTACTTTTCAAATAAAAATTTGCTTTTTCATGAAGTCCCACATGTTCTCTGTTTTCTCTGCAAAAGAGTGAGCTTAAACTTTAAGGATTTATTTTAGAACAAATAACTTGAATGTTTATGTAATAATTATGTCATAGGCTTTAGTAGCTGGGATGCAAAAGAAGTAGTTTGTTTACATTTATTATGCCCTAAATACTAGACTCACCAACACCCCTTCCTCCCCCACAAATGCCAGTGTTTTAACATCCTCCATTCCTGTGGGCTGCCTACATCACCCTCCATCTCACTGTACCATGTCCTTCAGGTAAATCATGACACTTTTATCAGCAGTTGGAAGTGGAGATAAGAGCAGTCCAAGCTTATAAATTGAAACTATAATTCCAAAACATGGTATCAAAAATGGGGACACATTGGTCAAAGTGTGCACATTTTCAGTTAAAAGATGAATCCGTACTGGGTTTCTAAAGTACAGCCTGTCAAGTACAGTTAATAGTATTGTCTTGTATACTTGAAGTCTGTTAAGGGAGTAGATTGTAAATGTTCACACACACACATAGAGGTAACTACGTCAGGTGATGGACACGTTAATTAGCTTGATTGTGGGAATCATTACACAGGTATACTTACATCAAAACACCATACTGTATACCTTAAGGATGACAAATTTTTTATTTGTCAATCATCATACCTCAATAAAACTGAGGAAAGGCCGGGCACAGTGGCTCACACCTGTAATCCCAGTGCTTTGGGAGGCCGAGGTGGGCGGATCACAAGGTCAGGAGTTTGAGACTAGCCTGGCCAACATGGTGAAACCCCATCTCTACAAAGATACAAAAATTAACCGAGCATAACGGCACCTAGCTACTTGGGAGGCTGAGACAGGAGAATCGCTTGAACCCGGGAGGCGGAGGTTGCAGTGAGCAGAGACCACATCACTGCACTCCAGCTGGGGTGACAGAGTGAAACTCTGTCTCAAAAAAAAAAAAAAAACTGGGGAAAAAAATTTAAAATGCCTAAATGCAGGAATAGAATTCAGGTAGGCCTGAAGCTCGGGGACGCCGGGGGACAGTGGGCCTGGGAACCGCACCTGCCCTGCACCTGGCCAACACACAGGCAGGCATCTAGCCAGAGCTCCAGAAAAGCTCAGAGAAGCCACTGCATATCCCACCTCTGCCACAAAGGCAGAGTAGGCTTCTCAAAGGCCCTGAGAGGACCCTGTCCCCTCATCAGGCGATTCCCCAGCAGCACCTGCCTATGGGGAACCAAGGAGGGTGAGGTCCTAGGGACTCAGAGGAAGCCATGTTCTAGCCTTTGCTGTCTGTCAACATCCTTCCTTCCATGACTGTCATCCTGAGAAGAGCTCTGTGATGACAAAAAAAAAAAAAAAAACACGTGGTTTAAACTCACTATCAAACGTGGAAACAACAGAGTTTGAAGAAACCATCCTAGGTTTTATAATTTCTTTACTCTTCAATAAAACTATCGGATACAGTACTTTTGACCTTTTCAAAATTCCAGTTTGAAATTCCCCCAAATAAAAAGGTGAAATACAAAGGAAAAAAAAATCTCTTTCACACACTCAAATTATGTAGACCCCGGTATAATGTTCAAGGTCCGTTTTCTTTTGAAGAATTATTTTTAAATGAACCAGGCCAGGGATTCTTCCTGTGGGGTTACAGAGTAGAAGATGACAAGGGGGGGGAGGGTGAAAGCATAAAGAAACCATTTGGCTTGAGCAAGGGGGATTGTGATCACAGCTGTCATTTAGTCTGGTATACTAACAGAAAACACAGATTTAAATAGATTGTTAAAGAGGAAAGCGTAACCACTAGAAGAACGGAGACACACAGGAGAGAGTGGTTGGAGTTCATGAATACACATTTTTTAAAAGAAGACACACGAATGGCAAACAGGTGTATGAAAAAATGCTCAACATCACTAATCATCAGGGAAATGCAAGTCTAAACCACAATGAGATATCATCTCACACCTGTTACAATGGCTATTCTCACAATGACAAAAGACAGCAAGTGTTGGCAAAGATACGGAGAAAGGGGAACAATTTCTCTGCTGGTGGGAAGGTAAGTTAGTACAGCCATTACGGAAAACAGTATGAAAGCTCCTTTAAAACTTAAAAATAGAACTATCCCATGTAGCAATTCCACCTTTGGGTATATATCCAAAGGAAATGAAACCAGTATGAATGAAGAAATATCTGCACCCCCATGTTCTAAAATGAATTCATAAATCCATACATATATACATACATACATAGGAGAGAATGGAAAAGCTCTTCCTACAGTAGAATAACAATTAATAAATGTAGAAGGAATGGGCCGGGTGTGGTGGCTCACGCCTGTAATCCCCGCACTTTGGGAGGCTGAGGCAGGCCGATCACGAGGTCAGGAGATCGAGACCATCTTGGCTAACACGGTGAAACCCCATCTCTACTAAAAATACAAAAGAATTAGCCAGGCATGGTGGCGGGTGCCTATAGTCCCAGCTACTCGGGAGGCTGAGGCAGGAGAATGGCGTGAACCCAGCAGGCAGAGCTTGCAGTGAGCCGAGATTACGCCACTGCGCTCCAGCCTGGGCAACAGAGCGAGACTCCATCTCAAAATTATAATAATAATAATAATAATAAAATAAATAAATAAATAAATGTACAAGGAACGGAAATATAAAATTATGACTTGGCAATCATCGTAGAGGAGGCTGGTTCGGGTGGCAATCATCAACGGATGTGAAGTTGAAAGAGAGAGGTTTGACCAGAAACAGGATATTGGCATAATCTGAGACTTCCTTACACAAATTATAATTAAAGGGGAAATGGTGAATTTAAAATGATAACACCTGGAGGACAGCAATAATGTTAGGTGATCAAGGTGAATATCGCCAATGGTGAGAAGGGCTGACATCAACGCCTCCTGATGCGATGCACTGAGAAAAGCATGGCATCAACTTTGGGATTGTCCTGCCAAGAATGCATGAGCCAAGTCTGCCCATGAGGATAATCAGATGGATCCAGGTTCAGGGTCATCCTACAGAATGCAAGGCCTGTGCCCTTCAAAACTGTGGAAAACGTGAAACAGAGAGGAAGGCTGAGGAGAGTGAAGACACACAAGGAATGCTCATGTTCCTGGGTAGGACCCTGGGCCAGAGAGGAAAAAGAAACACTACTTGGTCAGGTGATGAAATTGGAATGGGGTCTACAGATTGGATAACAATGTTCTTCCAATGTTGTTTTCCTAATTTGGAGAGGTTTATGATGAGTACATAAAGAGCATCCATGAGTGGTGAGAATATACACTGAGTTTTTTAGGGGTGAAGCAACATCACGTCCACAGCTTTCTCCCAAAACACTGAGAAAAAGACTAATGATAATTGAGAATTTTTTTACCTTGAGAAAGACAATGTGCACAAGCTCAAGCCATGGGGTAAATGCAATAACATGTTTACAATTCGGGAATTTAAGAGAAGAGACACAGGAATTCTTGGTTCTGTTCTGTAACTTTTCTATAAGTTAGAAATTATTTCAAAAAATTTCCAGAAAACAATATTAAGACAGAGTTTCATTGTTTATTAGCATAGAATTTGGCTATGAGCATTCCAGTGTACTATATCTTCAAATGACTAGGACTTTTTACCCGATGCCCAAGGGAGGGTTCTGTCTATGTGTGTGTGTTGTTGTTGGTTTTTTTTGGTGTTTTTGTTTTGTATTTGTTTTTGTTTTTGAGATAGGATTTCTCGCTGTCACCCAGACTGGAGTGCAGTGGTGCAATCGAAGCTCACTGTGGCCTCAACCTCCCAGACTCAGGTGATCCTCCCACCTCAGCCTCCCAAGTAGGTGGAACTACAGCTGTGTGCCACCATGCCCAGCTAATTTTTTGTATTTTCAGTAGAAACGGGGTTTTGCCACGTTGTCCAGGCTGGTCTTCAACTCCTGGCTCATGTGATCCACCTGCGTCAGCCTCCCAAAGTGCTGAGATTACAGGTGTGAGCCACCACGCCCTGTCAAGTTTCTCTCCTTATCTTTAAAATCCATTATTTTACAGGGAAACATGTCAATGCTGACTATTCTACATTGATTTTTCCCAGTTACACAATGTAACCTTTCAAATCTTATTTTAGGCAGGTTTTCTTGCATTATAGTTCTAAATATTTATGCTATTCTATTGCTTTGTTTTTCTGTCCCTGGACACTAATTATACATATATTGAACCTCCTTTGCCTGTGTCCTACATTCCTTTAATTCACTATATCACCTTCTTTTTTTTATTATTTTTCTCCTTTTCACCCTCTATTTTTATTTCTGTGCTTCCTAAGAATATCTATTTGCTCCCATGTTCCTTCTAATTAAGTCTTCATTTTTGAAACTCATTTTTCCAAATTCTTTTCTGACATCTCTCTGTTCTCCTTTCATAATTTCCTGTCATCTAGCCATATCTTTTGTAGTTTTTACAATTTCTGATTCAGGATGGGAGCAGTGGCTCGTGCCTATAATCCCAGCACTTTGGGAGGCCGAGGCTGGTGGACCACCTGAGGTCAGCAGTTGAAGATCGGCCTGCTAACATGGCAAAACCACGTCTCTACTAAAAATACAAAAATTAGCTGGGTGTGGTGGAAAGCACCTGTAATCCCAGCTACTCAGGAGGCTGAGGCTGAGGCAGGAGAATCGCTTGAACCCGGGAGGCTGAGGATGTAGTGAGCCAAGATTGCTTCATTGCACTCCAGCCTGAGCAACACAGCGAGACTCTGCCTCAAAAATATAAATAAATAAATAAATAAATAAATAAATAAGTAAAATAAAGTTTCTGATTCATACTACTCTTAGGAAACTTTATTTTCTTTTAGCTTATATTGAAATATTAATTTATAATTTTTCTGGTGTGCTCTCATTTTCAGTAGTACCATTATGTTCATTTTCATCATGTTTTCACTGAATAAATGTTGCATGAGGCTGGATCATATTCCTTTTTTGTTGTCCATGATTAAATGAGGTGGATTTTCCTGATCTATTAGGAGGAAGTTCCCAATAGATCAGGAAAGTTCCTAATAAAGGGATGGACTAGGATACCTTTCCCATTTGGCTCTACTGATCTGTGAAAGACTCAAAATAGGAATTCTCCAGGTACCCAATTGTTTCCCAGCATCAAGTCCAGAACCTTTGTAAAGCTCAGAAAGATCTCTTGCCTCTAGTCCTTTGCTCCAGCTCTAGAACTTTGAAGTCCTTCTTTTCCAAGGCTATATGCTCTCAGCTTTTGATGTTATCTTTCACTGTTAAAGCAGTTTTTGAGATCTTTTTCCTTGGGGGTCCCCTTCCATATCTCCAACATCTGAACCTATTTTCTCTCGCCATCTGTCTTCTGCTTAACTTGGTGTATGTTTCCAGTAATTTCTGCTCAAGGTGAGGTGCTTAGAAGGGAGGACTTACTGTACGTTTCTAAGATTCTCCAAGGCCTCTGCCACCACATCGACGCTGATTCTCCCAGGTCCACACACAGTTAGTTGCTCTCACCTGTTGCCAGAAGCCTGGGAGCCCCTTTCCAGTTTTGCCAGTTGCTCTCAGGTCTGCCCACCAGACTTCCATCCTACTTTAAAGGGTGAGCAGCTCATGGTAGTTTTTGGGTTCCACCACCTGTCAATAGTTTCTTTCATTTCCCATCACTCCCCTGAGGCCACTGCGGCTCTTCTCCAGGTCCTTCTGATGCTGGTGGTTTGGCCAAACCCACCCAGTCCTGGGAATAAAGGAGTGGGGAGAGAGTCCCCAACACTTTTGTTGACATATCCTCTTTGAGCTTTATCTATGGCTGTCTTGCTGATTGGTTTAGCTTCCAGGAAGAGTTCAGGGGAGACTGAAAAACTACTTTGCCACCATGAATACATCCCCATAAAACATGTTCTGAAGGGCATAAAACAAGGAACAAAGAAATGAAGAGACATACTCTGTTTCTGAATTGGAAGATTTAATATGATAAAACTGTCAGTACTCCCAAAATTGATGCACTATATTAAAAGTTTTAAAGTTTTCTATCTGGCAAGACATCAAAAATTAAGCAAAATGAGAAAATATTTGCAACACATAATAAAGTATCCATGGAAATTCAGATCCAATGAAATATCTTTCTGCTTCTATGAAATTAATAAAAATGCTCAGCCTTGCTAATATCCCACGCTGCAAGAGGACAGAAAAAGGGGCACACACTGTAGGCTTCTGTGGGTGGATGTGCCTACATTCTTTTGTGAAAATTAATCCAGAAATAGCTAACAAAACTCCCAATTTGAATACTCATCAGCTAGCAATTCCACTTTGGGGAATCTATCCTCAAAAAAAAAAAAAGCAGTGGCATCTCAGGCTGGATAAGCAGCACTGTTTGTAGACACATAGAACTGGTAGAGATTATTCCCAGCAGGAGAATAACTGAATAACTTGTAATAATTCATACTTTGGACTACTCCACAGCCATTAAAGATAATGTGTTAAAAAATAATAATAATGAGTTATGGCTGGGAATATTCGTTATACATTAAATTTTTAAAAGAAGTTACAGAGTAATATGGGTGGTATAATGTCATTTTTGTAAATTGTTTTTAAAAAGAAAAGAAACATTTTCCGGCCGGGTGCGGTGGCTCACGCCTGTAATCTCAGCACTTTGGGAGGCTGAGGCAGGCGGATCACGAGGTCAGGAGATAGAGACCATCCTGGCTAACACGGGGAAACCCCATCTCTACTAAAAATACAAAATTAGCAGGGTGTGGTGGCGGGCGCCTGTAGTCCCAGCTACTCGGGAGGCTGAGGCAGGAGAATGGCATGAACCCGGGAGGCGGAGTTTGCAGTGAGCCGAGATCACGCCACTGCACTCCAGCCTGGGCGATAGAGCAAGGCTCTGTCTCAAAAAAAAAAAGAAAGAAAAGAAACATTTTCCATACATATATATACAAATTCTAATACATTTTATGATTGTAAAGGGAAGCATGGAAGGATTGCATTAAACAACACTGGTAATGTTGGTGGTCTATGGGTAGAGAATTGGGGTAGGCGAAAGCTATACATTGTTTGTGTGTATGTGTGTGTATATATATTTTTTGTTTGTTTGTTTGTTTGTTTTCTGAGACAGAGTGTTACTCCATCGCCCAGGCTGGAGTGCAGTGGCGCGATCTCACTCACTGCAAGCTCCGCCTCCTGGGTTCACGCCATTCTCCTGCCTCAGCCTCCAGAGCAGCTGGAACTACAGGCACCTGCCACCACGCCCAGCTAGTTTTTTGTATTGTTTTTTTTAGTAGAGACAGGATTTCACCATGTTGGCCAGGATGGTCTCGATCTCCTGACCTCGTGATCCACCTGCCTCGGCCTCCCAAAGTGATGGGATTACAGGCGTGACCCACCGCACCCAACCTATTTTTTTTGAGATGGAGTTTCACTCTTGTCCCCCAGGCTGGAGTGCAGTGGAGTGATCTTGGCTCACTGCAACCTCCGCCTCCTGGGCTCAAGCAATTCTCCTGCCTCAGCCTCCCAAGTACCTGGGATTACAGGCGCCCACCATCACACCTGACTATTTTTTGTATTTTTAGTAGAGACAGGGTTTCGCCATGTGGGCCAGGCTGGTCTCCAACTCCTGACTTCCAGTGGTCCGCCCGCCTCAGTCTCCCAAAGTGTTGGGATTACAGGCATGAGCCACCATGCCCAGTCACTTTTTTATTTTCAGTTATTTTTACTTTTTATATATTAATTTCAGAGTATGAAAAAAATCCAGTGGAGTTGCTTTTTAAAGGAAAAATACACACACACACACACACACACACACACACACAGAGTCAGCTTCCAATGGCTACGTCTTTACCAACATATGTAACTGGTAATGTGGATAACTCACAATGTAGCTGTTTGTCCCTGAGTTCTGGGCATTAATAAAATCTCCAAGAAAAATAACAAACTACTCTATTAAAGGATAACTATTCAAGACCTCCATCCAGCTCTCTTAGTCTTCTAAACTATGAACACAGCTCATTACCTCTCAAAATGGGCAGGACATCTATCCACAAGGGAACTGATCCACCTGCTGACTCACTGGCTGGCACAGCCCGGCACAGGAAAACCACCTGCAGGGGGTCCTCAAACAATGGAAACTGCACAGCTCTGTATTCATCACAGACCTCCGGCCAGGCCTGACACCCACCCCTGTCTCCAACCTTGCCGAGTCCTCCCCTTTCAACCTTAAACTTCTTCAACTTGGTCCAGTGGAATGGCTCCTTAAATTTCTCTTGTATCTTCACCTTTCCAGGCATGTTTTATGCTTTTCCTAAGAAAGAGAGAGCCTCCTTGCTAAAGTGGACCCCTTTACCAGCATGCTTTATTTCATCCCCTTCTGCCTAATCGTTAGCAGGAGTTTGGCCTCTAAAAAGTCAGAGCAACTAAGTTCAAAGCTACTTCATAGCTGAGTGACCTTGAGTAAGTCACTCATCCCTCTTCCCCTTAGTTTACTCAGCAGAAGCACCAAGATTTCTTGAGGCTTTGGCTTGGAACAGAGTCAGGCTCAGTTCTGCTGTGTTCCAATGGCTAAGGCAAATCAGAGGCCCAGTCCAAACTCAGGGAGAGGGAACCACACAAAACCCTGAGCACCAGCAGGCAGAGGCCACCAGAGTAACAGGCTATTACACACACAATAAGTAAGTGCTCACTAAGCATGGGCTGTCTGTCTTAGCTAATAATTTTGTTTCTTAAATCCAGGAGAGTTGTTTCTACAATGGGTTTTCACCATGTGCAAACCACAGAGAGGGCCTAGAAAGCCATATGTTGCTAAAGAGCACATAGGTCTCATTTTAGAAGATTTAGAGAAACCAGAGGGCAGCCCTAAGCCCCACAGTATGGATTTCTTTATGAAGCCAGCCCAGCCATCCCAGCTGCCATTCTTAAATGACGAACAACCTTGGCAAGGCAGTTGCACCAATCTCAGAGGGCAGGCATATATATGGCAATGGGTCAGTGTTCCCCACTCACAACCATGTTAACATGCAAACCTGTCTCAACACAGCAGGAACCAATCATCATTTCTGCAAAGTGTTGTAGACAACAGATGAAAAATGGTATACACTGTACCGTACTGAAAGAACTTTCAAGGTGCTTGCAGCAAAGTAAGTTTGAAGACAGAAAATAAGCCCATGAAAAAACAGACAGGAGGGTGGGAGATGGAGGACTCAGGACAGAAGTCATCTTATAATCTCCAAAATGTAAGCAGAGTGTGCTGTGTTCATTGTTGATCCCCAGACCCTAGAGTAATGTCCATACATAGGAGAACTGTGTGGAATTGCTCAGAATCATAGGAAGCTAGAACTAACAGGTTATAGGTCGGGCACAGTGGCTCAAGCTTGTAATCTCAGTGCTTTGGGAGGCTGAGGCAGGAGCATCCCTTGAGATAAGGAGTTTGAGTTTGAATCCAGCCTGGGCAACATAACGAGACCCCATCTTTTAAAAAAAAAATGTTTTTAGTATTAGCCAGGCATGGTGGTACACACCTGTAGTCCTAGCTACTTGCAAGGCAGAGGCAGGAGGATCGCTTCAGCCCAGCAGTTCCAGGCTGCCGTGAGCTATGATAGTGTCACTGCACTCCAGCCTGGGCAAAAGAGCGAGATCCTGCCTCTTAAGGCAAAAAAAAAAAGAATAGGTTAGAGCTGTTGAAGAGAATAACACTGCAAAAGCAAACTGAATTAACTGTTTTTACACATTTATTTAACTCTTTAAACTAAAATGTAGGGGATGATGTGCATTTTTCACATAAATAAGCTTTTCTACTGTGTCCAATTAATGTTTTCCCCTTTAGGTTTATTATTAAAAGGCAGTTCTCTCTCCACACCCTTGGGAACCCAAGGCTAAACCAGGAAGGGCGGGCTCAGGGAGGAGCCAGGAAGTGGAGCTAATTCACCAGTCTGCCACCTGTAGGCTGGTTCCAGCAGACTTAAACCTCAGTGCCCGCTAGACAGACATGAAAACAATGCATATTAAATAATGGTAAAAACTGAGCAATAGATGTGTGAAAACTATATAGAGAGGGGCATTTAAATCATGGCTCCCGTGTGCTTGCCTCCAACCTCCTCTCTTTTCTTTGAATACTCCCAGCTATGACCACACAGTCTGTTGTTCCTATTCAGCTCTCCAAGGCTCACCCTTGATCTAAAATACGCTTTGAAAATTAATACTCCCATTAGGATGAACAACCACACCTGTATCGATCGAGGTGTTCCAGAGGCAATTTTGCTCAGATCTTATGGTAAAAGCCATGCAATGAACTTAAAAAACAAAGACCATTATGAAATAAACAAATAAGCAAAGCTGGACGAATTTTTCAAATTTTAAAACTCAAGAACAAATAGCAAACATTAAAGGATTGGTTTGGATTTCTGTAGATGGAAGTAAAACATACTGAGTTTACAAGCCTATGCGATGTATTTCAGCACGATCCACCAAATGCAGTTACAGATGTCAAGAGTTCTCAGAACAAGTGCCTCTCTTCATAAATATCTGCTCTGCATATATATCTCTCCCATTCCCATAACGTCCATTCTTTGTTAATATAGGAAAAAAACCGACTTTCATCAAAATGCTACAAAACGCCAAAAATTAACTCTTGGGGACAGTCACTTTAATCGAGACGTCTTTCTTCTATGGAGATTTGTTCACCACTGGCTTCTCTGATTTGGTGGTTAAGAGTCTGAAAATCGGTCATCCTTAAGGTCTGGAGCTCAGAAAGCACGCCGCCCCCCCTTGCCTGCCCCCTGCCCCAGGACGCCGGATGCGGGTCGCCTGCCCAGTCCCGTCGCCCACAAACCACGCCGTTCTGGGCGGACGCGGGAAACCAGAAGTCCCCGAAGCCAAGTCAGCGAGCGACCACAGGGGCCGCCCGGCCGATCCCCGATATCCGGGCTGACCCAAAACCCGACGGGAGGCGCCCCTCCCCCGCCCCCCCACCCCACCCCCCACCCCCACCGCCCCCGGTCAGGGCCGCCGCGAGGGTGAGAGGCGCGCCCACATGCTGCTCCGCTCCGGGTTCGGCTCCCACCTCCTCGCCTCGGCCGCGGCCGCTCGGATGGCGAGGTCGTGTCCCCGGCGCGCGCGGTCCCCGGCGCTCCCTCCGGCCGCTGCGGGCTCGGAGGACGGCGGGCGCCTGGCTGCTGTTTCCTCCAAGAAAAGTAACTCCGGGAATCAGCGCAATAGGAGCGGGAACGCGATGCTCCGAGAGCGGCGAGCCGGGCCCTGGAGTTATTCTGCTCGGAGTTTCGAACTGCGCCCCGCGCTGCAGCTACTCGGCCCCGGCGTTGGCCGCCGGAACTTGCCGCCCGCGGTGGCGTCCCGGCGGCCGCAGCGCCTAGCGCCCCCGGCCCGCGCAGTCCCCGGAGCCCGTCCCCGCCTGGTCGCGGACACTCACCGAGAAGCCTGCCCAGAAGGGGCAGGAGTGGCGGACGCGGGCCGAGGTGGTGAGCGCCAGCGCGGCGAAGCTGACTGCCACGATGAGGCATCCGAGCGCCATCTGCGTGGCCCCGAGCGCCAGCACGATGCGGGAGCGGCCCGGGCACTCGCGCAGGCGGGACAGGCTGCGGGGCAGCGCGGCGGGACGCGGCGCTCGGGGGCCGCCGGCCGGAGGCATCGCGCCGGGCGCCCGCACGCCTCGCCCGCTCCCGCCCGGCCCGGCGCGCGCCGCCGCCGCCTCTCCTCACAGAGGGTCCGAGGCAAGTTGCGCCGGGTGCAGGGACGGCCTCCCAGCCGGCTGCCAGGGCTGCGGCGGCCGCGCGCCGGGAGCGGGCCGGGCCGGGCGGGGAGCCGGGCGCCCGCAGCCCCCGCCGGTGCCCGCGCCCATGCCGCCGCCGCCGCGCCGCCCGCCCGCCGGCCGCGCCGCGCTGCGCCCTCCCCCGCCCGCCCCGCGCGCTCCCCGGCCCGAGCGCGGGCGCGAGCCGCCGCCGCTGCTGCCGTACCGGGCGCGAGCCGCTGCCGTCCCCGGGCGCGAGCCCCGCCGCCGTGCGCTGGGCCCCAGCTGGGGCGGGAGCGGGAGCCGGGACCCGGGAGCCGGGAGAGGGGCGGGGAAGGCGCAGGTGCGGTCCTGGCGTCCCAGCCTCCGCGCTCACGCCTCGCGCCCTGGCGGCTGCAGGTCTGCGGAAGGAGAGCGGGGGCGGCAGCGCATCAAGGGCAACGGCATCAGCCTCCGCGGCGGAGCCCTGGGTCGGCTGCGCGGAGGGGCCCGATAGCGGCAGCGGGCCAGCCGAGCCTTCAGAGCCTGGGGACGGCTCGGGATGGGCGCGCGGGGCGCTGAGGACGGGGAGACGGGCTGGGAGCAGACAGGAGGGAAATTCCGAGCGCTGGGCCGCAGGTGTGGCGAACAGGAGCCTCTTGAATGCAAAAATCCAAGATCCAAGATGCTGCTTTTCTGCAGTTCGAGAATCTCCCAAGCCATCCGCTGAGAGAACTCAGCTCTGGAGGACATTCCGAGAACATTGCCAGGACACACACGATGTCCCTTACCCACCTTTGGTTTGCATGCTTTTGATACAAGTTAAAAGTTTGGGCTTTAAAAAAAAATTGCACAAAACGAATTTAAATGCGCAATATCATTAATAACCGATTAAACCATCTCCACTCCCTCTTGCCAACATAGAGTTTAAAATATCTAAGTACTGGCTCCCTTGGAATACCGGGAAATCCTGCAAGTTTTGATTGCCATAATTCCTTTGTGGCCCTGTTGATGAGCCAACTTTAAGACTCTGCTTGTGTTGAAAAGGGCTGCATTGACAGATTAAGAGATCACCAGCGTTAGGGAGTCTGAAGGGACCAGACGTGAAAAGGCAAAGTTCAGAGTAATAAAGGGAAACGGCCGGTCATTTCCTGAGACCATTCTTCCGTGTCTTTCTAGCAGACCTTACTGTTGGATGAGAAACGCTAGAGAGTGTAGTCCCAAAATATCTCGGTTGCTGGTGCTTGAAATTTCACCGTTAGAGATATTGATTCCTTTGGGGCTTGACGATCCTCTATTAAAATGCAAATTCCCCTTGAAGGGGCTATAGCTCAAGCCTTTATCAGCCAACACTTTAGCAGGGATGGGATTTATTTTCCAATTTAACGAGATGGCCAAGGGATGAACAGGGGGTAGGGAATTCCACAGATAGAGTGACTGATCTCAAAATGCTGGCCCGTGGCCAAACGCTGCCTTCTCCCCCAGTTCTTATCTTTAACAGGACTAAGCCTCTGGCCGGCATTGTTTAAAGCACTCCAGTACAAATTCCAATTTCCTGGAGACATTTTCTGCCTAGAAGTTCGCAGTGCAGCACTTTTTAAGAGCTTGAAACAATACAAGGCATGACCCTGGACTGGCAGGAAGTTATGTTCGCATTTGATCATCTCCCCCATTCATTCATTCATTCATTCATCCGTTCATTCATTCCTCCAACAAAAGTTCATAAAGAGCTCTCTAATCATAAGGCTTTTTTTTTTTTTACGTTCTTAGGGTACATCAGTGAACAAAACAGACAAAAATCCCTGCCTTTAAGGGATTCAGAGAGAAACACACAATAGCCTAACAAATTAGTGAATTACAGTTTATTGACATTGTATACTATTCAAAAAATAGTATACACCCACTATGTGCCAGGCACTGAAGATCGAAGAATGAGTTGCAAGCCCCCTGTACTCAGAGAACTTTCGGTCTAGTGGGAAGACTGGCGGCACACTGGGTTCAGTGTTATGGAGACTACACAGTGCCCCCCCAACCCCACCCCCACCAAAAAAAAGGAATCAGATGATAAGGAGATTTGAAAAGAGTTTTCTGACCACAATACCAAAAATGGGTTGAGGGGTGCCCAAGTGAAAGAGTGTTCAGAGGCTGTTACTGTCAGCTGGCAAGAGGTGATAGTGTTTTGGATTAAAGTGGGGTTAGTGGAGATGTCGAGAATTGGGTGTGTTTGGGAGATGTTTCGGAGGTGTCAGTGACGAATTAAACAGAAGGGGGAGCCAGTTGGTGACCTCCAGTGATCTCCCATTTATGAATGAGAGATGCTTCCAAAATATATGTGAATTGATTTGTTTTATTTATTTATTTAAGAAAGGTACGGAAAGAGAGCTCCAAGCAATACAGCAGGAGATTTTGGTGAAGGTGGGTTAGGAGAGGGATCTACTTTCGCTGTAAAATTTCGTTTGCATCCAAAGGGAGAGACTGATCTAGAAATTAAACTTACTTCACATTTCTATCAATGAAAAAGCAGTTTTGTTGATAAAATGAAAACTTTAGACAAATAAATTTAACAGAGTTTACTTAAACAATGAACAATTCATGAATAAGGCAGCCCTCAGAATCATAAGAGGTTCAGAGAACTCCACTCTGCCATGTGGGCAGTGAGTATGTATAGACAGAAAAAGATTGAAGAAAGTAGAAATGAGGAACAAAAAGCAGATTAGTTGTTTCAAAGTTACTTTCCCCATAATGGTTAAAACGGAACTTCCTTATCATGTCTGCTCAAACTGGCCTTTCTGGATATTTGTCTATTCTCTCTCTTCTTTCTCTCTCTCTCTTCTCTCTCTCTCCCCCTCTCTCTCTCTCCCTCTCTCTCTCTCTCTTTCTCTCTGTGTCTGTCTTTCCCCCACCCCTCTTCCTCTCCTTCTCCTGATTTCTCATAAAGTCAGCTAAACAACCGAGTTTCAGCTTGGTGGATTAGGACTTTAGCATGACTGACTCCATTTTAATTTGGTCTGTTGGTGGGAGCTCTGTCCAAATCAATGGCCTCCAAAAATTTCTATTTCATACTATGTTTTACAGAATTTTTTAATCCTGTTGTATTAAATGCAACAGCCAAAGTTACCTTGATGAACACTTGCAATTTGGAGATATAAATAGGGAGATAAAAGTAGTTAAAGTGAGTTGATTTCATGGGAGTGAATCATAAAGAAAGAAAGGAAAGAAGAATGAAAGGGAAGGGAGGAAAAGAACAGAAAGAAGGGAAGGAGAAAGGTAGGGAGAGAGGGTGCTGGCCTGAGCTTAGCCTCCCTGGCACTGATCACGACAACTCATTGACTCTCTTTGATCTTCAGTGTTTGTCTCTTGTAAAAGCATTATAATCATACATGTCCTAGTGTTACAGAAGATTCTTGGAGACCCCTGGAACCAAGTTATGGCTTTTATTCTCCCTGGATCAGATGGGACTAATAGACAAAACCATTGTTCTTTTGGGTTTTGTTTCTTTGTTTTTGTTTTTTTAAAGACAGAGTCTCAGTCTGTCATCAGGCTGGAGTGCAGTGGCATGATCTCAGCTCACTGCAACCTCCACCTCCTGAGTTCAAGCGATTCTCGTGCCTCAGCCTCCTGAGTAGCTGGGACTACAGGCGCACGCCCCCATGCCCAGCTCATTTTTGTATTTTTAGTAGAGACAAGGTTTCACCATGTTGGCCAGGATGGTCTAGATCGCTTGACTTTGTGATCCACCCACCTTGGCCTCCCGAAGTACTGGGAATTACAGATGTGAGCCACCACACCCGGCCAAGACCATTGTTCTTAAGCAAAGCATGACAAGGTGGCTGAGCTTCTTGCTGAAAGACAGGTTTCAGGGCTGCTTGCACCATGGGGAGACAAGGAACACTTACAAATGCCTCAGTCACCACATGCTTGTTTCAGATTCCTGCTCTTTTTGACCTGTACCTGTCCATACATAATGGATGAGAAAGAATCTAGACCCTTGGTAGCCTCTCTTACGCAGTAGAGAGTTGTGCTTGGATCTCACAATTTCTGCCTCTGGAAGAGTAATAGGGGAGAAACTCTACTTCTAGGAATGTCAGACCAGCTACTTCTCCTACTAAAGACAACTTAGAAACCAGGGGGACTTTTTTTAAGTATCTCCTTAAAAGTATCAAAGATTATGGAGATAATGAGGGAACACCAGGCCTAGATGCAATAGGAGAAGGAATGCGGAGAGGTGTGTGCAGCACGTGGGCTGCCTTTCTAGCTCTGGCAGCTGCACACAGAATCAGAAAGATGAATTTGAGTTCAGGAGTCTCCAAAGGTGGGGACCCAGTAAACCAGTCCCCTGCCTTGTGACAGAACCCCAAATGGCTGCATCCCTGGAGCAGGAAATAAGTCAAACTTCCCTCTTTTTGCAGGTGCCCAGAAACCCCAATTCTGCATTGCACAAGCCCCTAGGAGCTGGCAAAACAATAGAAAATTCTCTCTAAAGAAAGATATTATCATTCTAGGCCTCCAATTATTTCTATGAATAGCATTTTTAAAACTCACTTTCCCTTAACTTCCTCAACACGATAAAGGACATTTATGAAAGACCCACCACTAACATCATAATCAATGGTGAGAGACTGAAAGCTTCTTCCCAAGATCAGGAATTTGACATGTGGTGAATGTCCACATTCACCACCACTGTTCAATATTTTATTGGAAGTTCAGCCAGAACAATTAGACAAGAAAAGGAAATAAAGGACATCCAAATTGTAAAGGAAGAAGCAAAACTATCTCTATTTGCAGGTGACATGATTTGATATATAGAAAATCTCAAAGAATTCACAAGAAAGCTACTAGAACTAATAAACAAATTCAGCAAAGTTACCAGGTACAAGATCAACACATAGAAGTTAGTTGTGTTTCTATACACCAATAATGAATAATCTGAAAAGGAAAACAATAAGACAATTATAATAATATCTAAAAGAATGAAATACCTGGGAATAAATTTAACCAAGGAAGTGAAGGCTTGTACACTGAAAACATTGCTCAAATAAATTAAATACCTAAATAAATGAAAAGACTTGCTATGTTCATGCATAGAAAGACAATATTAAGATGACAACACCCCAAATTCTCTACAGATTCAAAGCAATCCCTATCAAAACTCCAACAGCCCTTTTTGCAGAAATGGAAAAGCCAATCTTCAAAATCATATGGAATTCCAAGGGTCCCCAGATAGCCAAAGGGTCTTGAAAAAGAACAAAGTTGAAAGACTCATACTTCTAGATTTCAAAACTTACCACAAAGGTATAGTAATCTAAACAGCATGGTACTGGCATAAGAGTAGACATCTAGACCATTGGAATATAATTGAGGGTCCATAAATAAATCCATACATCTAAGGACAACTGATCTTTAACAAGGGTGCCAAGTTCATTCAATGGGAGAAAGAATAGTCTCTTCAACAGATGGTGCTGGGACAACTGGACTTGTACTTACAAAAGAAAGAAGTTGGACTCCAAGCTCATATCATAATCAAAAGTTAACTCAAAATGGACCTAAATAAAAGAGCAAAAACTATGGAAGTCTTAGAAGAAAACATAGGCATAAACCGTGACCTTGGCTCTGGCTGTAGATTCTTAGATATGACAAGAGAAGTATGAGCAATGAAAGAAAAAATAAACAAATTATACTTCATCAAAGTTAAACACTTTTGTACATCAAAGCACATTGTCAAGAAAGTGAAAAGACAAACTATAACATGGAAAGAAATATATGCAAAGCATTTATCTTGACCAGAGATATATGCCATGTATTCAGATTATGGATAGAACTACTCAAAACAAAATGACAACCCAATTTAAAAGTGGGAAAATGACTTGAATAGACATTTCTCCTAAGAAGATAAACGAGTGTCCTGTGAACACCTGAAAAGATGCTCATCACTCATCATTGGGGAAATGCAAATTAAAACCATAATGTGATGCCACTTCACACCCATCAGGATAGCTATATTATTAACTTGTTTTTGTTTTTGTTTTTGAGACGGAGTCTCGCTCTGTCACCCAGGCTGGAGTGCAGTGGCGTGATCTCGGCTCACTGCAAGCTCCGCCTCCCAGGTTCACACCATTCTCCTGCCTCAGCCTCCCGAGTAGCTGGGACTACAGGCGCCCGCCACCGCACCCGCTAATTTTTTTGTATTTTTAATGGAGATGGGGTTTCACCGTGTTAGCCAGGATGGTCTCGATCTCCTGACCTCATGATCTGCCCACCTCAGCCTCCCAAAGTGCTGGGATTACAGGTGTGAGCCACCAGACCTGGCCAGCTATATTATTTAAAAAAAAAAAGAAAGAAAGAAAGGAGCAAGTGTTGGTCAAGATATGGAGAAATTAGAACCCTTGTGCATTTCTGGTGGGAATGTAAAATGGTGCAGCCACTGTGGAAAATGGCATGGTGACCCCTCAAAAAAATCAAACAAATTCTACTTCTGGATAAATACCCAAATGAATTGAAAGCAGGGACTCAAAGAGGTGTGTGTGTGTGTGTGTGTGTGTGTGTGTGTGTGTGTGTGTGTGTGAGAGAGAGAAAGGGAACACGTGTGATAGGGTGTTACTCTGTCACCCAGGCTGGAGTGCAGTGGCACAAAGACGGCTCATTGCAGCCTGGACCTCCCAGACTCAGGCAATCCTCTCACCTCAGCCTCTCAGGTAGCTTGGACTACAGGTGCGCACCACCGTGCCTGACTAATTTTTGTATTTTTTGTAGAGATGGGGTTTTGCCGTGTTGCCCCAGTTGGTCTCAAACTCCTGAGCTCAAGCAATCCACCTGTCTTGGCCTCCTGAAGTGCTGGGATTACAGGCATAATACCCATGTTCATAGCATCATTATTCCAAAGGTGGAAGCAAACCAAGTGTCCATCCTTGGATGAATGGATAAACAAAATGTGGTCTGTACATACATTGGAATCTTATTCAGCCTTTATAAGGAAGGAAATTCTGACACATGCTACAACATGAACAAACCATGAACATTAGGCTAAGTGAAATAAGGCAGTCACAAAAGGATAAATATTGTTCAGATCCACCTTATGAAGTACCTAGAGTAGTCAAATTCATAATGACAGAAAGCAGGGTGGTAGTTGCTAGGGGCAGAGGGGTGGTGGGAATGGGGAGTTAGTGTTTGGTGGGTACAGTTTCAATTGCAGAAGATGAAGAGTTCCTGGAGATGGTTGGTGGTGCTACTTGCACAACTATGGGAATGTGCTTAATGCCACAGAATTGCACACTTAAATTTGTTAAAATGGTAAATTTTATATTATGTATATTTTACCACAATAAGAAAAAAACAATGAAATTCTCAAATCCACGAGGATGGCTATAATAAAAAAAATGAAAATAACAAGTGTTGGAGAGGATGTGGAGAAATTGAAACACTTGTAGGTTGCTGGAATGAACGTAAAATGCTGCAGCCAACGTGGAAAACAGTCTGGCTGTTCCTCAAAAATAAACGTAGTATTTCCACATGACCCAGTAGTTCCACTCCTAGGTATATACCCAAAGGAAGTGAAAGCAGTGACTGGAAAAGATATGTGTGCACCAGTGTCCTGGAGCATGTTTGTTCAGGTGATTATCATTGGAGGGCTGGAAGCAAGCTGGACTCCCTGGACACTGATGGAGAATCAGGCACATATAGAATTTTGACTTGTCTTTGTTCGTTAGGTTTAAAATGTCTGTCTCATTGCTACCAAAATAATTAAAGGTCAACTAAGTGCAGGGAGAGAAGAAATCTAATTTGACAGGCCTTGAAATACTTATTACTTCATAGGTTTTGTGATGAGATTTAAGTTAGATCATGAATACAGAAAAGTATTTTTTCAAACATTACGCACTTTATGAATGCTGGCCTTATTCCGTTAGCAGTAAGTTCCTTACGGACAGGAATCATTCACGTTTGCAGTATCCTAATGCACTTAGCACAGTCCTAGCAGATAGTGGTATTCAATTACTATTTATTCAAGCTAATTCTGTATCTTAAACTATGTTAAAATTGAAGTTTTTAACACTTCTGGGATAGTATTGACTAGAATTTTGTGAAAAACCCCTGAGAAGTAAATGACTTAATTATTGAAGGAGGGTAATAAGGCTAAGAAGTGAGTTCCAGTTAACTCAACTAGCACTATTAAATCAGGTTATTAGAAACCTATGCATTCTAATGGTTTCATTAGAATAAGCAGTTATTCATATGCTCAGACTCAAACAAACTTATACATGAAAGAGGTGTTTTGCCTTTAGGGAAAAACTATGAAAATTATGAGTCAAGCCTCATGAGATTTGATAATTCTCATCCATCAACTGAACAGAAAATAATGGAGTAAAATTTATCATTTGGCTCTAAAGTATGGGTCACCTTCAATCAGAACTCCTTCACTTTTATTTTATTAAGAAGCAAAAGTAAAACACTTTGCTTGTGGATAAATGGAAAGTTGCTTAGAGAAATAAGCATTAGGATGCACTCATTTTTGGTGTCGATTATGTGATTGGCCCACATTTTTATAGCAACAGCAAGAGCAGCAGCAGCAAATTGCTGAGACGTAATTCTTATGGCATATGTTGGCTTTTTTCATGCAAGCAAGCTATATGTTCAGTGGTAACCTGGACCATTCAGCAAAATCCATTTCTCTCTTCACTCTCTCCAACATGTTTCTCTAATCCTCTGCTCCAGCAAAATACTGGCCTTTGGTTTCTTTCTTTTTTTTTTTTTTTTGAGATGGAGTCTCGCTCTGTCCCTCAGGCTGGAGTGCAGTGGCGCGATCTCAGCTCACTGCCATCTCCACCTCCTGGATTCAAGTGATTCTCCTGCCTCAGCCTCCAGAGTAGCTGGGACTACACGCACCTGCCACCACACCCAGCTAATTTTTTTTTTTTTTTTTTTTTGAGACGGAGTCTCACTCTGTCGCCCAGGCTGGAGTGCAGTGGCGCGATCTCGGCTCACTGCAAGGTCCACGTTCCGGGTTCACGCCATTCTCCTGCCTCAGCCTCCCGAGTAGCTGGGCCTACAGATGTCCGCCACCACACCTGGCTAATTTTTTGTATTTTTAGTACAGACAGAGTTTCACCGTGTTAGCCAGGATGGTCTCAATCTCCTGACCTCAAGATCCACCTGTCTCGGCCTCCCAAAGTGCTGGGATTACAGGTGTGAGCCACCGCGCCCAGCCAATTTTTTCTATTTTTAGGAGAGACAGGGTTTTTCCATGTTGCCAAGGCTGGTCTCTAAACTCCTGAGCTCAGGCAGTCGGCCCATCTCAGCCTCCCAAAGTGCGGGGATTAAAGGCATGAGTCACCACGCCTAGCCTGGCCTTTGGTTTCTAAGCTTCTGGACAGTAATGGGTCACTCCTGCTGAGAATGACTTTCTTCATCACCTTTGCAAATTCTATCCCTCTCTTAGGTCTTCTCTCACATCTAAAAGTCAGGGCAGCAGAATGGTTAGGGCACCCATGTTAGTGTCACACTGCCTTAGTAAAAACCCCAACTCCACTTCCTAATGAAGGTAATAATAATACCTATCTTATAAATTTCTTGTGAGGATTAAATGATTTCATTTATCTAGAGTTCTTAGAGCAGTACCTGGCATATAGCAAACACTAAGTGCCAGTTATTTTTCTATTATTGTGTCAGTACTTCTATTTGAACATATTCCCGTTAGGTCTAGCTTTCCCTGGCCTATAGCGGCAGAACAGATTATGCTGGAAAAGACCAAAGGGAAAGTTAGGCCTACAGGGTCTGCATCCAGAAGATGAAGTTATATTAGAACCTCAAATGCAAGACTGAACCAAAATAGGAGGAAAGGTGAGATCTAACACCATTGGTAGACTAAGAGCAGAATACAGATATTCAGCAAAGGTGGCTTGGTACCTGGCACCCATCTTCTAAGTCAGCATAAGGCAAAGAGGTTAGGCTGTTTCCTCAAATATGGTATAATAACTGAGAAGAGACTTCACAATGGGTATTTATTTGAATTTCCCACAGTGTACAGAATAACACCTTATTAGAATAAAAGCTATAGTAAATATTTGTATATTGATGTCTTAAAATTAAGAAAGTATTTAAAATGCTCCCCCTTTTAAGCCATCTATTCTATAAATATCTATTGAGTGAAATAATATACAAGACATTACCCTAAGCCATGTAAAGATCAGTAAGACCTCGCACCAGACCTCATATTTCTTATGGGCTAATTACTACCTATAATTCAATAGTCATTATTGTAATGACTATTAGTTTTAGTCTTCTAATTATATCATTATTTCAATATCTTTAGAATAAACAGACCAAGTAATGAAATTTCAGAAATGATTTAGTGATGTAAGTGTGGGATCTAAACAAAAACAACTTTCTAGGAGGTTTCAGATTTGATTATAATCATCTCCTAACATGGAAAGGATGTAGAAATCCTTTTTCTACTCTTTTCTTGTAGGGATTAAGTATCATTGATTCTTAAGAAGGATATTGAAAAAAGGCAATAAGAAATACAATAACATCCCTATAGACAGTGAGAGCATACCAGAAAGATATAACCACAAAATAGATCAACTGATTAGATGAGTGAGGGCCACCCACATTATGGAGGGGAATCTACTTCACTTAAATTCCACTGGGTTAAATTTCCATCTCATCCATAAACACCTTCACAGAAATACCCAAAATAATATTTGGCCAAATATCTGGGTACTGTGGCCCAGCAAAGTTGACACAAAATTAATCACCACAATGATGAAATTTTTTAAAAACTCCTAAACAAATGGAGAGGCATAGTGTATTCATGAATTGCAAGAGTCAACATAGTAAAGATGTAAATTCTCCCCAAATTTCCTGATAGGTTTACTGCAATTCCTATCAAAATCCCAGCAAGTTGGTTTTTTTTTTAAAAGACATATGTACATTTATTTTTAAATGTATGCAAAAAGGCACAGGCTCTAGAATAGCTAAAATAATCCGGGAAAAGAATTAAGTGGGAGTAATTACTTGATATTAAGGCTTACTACAGAGATAGAGTAATCAATATATTGTGGTGTTGGCAGAAGGATAGACACACAGTTCAATGTAACTGAATAGAGAACCCAGAAATAGATCCCCAAAATATGCTGGTTTTTTTTTTTTTTTTTAGATAGAGGCTTGCTCTGTTGCCCAAGCTGGAGTGCAGTGGCATGGTCTCAGCTCACTGCAACCTCTGCCTCCCAGGTTCAAGAGATTCTCATGCTTCAGCCTCCCAAGTAGCTGGGATTATAGGCGTGCACCACCATGCCCGGCTAATTTTTTTGTATTTTTAGTAGAGATGGGTTTCACCATCTTGGCCAGGCTGGCTAATTGATTTCTGACAAAGGTGCAAAAGCAATTCAATACAGGAAGAAAATAACTGTTTCAACAAATGGTATTGGAGCAAATGGACATCTGTAAGCAAAAACAAATAAATAACAACTTCTATTTAAACCTCACACTTTATACAACAATGTATTCAAAATGAATCATGGACGGACTTACATGTAAAACAGAAATGAAAGGAAAAAAGAATTTCAGAAATAAAGACTAAACAAAAAGCAGTACAAGAGTGAATAAACACAATAAATAAAAACCTGAGGAGCAATAAAAAGCAAAAAGGAGGAAAATTTTTAAGATCATAAAGAAATTAAAAAGATAGAAAAGATTTTAGATAGTGGCATATTTGAAGAGTGTTAAAGAAGATCCAACATATGGCTGAAAGGAGTTTCTGAAAAGGGAAACCAAAGCAAGGGAACAAAACAAATATTAAGAACTGTCTCTCAAGAAAATAATCCTGAATTTATTTTATTTTATTTTATTTTATTATTTTTTTTTGAGATGAAGTCTCACTGTGTTGCTCAGCCTGGAGTGCAGTGGCACAATCTTGGCTCACTGCAACCTCTGCCTCCCAGGTTCAAGCGATTCTCCTGCCTCAGCCTCCTGAGTAGCTGGGATTACAGGCAGGCGCCACCACGCCTGGCTGATTTTTGTATTTTTAGTAGAGATGGGGTTTCTCCATGTTGGTCAGGCTGGTCTCGAACTCCTGACCTCATGACACGCCCCATTGGCCTCCCAAAGTGCTGGGATTACAGGCATGAGCCACCGTGCCCAGCCCTGAATTTTTAAAAAGATTTGAAATTGCACATTAAAGGAGGATACTCTGTACCAGACAATATCAAACCAGAATGATCATGACCAAAATATATTGGAATAAAATTTCTGAGCTCTAAAGAAAAAGAAGATATTTTGGGGGATCACGGCAAAAAGACCAGGTGACTTAAAAGGGAAATAAAATATTGGACAATAATTCATTATGCCAGAAAAATGACATGAAAGCATTTTAAGGAAAATCAAGTAAAGAAAATATTACTCAAAGATTTTATATCCAGTAAAACTAAATTTCAAGTAGAAAGGACACAGATAGACTGAATAAAGAAAATGTGGTACATATACACCAGGGAATACTATGCAGCCATAAAAAGGAACAAGATCATGTTCTTTGCAGCGACATGGATGAAGCTGGAAGCCATTATCCTCAGCAAACTAATGCAAGAACAGAAAACCAAACATGCATGTTCTTACTTACGAGTGGGAGCTGAACAATGAGAACACATGGACACAGGGAGGGAACAACACTTACTGGGGCATGTCAGGGGAGAGCAATGAGGGGGAGAGCATTAGAGAAAAGAGCTAATACATGCTGGGCTTAATACCTAGGTGATGGGTTGATAGGTGCAGCAAACCACCATGGCACACATTTACCTATGTAACAAACCTGCACATCCTACACATGTACCCTGGAACTTAAAAACTAATAATAATAATTTTTTTAAAAAGTAAGGATGCAGATAAACTATCATCAATGTGCAAAAATTCAAGGAATCTTGTTCCCCATAATCCCTTTCTGAAGAATTGTGTTAATGTGCTTCAAACAACCAAAATAACTAGACAGACATTGACATAAGTATAGATGGTGAGCACTGATATATTGCTCCTTTTAGAACTGAAAGTAAATGAGGGCCCTTTCCTCACACCATATACAACAATTAACTCAAAATCCATGAAAGGCCTAATGTAAGAACTAAAACTGTGAAACTCTTTGAAGAAAATATAGGTGTACATGTACTTGACCCTGGATTGGAAGTGGTTTCTTAGCTATGAAACCTAAATCACAAGCAACCAAAGAAAAAAATAGATAAATTGGACTTCATCAAAATTAAAACTTTTTTCAAAAGACACTATCAAGAAAATGAAAAGACAATGCACAGATAGGGAAAAAATGTTTGCAAATCATGTATCGCTTAAGGGTCTAATATCAGAAAATAAATGTATATATTTATCCTACAAATACAGTAAACGTATTTGTAAACTGTTGCAGCTCAACAGTAAGGAAATAAACAACCCAATTAAAAAGTGGGCAAAAGATCTGAAGTGATGTTTCTCCAACAAAGGAAAGAAATGGCCGCTGAAGAAAACAAAATCTATATCTTGAAGAGATATCTGCACTTCATCTTCATTGCAGCATTATTCACAATAGTCAAGTTATGGAATCAACCTAACCATCCATTGATGGATGAAGGAATTTTTTAAATGTATGTGTGTGTGCATGTGTGTGTGTGTGTGTGTGTATGAAATGGAATATTATTCAGCCATAAAAAAGAAGGAAGTCCTGTCATTTGCAACAACATATATGAACACAGAAGACATTATGCTAAATGAAATAAACCAGGCAGAGAAGGACAAACAGTGTATGATCTCACTTACATGTGGAATCTAAAAAAGTTAAACTCACAGAAACAGAGTAGAATAGTGGCTGCCAGGGACTTTGGGGTGGGGGAAATGGGGAGATGTTGGTCAAAGGGCAAAAACTTTCACTTATAAGATGAGTAAGCTCTGAGAATCTAATGTACAGCATGCTGATTATTGTTAATAACACTGTATTTTGTATTTGAAATTTGCTAAGACAGATCTTCAGTGTTCACATACACAAAGAATGGTAATTATGTGAGATGATGGATGTATTAATTTACTTAATCATGGAAACAATTTCATAATGTATATGTATATCAAGTCATCACATTTCATATCTTAAATATATACAATTTTGTCAATTATACTTCAATAAAGCTGGAAAAATATAAACAGTAAACTCAAAGATCGATGGATAGATAGATAGATAGATAGATAGATGATGGATAGAATGATTTAGTTGTTTCTCCATTCATTGTAAAGTTAAAGATGAATACAAATTATGTTGCATTCCTCTTATATACACCTAATTACATCAGAGAGCTAATATGTACCTCAGAAAAATACATGAAAATGAGTGCTTTATAAGACAACAAGGATTGAAGCTAACTGGGAAATCCTTATATACTTTTATACCCCTATATACACTTAAACAGGAGTTTCAACATCATTCCTAATTTTTCAGAGAAGCACATCCATTTTCAAAATTATTGATTCACTGAAATTTATCTCTGATCATTTTCAAATCATATTGAATTGCGTGAAACCCTCGAAAAAAAGAAATAGCCAATAAGCACATGCAGAGATGCCCAACATCATCAGTCATTAGGGAAATGCAAATCAAAACCATGGTGAGACACCTCTTCACACACACATGAAAAGATGATCATAATCAAAACTATGGACGAGAGAAAGTGTGGGTGAGGATATGGAGAAAGTGGAGCCTTTATACAGCCAGTGGAACATAAAACGGCACAACCACAGGCCGGGCGCGGTGGCTCACGCCTGTAATTCCAGAACTTTGGGAGGCCGAGGCCGGCAGATCACGAGGTCAGGAGATCGAGACCATCCTGGCTAACACGGGGAAACCCCGTCTCTACTAAAAATACAAAAAATTAGCCGGGCGCGGTGGCGGGCGCCTGTAATCCCAGCTACTTGGGAGGCTGAGGCAGGAGAATGGCGTGAACCCAGAAGGCGGAACTTGCAGTGAGCCAAGATCCCGCCATTGCACTCCAGCCTGGGCAACAGAGTGAGACTCTGTCTCAAAAAAAAAAAAAAAAATGGCACAACCACTTTGGAAAACAGTCTGGCAATTTCTCAACATGTTAAACTTTGATTTACCATATGACTCAGCAATTCCAGTCATAGGTATATACCCAAGAGAACTGAAAATGTATTTTCGCACAAAAACTAATATACAAATATTGACAGCACTATGATTCATAATAGCCAAAAATGGTAACAACCTATATATCCCTCAACAGATGAATGAACAGACAAAATGTGGTATATCCCAACTAGACAGTATTTTCAGCCACAGAAAGTAATTAACTATTGATACATGCTATAACACAGATGAATTTTGAAAATATTATGCTAAGTGAAAAAAGCCAGTCACAAAAGGCCACGATTCTATTGGTATGAAATGCCCAGAAGAGGCAAATCCACAGAGAGAAGGAAAATAGATTAATGGCTGTCAGGGCTGGAAGGAGGAGGAATGGGAATCTCTACTAATGGGTAGAGGTTTCTTTTTCAGGTGACAAAAAAGTTCTAAAATTGGATAGTGGTGATGGTTGCAGAACTCTGTGACTATACTAAAAAACAATGAATTGCGTACACTTTAAAAGAGTGAATTTTATGGTATGTGAATTATATTTCGTAAAGGTGTTATTTTTCTAAAAGACCAATGGAGGGTTAAAAAGAAAGTATAGGCTGGCCACAGAGGCTGACACCTGTAATCCCAGCACTTTGGGAGGCCAAGGTGGGCGGATCCCTTTAGGTCAGGAGAATTAGCTGGGCGTGGTGGTGCACACCCAGCTACTCAGGAGGCTGAGACACGAGAATCACTTGAACCCGGGACGGGGAGGTTGCAATGAGCCAAGATTGCACCACTGCACTCCAGCCTGGGCAACAGAGCAAGATACTGTCTCAAAAAAAAAAAAAAGAAGAAAAGAAAAAAGAAAGAAAGTATAGTATGCTCTGATTATATGCTCTGACAATATAGATGTAATTTGGCTATTTTTAAAAACGAGTTGAATGGGGAAAACATATGTAAAACTGGGAACTACTTGCAGTAATCAATTGATTCTGGTAGTATTAGTATTAGCATGGGGAGATACTTAGCATAATACAAGATTAAGCAAATGAGGTATTATGGGATATTCTATCATCCCTTGTGTTCTTGAAAACCAAATTCTCGAGGTAGAGGAAAGGAGTTGGAGACATACCCAGGCTAGGTTACATACAGAACTCTGTAGTCCTGAATTTGAACTAGAAATGGGAATATGAGTTCATGAGATAGGCTGTCTATCTGTGTAGCTAACCGTGTGTGTGTGTGTGTGTGTGTGTGTGTGTGTGTGTATGTGTGTGTGTGTGTGTGTTTCGTAGCTCTGTCCACTGAAAAAATCTAGAAACAATGACCAACCCAGTAGCAATGAACATCCCAAGGGCCCCAACTATGGTCCTGAAATATTACACCATTTCTCAAGAAGAGAAATGGCTGAGCTGAAGTTTGGGATCATACAGGACTGCAAAAGAGCTGTGAAAGACTGTTATACTAGAGCGATGACAAAACGGTTCAGGAGCCCACTTTAGATGTTCTTATTTGCTAAAGATTAAAACAATTTTTTTCTGAGTGCCAATAAGAATACTCATTGTAAGGCATTCAAACCTACCAAATATGTTTAAATTCAGAAGTTTATAATCATATGTTTTAAAACTCACTGGTTGCCCTCAGAGGATGATAGGAAAACAACTCATTATCTTAAAACCTGGCAAATTAGAAAACAATTATCTTGCCTTCCTATATGAAGTGTATCATTGGGAAACCAGTTAGTAGATGAGAGGAAGTGTCTTTTTTTATTTTTTGAGAGACAGTCTCGCTCTGTCACCCAGGCTGGAGAGCAGTGGTATGATCTCAGCTCACTGCAACCTCTGCCGCCTGGTTCAAGCAATCTGCTGGCCTCAGTCTCCCGAGTAGCTGGGACTACAGGCATGCACCACCATGCCTGGTTAATTTTTGTATTTTTAGTAGAAACGGGGTTTCACCATGTTGGCCAGGCTGGTCTCAAATTCTTAATCTCAAGTGATCTGCCTGCCTCAGCTTCCTAAAGTGCTGGAATTACAGGTGTGAGCCACCACGCCCGGCTGGAAGTGTCTTTTTGTAATAATACTGCAAACAATAATTGAAAAAGATATTGAATTAAAATGTCATCATTTTGCAAATCACAATTAGTTAAAAGATACAGGCACTGAGCATCGACAGCGGCTAACATTGAAAAAAGACATGAATTGAAACAAGACATGAAGGCCTCCTGATGAAAGAACAAGCCATTTATATCCTGCAATGGGGATCAAGCCAGACTCCAATTCAGTCCAGTTCCAGGTACCAATTTTCAGGAAACTCAGAAGACAGAGTAATCATGTTGAACTGCACCAAGAGGGTACACTTGGCAAACTCCAGACTCCAAATGTCCTAGGCACTTCAGCCTGTAAATTGCAGGGAAAAGAAAGGGATAGAGGGTGGCGGGCGCCTGTAATCCCAGCTACCCAGGAGGCTGAGGCAGGAGAATCGCTTGAACCTGGGAGGCCGGGGTTGTAGTGAGCAGATATTGTGCCACTGTATTCCAGCCTGGGCAGCAGAGCAAGACTCTGTATCAAAAAGAAAAGAAAGAGAGATCAAGAGAGAGAGAGAGAGAGGGAGGGAGGGAGGAAGGAAGGAAGGAAGAGAAAGAGAGAGAGAGAGAGAGAGAGAGAAGGAGAAGGGAGGGAGGGAGGGAGGAAGGAAGGAAGGAAAGAAAAGACAGAAAGACAGAAGGAAGGAAGGAAGGAGAAAGAGGAAACCTGTACATTAAAAGAGACTTGATGACATAGTACAAATTTTTAATGGACAAGACTAAACTATAGGCCGGGGCTGTGACTCATGTCTGTAATCCTAGCACTTTGGGAGGCTGAGGCAGGCAGATCACTTGAGCTTAGAGTTCTGGGCAACATAATGAAACCCTGTCTCTACAAAAAATACAAAAAAATTAGCCTGGCATGGTGGGACGCACCTGTAGTCCCAGCTACTCAGGAGGATGAAGTGAGAGGATCACTTGAGCCCTGGGAAGTTGCGGCTGCCATGACCCATGATTGTGCCGCTGCACTCCAGCCTGGGTGACAGAGCGAGACCTTGTCTCAGAAAAAAAAAAAAAGAAAAAAGAAAAAAAAGGCTAAACTACAGTGTCTAGGGATAGCTACTTGAGTGATAAAACCATACAGAAATGAAAGGAAGTGATTACTATAAATCAGAGAGTGACTACTTTGAAAGAGAAGGAAGAGGATTGTCATTGGGGCCAGGCACGTGGAGGAGATTCTGGGGCAGCTGGCAAAGTTTAATTTCTTGACCAGAGAGGGTGATTACAAGCCCACTCACCTCACAATAACTTATCCAGCTCCACACTTGATTTGGGTGGATTTCTGTGTCTGTTTTGTCTTTCCATAAAAAGGTTTTTAAAATCTCTACCAGAGCATGTTTGTTTACAATTTCAGATTAAAACCTCGCCTTCTTGGCTCGTCCAAGTTCCATATGACCTTCCTGCACCATGACTTTTGTTCTGTATTTGAGAGCAAGTTTTTAAACAACTCAATTTTGTGTCTGACATCAATGAACAAAGATGTAGATGCTGTTCTGGAATCTGCCTCTGCGTGTCTTCATTCGTCACGGAGAAGGGGCTGCATATCATCTTCCAGATGGTGCTTGACAAGCACACTCTTTATAGAATGAAAGGAAACTGTGGCCATGAACACCGCATTCAGCTTTCCCTCCGCTACCTCTGCAGCCTTTTAGATGCTAACATAGACTGCCTGCCCCGCTGCGGATTTACAGCTATTCGGATGTCAACTCTATTCCTTCCAGACTTTGTCTGCGTCAGATTAGTCAAGGCAGGCAGCTGTGATACAGACAGTAGGAAAAACAGTAGGCTTGGAATCAAGACACCTGGCCTCCACTGGCAACTCCTTCCAGCTCTGTAACCTGGGACAGGCTGCTCAATATTCCTGCATCCGTTTCCTCATCCGGAAGGTGGGGATTATACACGGGATTGTTGTGAGGGAGGTGATGCGTGTAAAAGCAACTTGTGAACTTTGAAATGCACTCTCACCATTCAGAGGTCTTCAGCATCCTCACACAGCTCACTCCCAGTGAATTTCTTTCTCTATGTCATTACCCACAGTAATGGGTCACATTATCATGCTGCCCTATCCAACACAAAAAATGATCAGAAGATCTTATTGTCCTTTGAATGCCCTTGCAGCTGGGCCACTGAGGTTTGAAGAGATATGGTGTTGGAATGGGAAGAAGGCCTCAGGGGGTCTCAGAGCCATCTGGTTCCCTGAGTGTTCTCTTGTGTCCCTTCTGAGGTGCCTGGGGTTCCATGGCCAGGTTCAGCGACCACCTTAGGGTCAGGAAGTAGATATCGGCCACTCTGACCCTCATGCCTGCCTCTTCAGAGGAGCTCTGCCTTATCCAATCCACATCCTGGCGCATTTGTAAGTAAGAGTTCACGTCACAGGTTCTGAAAACAACAGCAGCAACAAGTATGAGTTCAAGGCCAGGCGCGGTGGCTCACGCCTGTAATCCTAGCACTTTGCGAGGCCGAGGTGGGCAGATCACCTGAGGTCAGGAGTTCGAGACCAGCCTGACCAACATGGAGAAACCCCGTCTCTACTAAAAATACAAAAAATTAGCCAGGCGTGGTGGCAGGCACCTGTAGTCCCAGCTACTCAGGAGGCTGAGGCAGGAGAATTGCTTGAACCCAGGAAGCAGAGGTTGCAGTGAGCAGAGATGGCGCCACTGTACTCCAGCCTGGGCGACAGAGCAAGACTCCGTCTCAAAAAAAAAAAAAAAAAAAAAAGAAAAAGAAAAAAAAATACACTTGAAGGGGAGAAGGAGGGAAGGAAGGGAAATTTTACATGATTGATATAATGGTATGTTTAAAGACACAACACAAAAGGTTTTTAAGGGAGCCAAATATTCATAAACACACTGATAAGAAGCCTGTGCTTTATAAATGTTCTAACATAACTTCCTGTTAATATGCAAATAATGCCCCAGGGGATCTATAATGTGATTCTCTTCAGAAGTTTAACAAACTGCTGTGTAAACTAGTAGCTATTAATACTTTCTGCATTCATCTTACACATTAATTAAACCTTCAAACATTGCTGTCAGTTGTTCTTTTGCCAATCTTCTGTCAAACATTATTAAATACAATTTCTCATTTCTTTCTATCTAAAAACATCCTTTTTTTCCTGAAATATTTAAAAAAACACTGTAATGTACCAAAAGATTTGAGAAAACTTGTCTCTTCTGGGAGATGCTGTGGCAAATCAATTCCTTCTAAATAATTAATTTTCTTGAGATCAATGCCTAATTAGTTTTGCATTTTCTTTTAAAGAACTCACTCAATTTTAGAAGATTATTGTTAAGGGAAAACTTATTTCCCGTCTTCATGCCCTGGAAGGGGCAGTATCAGAACACACAGCTCGGGCTTCTCGACTCCTCACTTGCTTCTTCCCCAAAAGGAGTGACTTATTTCATGGATGAGCAGACCCCATATGTAGGGCAGTGACCCCCATCCTACCTGCTACCTGTTATGGGTTGAATTATGTCTCCTAAAAGGTACGTTGAAATCCAAATCTCCAGTAACTGTGAATGTGTCTTTATTTTGAAATAGGATCTTTGCAGATAGAATCAGGTTAAAATGAGGTCACTACAGTGAGCCCTAATCCAAAATGACTGGTATCCTCATAAAAAGAGAAGGCTGGGTGCGGTGGTTCACACCTGCAATCCCAGCACTTTGAGAGGGAGACCCCATCTCTGCAAAAAATAAAAAAATACAGCCAGGCATGGTGGTGCACACCTGTAGTCCCAGCTACTCAGGAGGCTGAGGTGGGAGGATCATTTGAAACCCAGGAATTCAAGCATCGATCACACCATTGCACTCCAGCCTAGGTGACAGAGTGAGACCCCATCTCAAAAGAGAAGAAGAAGAAGAAGAAGAAGAAGAAGAAGAAGAAGAAGAGAGAAAACACAGATGTTTCTACAAACCAAGTGTGTATCTTCAAGCCAAGCAATGCCAAGGATGGCTGGCAAACACAGAAACTAGAAGAGGAAGGAAGGATTCTCCCCAACAAATTTCAGAGAAAGCGTGGCCCTCCTGACACCTTGATCTTGGACTTCTAGCTTCCACAACTGTGAAGTGACAAATTTCTGTTGTTAAACCACCCAGTTTGGGGTACTTTGTTACGGCTGCCTTCACAGATGGATACACCATCCTTGCTCTCTCTGCCCCCTGGTTCTGCTGGCACCCAGGCATGGCAAGGGCTTCCTCAAGCCAGGTCTGATCTTTCCAACCCATCTCTCATCTGTGCCAAAATCAGGCAAGTCATGCTCATGAAATTCCTATAGGTCTAGGTTCAGGGAAGGAGACAAGGGGCCTGTCTTTGTTTTGTGTTGCTATAACAGAATACCTGAAACTGAATAACTTATAAAGAAACGTATTGGCTTATGGCTCTGGAAGCTGGGAAGTCCAAGACTGAGGGGCTGACATCTGATGAGGGCCTTCTTACCATGTCATCCTATGGTGGATGATGAGAGAGTGAGAGAAAGCAAGAAGGCCAAATTCAAGCTCACTCCCATGATAAAGTTAATCCATTTGCGGGGGGCGGAGCCCTCAGGGCCTAATTCCCTCTTAAAGTTCCCACCTGTTAACACTGTTGCACTGGGGATTCCGTTTACAACACATGCTTCTTGGGGGTGCTATAGTTTGGATGTTTCACCTCTTCAAACCTCACATTGAAATTTGATCCTCAGTGTTGAAGCTGGGGTCTCACGGGAGGTGTTTGGGTTGTGAGGATGGATCCCTCATGAATAGATTAATGCTGTCCCTGGTGGGGGTGGGGAAGAAGTGAGTGAATTCTCACTCTACTTTGTTGCTGCAAAAGCTGGATGTTCAAAAGAATGGGCATCTCCCTTCTCTCTTGCTTCCTCTCTTGTTATGTGATCTCTGCAATCTCTGCACACAGCAGCTCCCCTTCACCTTACACCATGAGTGGAAGCTCCCTGAGGCCCTTACCAGAAGCAGATGCTGGCACCATGCTTCTTGTAACAGCCTGCAGAACCATGAGCCGAATAATAAACCTCTTTTCTTTAGAAATTCCCCAGCCTCAGATATTCATTACAGCAACACAAATAGACTAAGACAGAGGGACACATTCGAACCATAGCAAATCTCTCTGCAGTCCAGATCTGTTACTTACTAGCACTGCTCTAGAACTTTCCTTCCGTTTGTTCCTTGTGTCTATGTTTCTACAACTATGTCATATAACTATATGTATAGTTACAGCCTGCCATTTAGCTATAACGTACTCTCCCACTGTGTCACTTGGCTCACCTCCTGTGCCAGTTAACAAGCTAATGTCAGGGCAAAATCCACTCTTCTATTCTCTGCTCTTTGTGGCTGGTATGCCCTCATTCATTCCTGATAGCTTCTCCACTCAAGCCTGCATCACCCTGAGTAACTTCAACATCCCCGTGACAACTCCCCCACCAGTGACAGCCTCTTGACTCCTCCTCTGTATGTCCCAGTCCACTCCATCTCAGCTGCCCCCTCCCATAGGCATACCTAGGATTTTGTCTTCACCAGAAGCTGTTCTCCTCCAAAATAGCAAATCCACAAACAGCCCATGCCCTGTCCATGGCTTCCAGCTTGCTCACTCAGCAATGTTCACCCTTTGACTATCATTTCTTCCCTTAGCTGATATTCTTATATTTGTCCTTGCCTCCTCCAATCTACTTTATGCATCAAAAACAGAGAATGCTTTTCACATTGCGTCAGGTCACTCTGTGCATGTCAATTATCAATATAATGTATATAGAAGGGGCACAGACTGATGGTTGCCAGGGAATCATAATAATGGCTGTTATGGAAGGGTGTGGTGAGTGTGGCTTGCAGTGATGTAACAGTATCTTGATTGTGGTGGTTACATAAATCTGCAAATGTGGCAGAATTGCATAGAACTATATACACACAAGTAAGTACTATGAAACTGCTGAAATCTCAATAAGCTCTATGGATTGTATCAATGTTAATGTCTCAGTTTTGATATTGTACTATAGTTATACAAGATGTTATGGTGGGGGAAACTGGATGAAGGGTACAGAGGACCTTCCTGCACATTTTTTTTGCAACTTCTAGTGAATCTATAATCGTTTTCCAAAAAGGTTTAAAAAAAAAGGAAATAAAAATTTCTTCCTGACCTTCTGCTAGGTGGTGAGGATGCAGCTATGAGCGCAACAGGCTGTATCTCTAGACTCATATGACTGAAACAGATAGGGAGGATAAGTTGTGGTTCTCATCACTCTTGGGACAAGCCAGGATCCTGAATAAGGTCTATTAGTTCCCCTAATGGGCCCTGCCAATCCTGGCAGCCTCACCTCCCACTGTTCTTCAGTAACCACCTTGGCTTTTACAAGTTTCCTAGCGTGTAGGAGCTTCCTCCCCGACATGCCTCCCAACTCTCACCTGGGAGCAGCCTCCCCTGTGCTCCTAACCTGGTCAGGTCCCTGTACAGGCTCTGCCAGCTCCTTGAACCTCTTCTCCAGAGGTGCAATAGATCTAATCTCCCCTATTAAACTATAAGAATCGATGTTTTCGTTGCTCATGATTAAATCCTCAGCAATGTACACGGTGGCCAGAACATAGGAGTCACTCATGAATTTTTTGAATGAGTGAATGACTGAAAGGGCTTTAAGCAGAGGATAATGCAATCTGATTTGCTTTTTAAAAAATAAACTTTTGTGGGGGCTGGGCACAGTAGCTCACGCCTGTAATCCCAGCACTTTGGGAGGCCAAGGTGGGCAAATCACTTGAGGTCAGGAATTCGAGACAAGCATGACCAATGAGGTGAAGCCCCCTCTCTACTAAAAATTTAAAAATTAGTCACTTTGGGAGGCCGAGGCGGGCGGATCACGAGGTCAGGAGATCGAGATCATCCTGGCTAACACGGTTAAACCCCGTCTCTACTAAAAATACAAAAATCATTAGCCGGGCGTGGTGGCAGGCACGTGTAGCCCCAGCTACTGGGGAGGCTGAGGCAGGAGAATGGCGTGAACCCAGGAGGCGGAGCTTGGAGTGAGCCGAGATCACGCCACTGCACTCCAGACTGGGCGACAGAGTCAGACTCTGTCTCAAAAAAAAAAAAAAAAAAAATTTAAAATTAGCCAGGTGTGATGGCACACACCTGTAAACCCAGCGGGGAGGGAACTGAGGCAGGAGAATCTCTTGAACCTGGGAGGCGGAGGTTGCAGTGAGCTGAGTTCGCGCCACTGCGCTCCAGCCTGGGCGGCAGAGTGAAACTCCGTCTCAAAAATAAAATAAAATAAAATAAAATAAGCTTTTGTGTTTTAGGGTAGCTATAGAATTACAGAATAATTACTGAAGTAGCATAGAGCTCCCAAATGTTCCATACCCATTTTCCCCTATTATTATTAACATCTTACCTTAATCTGGTAGATTTGTCACAATCAATGAAACAATACTGACACATTATTATTCACTGGAGTCCATACTTTGTCCAGAATTCCTGTTTTTCTCCCTAATGTTCTTTTTGGGATCCCATCCAGAACACACGTCCACAGTATAATTAGTTGTCGCGTCTCCTACAGCTCCTCGTGGTGTGTCAGCTTCTCAGGCATTCCTTATCTAAAGTCTTATCTATGCTTCACCTTCTTAAGAGCAGCTACACAGATTGAAGTTCTTCTGCTCGGGTTTGTCTCTTCTTCACTGTGTCTTTACTTATTTACTGGACTGTTTATTTATATAAATTAATCTATCCTTCATTCACCTACTGAAGGACATTTTGGACATATATTTATTTATATAAATATGGTCTCATGGATATTTATGTTTTGGGTTATAGCCTCCTTTTTTTGGTGTTCAAATTGTTCTAGCTTTGGACTTTGGGGGCTCTTTCAGTTGGCCTATGTGTCCCTTTAACATAACCCTATCTTTATGGGAATTTATTTTGTGAGCACTTCGTTATTTTCTGGCACTAAAAGATGCTCCCGGCTTATCCTGTATATTTCCAACCTGAGTCCTAGGTTCAGCCTTTCTCAAAAAAGCCCTGGTTCCTTCCACTGAAAATGGTATTAGAAACCAAGCTCTGAGCAGTAGGTATGCTCGTTGCTACTGGGGAGTCATTGCTTCATTGCTTGTAGGCCTGCTCAGTTGGCAGAAGAGCAAAATATATTAGGTTTGTGCAAAAGTAATTGCGGTTTTGCTGTTACTTTTAATGTAACTGTCTGCATCTATAATTCTATATGTAACCATTTATAGATATACCTCTGCATATATATAATGCTGTGTGTAACCATCTGCATCTATATTGAGAAGCATGAGTTCCTACTGAATGCTTCACCTCTAATCCATTACCACATAGATCCTTCCAGACTCCTCTCTTTATCTGGAATCTCCCACGCCTGCAGTGAGGAGCCTAGCTTCCATTATTTGCTTACTTTAGTTAATTCTTTAATCCCAGTTATACGTGTACGGTGGTTTCAGAATTGTTAGCTCATATCCCTAGGGGGCGCAACTTTATCAGCTAGAATAGAGTGTGTATGTAGAGTTCCTGTGCCTTTAGTCATTCATTTCCAAAGATACCTAAGCCAGCACTTTATTCCTCATCTCCTTCAACAACATTGTTCCATACATTTGTGGTACATTTAGATCCTTTTGTCGCATTCTGCCTCTCATTCTGGGTTCCCCAACATCCTAATTATTTTTATTTTTTTATTTTTTTTTAGACAGATTCTTGCTCTGTTATTCAGGCTGGAGTGCAGTGGTATGATCTCGGCTCACTGCAACCTCTGTTTCCTGGGTTCAAGCCATTCTCCCTGCCTCAGCTTCCCGAGTAGCTGGGATTACAGGCGCCCGCCGCCATGCCCAGCTAATTTTTGTATTTTTTAGTAGAGACAGGCTTTCGCCATGCTAACTAGGCTGGTCTTGAACTCCTGAACTCAAATGATCCTCTCATCTCAGCCTCCCAAAGTGCTGGGATTACAGATGTGAGCCACCGCACTCGGCTCCTAATTTTTTTTAAATTTACCTGATTAGGGTTTGCTCTCTGCACTGTAAAGTTGATAGAAATCCCCCATAGGGTTTTGCCAAATCCTTGTATATGCCATTATAGTATCACTCATACAAAAAAAAAAATCCCTGTGCTTCACCTATTCAATCATCCCCCCAACTTCTAACCTCTTGGCAAACACTGATCTGTTTATTGTCTCTGTCGCTTGCTTTTTCCAGAATGTCATATAGTTGGACTCATACAGTATATTGCTTTTTCAGACTAGTTTATTTCATTTAGCAATATGCATTTAAGATTCATCCATAACTAGAGTCAGGCGCGGTGGCTCATGCCTGTAATCCCAGCACTTTGGGAGGCTGAGGCAGGTGGATCAGCTGAGGTCAGGAGTTCGAGACCAGCCTGGCCAACATGGAGAAACCCCATCTCTACTAAAAATACAAAATTAGCCAGGCCTGGTAGTGAATGCCTGTAATCCCAGCTACTCAGGAGGCTGAGGCAGGAGAATCGCTTGAACCCGGGAGGCGGAGGTTGCAGTGAGCCGAGATTGCGCCATTGCACTCTAGCCTGGGCAACAAGAGCGAAACTCTGTCTCAAAAAAAAAAAAAAAGATTCATCCATAACTTTGTCGGGCTTGATAGCTCAGTTCTAGTTGCTGAATAATATTCTATTGTGTGAATGTACCATAGTTTGTTCATCCATTCACCTATTGAAGGATATATTGGTTGCTTCTAATTTTGGACCATTATGAATAGAGCTGCTATAAACATTGGCATGCTGGTTTATGTAGGGACATACGCTTCCAAATCAGTTCAGTTTCAAATCACCTGAGTGTGATTGTTGACTCTGGTAGTAAGACTATGTTTAGGCTGGGCACAGTGGCTCATGTCTGTAATCCCAGCATTTTGGGAGGCCGAGGAGTGTGGATTGCTTGAGCCCAGGAGTTCAAGACCAGCCTGGGCAACATGATGAAACCCTGTGTTTCCAAAATATACAAAGATTAGCCAGGCCTCATGGCATGCACCGTGTAGTCCCAGATACTAAGGAGGCTGAGGATGGAGGATCTCTTGAGCCTGGGAGGCAGAGGTTGCAGTGAGGTAAGATCACACCACGCACTCTAGCCGGGGCAACAGAGTGAGACCCCTGTCTCAAAAAAAAAGAAAAAGACTAGGTTTAGTTTTGTAAGAAAGCGCAAATTCTCTTCCAAAGTGGCTGTACCATTTTTGCATTCCCACCAATAAATGAACATTCCTGTTGCTCCACATCCCCTCCAGCAGTTGGTATTGTTGGTTTTTGGATGTCCGCCATTCTAGTAGATGTGTGGGGGTATGTCATTATTGTGGTGATTTGCAATTCTCTAGTAACAAATTATGTTTAACTACAGATTAAGTATTCTAAAATCATCATTTTGGGCCAATGCCCATTATTTAACTGGCTTAACAGTAATAATAATATTGATTCAGAAATTTTATTTAGTCAGTTATTTAAGAGAACATTTTGCAGCTAGTTTTGCTTGAGGTGTTCATCAGGTCATGACATGGTTTAAAGCTATTTCATCATTGCACTGATGAGATATTTTATCATTGCACTGATGAGATATTTTATCACTAAGATTATATCTGTTTTAAAATTTTCAAACTAAAACTACTAAATGTATGGTAACAAATTTTGAGGCTTCCATTCATCCATTGTTGAAGTGACCTAAAATCTTTTTTTTCTTTCTTTCTTTTTTTGAGACAGAGTCTCGCTTTGTCGCCCAGGCTGGAGTGCAGTGGCGTGATCTTGGCTCACTGCAAGCTTCACCTCTCGGGTTCACGCTGTTCTCCTGCCTCAGCCTCCGGAGTAGCTGGGACTACAGGCGCCCGCCACCGCGCCCGGCTAATTTTTTGTATTTTTAGTAGAGACGGGGTTTCACCGTGTTAGCCAGGATGGTCTCGGTCTCCTGACCTCGTGATCCGCCCGCCTCGGCCTCCCAAAGTGCTGGGATTACAGGCATGAGCCACGGCGCCCGGCCAAAGTGACCTAAAATCTTGACCCAGTCCAAGGGTACTTCCTCATCCCATCTCCATGCAGGGAATGTTCATCCTTTTAGAACATGTTGATAGCAAGTCCATCATTTTTAAGAGGATTTTTAAACCATATTCTCAGCTCTACTGGATGTTAAATCATGTGACTATGAACTTAATAGGCAACGTGCATCACAGGACATGTCAGGGAAGATAGGTTCAAATGTATTGCTGCTGAGCATGCACAGAAAGCTTAAGTAAGAGAAATAATAATGATGCAGGATTACTTGAAGGCTGTATTGACCATCTATTCATTTAGACTAATAAGGATGGAGATGGATTCAAATTGATCACAATGGTGATGCTCTAAAGAGACAGACCATGAGGTTCTGCTTCCCAGTTCCCTAGAACTCCCTTGGTCCAGGACCTTCTGAGGGCTGGTGGTTGAGGTTTTCATTTGATTCTCACAGTTGATAGAGCAAACTTTAAGAAGCTGATATAGAGGAGAAAAAGGATCAAGTTAGGCATCAGGTTCCTGGGTCCACTACCTAACACCAGTGCTTCCTTGGACAAGTTACTTAAGCTCCATAAGCCTATTTCCTCATGTGGAAACTGGTCATAACAATCGCATTATAATCCCTACTTTGTCCAAATTAGATGAACACTGTGTGTAAGACAGCACCATTGTCTTACAAAGCAGTTACAAACTGGCAGCCAGATCAGGCACAGGGGCAGGCCATTTACCCTGCAAGATGATGTATGTTTTAAAAGTTTGAGTCAACTTTTTCAAGTTCAAAAACTTCATATTAAGCCAAGATTTATGGCTTCCTTTAAAAACTTTAATGGATCTCACAATACAGTCCCTACATTTCCAAGAGCCGAGCAGCAGCCCTGCCCTTTAGGCAAAGCACCAGCTCTCCAGGTGCCTCAGCTCCCTACCTTCCTAGCTGTCTCTATGTTTTTTTATTAAAACCACAAATAAACTGTAAAGCCATAAAATAAGTGATTAATATTATTGCTGGAGATAACTTATGGAAGGCTTCTTAACACCTGAGAGGCGATGTTTCACTCAGAGTAAAGGTGAGGGTGGCCTCTATACGGCTGGTGACAGAAGGTGCCCATGGCACAATTCAGTTTGTTGAGCCAAATTTTCTGTGCTTCATTCCACAGTCTTTGTAATCTGAGCATGCATGGCTTGAGAAACACTTTTTAGGCACACACTTTGATATAAAACAATTTGTCAAAAAAAGAAGATGCTGGAAATTCCAGAGTCAAGTAGTCTGCCTTACTGACATCATTCATGGCAATAATATTATATGGGCTGCTATGAGCATCTGCTCAATATTATATGGGCTGCTAGGGGCATCTGCCCACTTTCCTAGAATGCCACTTTTCTTTCACTGGGTCTATCCAAATTGGAAACTCCAAAGCCCATCCCAGTTCTCTCCCACCATCATCATCATCATCATCATCATCATCATCAATCATCATCATCGTCATCTCATCATCATAGATGTGATGATGATGATCTCTCTCTCCCTTGACCTCTTAGGGAAATTACTATCTATAAAAATTAACTGGCAATGAGTCACATGTTGCTTTGAAACCTGTTCTATCATATCATGATGTCTTATTGTATGACCTATAATTTATTTGATTCTTTTGTAGGGACAGGGTCTTGCTATATTGCCGGGGCCAGTCTCAAACTCCTGGCCTCAAGTGATCCTCCCACCTCAGCCTTTCAAGTAGCTGAGACTACAGGCATGAGCCACCACACCCAGCTTATGACTTAATTATTCATATACAGGTAGTATTCACTTTGCATGGTACTGTGGAACTGTAAAAATCACCATGCAATCTGAAACCACGCAAAGAAATATTAATAATCAATGGGGAAAATATGATTTTTCTTTCTTTTTTTTTTTTTGAGACAGAGTCTCGCTCTTTTGCCCAGGCTGGAGTGCAGTGGCGCGATCTCTGCTCACTGCAAGCTCCGCCTCCCGGGTTCACGCCATTCTCCTGCCTCAGCCTCCCAAGTAGCTGGGATTACAGGTGCCCGCCACCACGCCCGGCTAATTTTTTGTATTTTCAGTAGAGACGGGGTTTCACCGTGTTAGCCAGGATGGTCTCGATCTCCTGACCTCGTGATCCGCCTGCCTCGGCCTCCCAAAGTGCTGGGATTACAGGCGTGAGCCACCGCGCCCGGCCTGATTTTTCAATGATACGTTCTAATGCTTGTAAAAACATTAAAATCTCTCTTACTGGCAGTTATAAACAATAGGAAAATGAAAAGGAACAGTAAAACTGATATTTGATTATGCCTTGGTGAATTGGCATACTCCTTTCTAAGTTTGCATCACTTCCAACATTTTCCCCTTTGTGCTTTCAATGTCATAAAATATATCTGAGAGTTCCATTAACTTAAAGTGTTTCCCCACCACCACCTTTTTTTTTTTTTTCTAGAGTTACTTCCTCTGGGGTATCTTCTTCATTCTTTTTGTCATGACCTTTTCCCTCATTTATGTCTGTAAGTTTATTGTCAATAAGTCCTTCTGGCTGTATATCTAGAGTTTCTCCGAAGGTGGCAGGGTCAACATTCACATGATCAGCTATGTCTTCCATAACTCCACATGGTCAGCTATTTCTTCTATAACTCCATTTACATCCCATTCAAATTTCACTTCCATCTTTAACACTTTTTGTTTCTTTTGTGTACTTTCATCTTTGTTGGCCAATTTGACCTTCTAATTATCTGTTTTTATAAAATGCCACCTGGGTTTATCACTGAGAATCACCGAGGCAGCACAACTACACACTTTGCTGGCAGTGCAATTGAATGACATATGCACAATGACCAATCACTGCAGATTTTGAAAGAACTTGCTGCGATTGGTCACCAAGCACTGCAGGTGTTGGAATAAAGGTCATGATTGGTAACTGACTGTGGTGCGCATCTGTTACTTACATAGTGATTTGTGGACTGAAGAGCTAGCAGCCCCATTTGTGCTCCATGCAATGACTCACAGTTAATATGCCATGGTAACTGTAATTTGAACCGTGTTGTTGGAAGACTGAGTTATTTAATGAAACCATGGTAAATGAGTTCGTTTCATGCTTAATCAGAACCACGAGAAGCAAAGCCTGCCTGTATTTGTATTCTGTCTTCACAAGTCCAGTGTAAGCCCCATGAGGGCAGGACCCATGACTCAAGAAGTCATCTGCACATATTCCCCATGCTCACCCCAAGCACCTACTACAGTACCTTGTGTATGAAAAAATACTCGATAAATATTTACTGAATTTTATTTTCTTCACCAGAGAAAGAACTGTGTAGATGTAACACAGTATTGAAAGTCAAGAGACTTCAATTCTTGGTCTGGGTCTGGAACTAATTGAGTATGATTTTTCAGACACTCTCTCTTTTAAAAAAATGTATTTTAAGCAAAATCTCTACCTATGGTAAGGATATAATCAGAATTCTAACAACTATTGTGTCTTAGTCATATTCAAGATGAAAAAACTGTTTTAGTTTATTATTTTATTATTTATATTATTTTATTATTTTTTGAGATGGAGTCTTGCTTTGTTGCCCAGTCTGGAGTGCAGTGGCGCGATCTCAGCTCATTGCAACCTCCACCTCCTGGATTCATGCAATTCTCATGCCTCAGCCTCCTGAGTAGCTGGGATTACAGGCATGCACCAACATGCCCGGCTAATTTTTGTATTTTTATTAGAGATATATTCCCTCTTTCAGTGTTCCTGGGAGCTCCTTAATGAGCCAAAACACAAAGCCATTCTGACAGAGAATGCTGGCTGTCAGCTGCATTCATTCAGAGCTAAGTGATCTGATCCACACACCAGCCTAACAGCCAAAGTGATCTCACTAAAATGACCAATATCACTGCAAAGGAAGGTTTTCCAGGCCAAGAGAACGTGCATGTGCAAAGACCCTGGGGCAAGAAAGAACCTGGCATTTCGTAGCTACCAAAAGCCCATATGCAGGAGAGCACAGAGGGCAGAAAGATGTGAAGAGAATCACGAGATGGCCCAATGACGAAAGGGGAAGAGCTGGAAGGGAGTGCCATGAGCCCCTGTTGAAATCCCTCTGGCTGCAGTGTGGTGAGTGGATGGCAGAAGAGTCACAAAGGATGTGGGGGAAGAAGCTGTGAAAGGATGCCAGAAGAGATGTGATGTGACCTGGCCCTGGGTGGAAGCAAGGGAGATGGGAACAAAGGCATAGCTTCCAGAGAGGTCAAGATGTCAAACCAGTGTTTGAGGCAGGTGGTCCATGTGTGGTCCCAGAACAGCAGCATCAGCAGCATCTGCAGGGAACTTGTTAGAACACGAATTCTCAGGCCCACTGTAGACTTCCTGAATCAGAAGCTCTGAGATTTCTGAACAGTTGGGGTTTTCTCAAGCCCTCTGGAGGAGTCTGCCTCTTGCTCAAGTGTGAGGTCCACCAGACGAGGTGATAGAAACAGAAAAGAACCTGCAAAGATGACTCCTGAGCAAGGGGGCTCTCCCACAGGGCCTGGGTGTCAGTGAGTGCTCTTCGGGGGCAAGAGAGAACCCTGGGAAGCACTGAGAAGCAGACAGCAAAGCCCCTCCAAAAAATGGTGTGAAACTCCAATTTCATTTTATTTAATTAATTAATTTATTTATTTATTTGAGACAGAGCCTCGCTCTGTCATCCAGGCCAGAGTGCAATGGCATGATCTTGGCTCACTGCAACCTCCGCCGCCCGGGTTCAAGCGATTCTCCTGCCTCAGCCTCCCGAGTAGCTGGGATTATAGGCAAGCACCACCACGCCTGGCTAACTTTCGTATTTTTAGGAGAGATGGGGTTTCACTATGTTGGCCAGGCTGGTCTTGAACTCGTGACCTCAGGTGATCCGCCTGCCTTGGCCTCCCAAAGTACTCCGATTATAGGCATGAGCCAACATGCCTGGCCTGAAACTCCAATTTTAATTTGAAGGACACATTTGACAACATATGAATTAAATATATCTATATGGTAGATTTCTCACCAAGAATTTAGATGAAAAAAAGAGGGAAAGGAGACAGTTGCAACATTTATGACGAGGGAAACGGTCACTATCCCTAATATGCAAAGGAGTCCATGAGGAAACTCGATAGAAAACTGGATAAAGAAAGTGAGTGGGAATTTCACAAAACGAAGAAATACCGATAATGAATAAAAAGATCATCAGTCTACTTAGTAACCAAGGCAATGCAAATTAAAGTGGCAATGACATTTCTGCCTATCAGATGGCCACAAGAATTTTTTAGACCAAATAACATCCAGTGGATCATATTCCACATTGTGGTCGAGAATAGAAATTGGTACAATCTTCGGTGATGGTAATTTGATGGAGTCTTTTAAAACTTAAAAATGCTCATTCTCTGAAAATGAGCAGAAAAAAAGAATTTGTATGACAATAATTTTTGAAAGTGATAAAATAAACTGTTAAGACAGTTTAATTTCTACGTAGATACCATCTTATTCATAACATATTATACCAAGTAATTCTCAATTTACTTTCAAGGTAATTATAAATCCCTGAAGTCATTATACATCTCACCCAAGGAATTATAATATCTAGCAATAACAAAAATACATTGAAAAGGAGTAACCTGCTCAGCAGATTTTGAATATTTTATTTTGAAATTCAACGTGGAACTTAACCAAAATATTGTTTTATTTCTCTTGGCAAAGTATCTCAACAGAGAGCTATTTCCCTAGGAAAAAAAGAAAATCTTTTATTCCCTATGAAATCAAGTCCACTCTAAGGAAGCTGATTAGGAAGGAGAACTGAGTGCCTCAAGCTCAGTAGTGCTGTCCCGTGAAGATGATGTGACTTGGACCCCAAAGGGTGGAAGAGCCCTTACCGGCATCACGAGTAAGGGCAGGTGAGAAAGGTGGGCACCTGCAGGTGGTGCTCTGGGGTCTACACACAGTGACATGCACAGGTGACACAAACCGTGGTATTTATAGGAGTATTCAAAGGCAGGCTAACCTCAAACACTCTCAGCTTAGAAATGTACAGATAGATAACGTTTAAACTGAGACAAAGCTTTGCAGTTTATGTGAAGCTCAAATGCTGCTGAAGCTGCTCTGTTTCCTGGCCCACCCATCCACCAGCCTGTGTATCCTCCCCAATGAACAAATGATGGACCAAAATGTGGTATGGCAAATGGCAAATGTAAAACTGGAGCAAAGAGATTGTCAGGCTCTTTGAGAATATTACTTTTTCTAAAATATAGTTGATTGATTATTCTTTTGAGAGATAATCATAGGCCCAGTGGAAGTTCAAAGGTATATATCGAAAGTCAATTGGCCTCCCACCCTCTGAACTTGCTTTGAATTCCTTGTGTGTCCTCCCAGGACAGTCTATGCATACACAAATACCTCCTCTATGTGTAAATGTCAGTGGCATGCTATTCACACTCTTCTGAGTTTGTCTTATTTCACTTAACCATATACTTTGGAAATTGATCCACATCTGTATCTCTAAATCTGACTCATTTTTTAAAAGTCATTTTATTTTAAATAAAATGTGGATTCAGGGCAGGGCATGGTAGCACATGCCTGTAATCCCAGCACTTTGGGAGACCAAGGCAGGCAGATCACCTGAGGTCAGGAGTTCAAGACCAGCCTGGCCAACATGGTGAAACCCTGTCTCTACAAAAATACAAAAACTAGCTGGGCATGATGGGGGGGTGCCTATAATCCCAGCTACTCGGGAGGCTGAGGTAGGAGAATTGCTTGAACCTGGGAGGCAGAGGTTGCAGTGAGCCGAGAGCACCATTGCACTCCAGCTTGGGTGACAGAGTGAGACACCATATCAAAAGAAAAAAATAAAATATGGATTCAGAAAACTGCAAAATAAAATATATGGCTTAATGAATTATTTGAAGGTAAATACTACCTAGGATAAGAAATAGAACTTTGCCAGCCACCCCAGAAGCACCTCCATATTCCCTACCTAATCCCTGTCTTCTCCCTCCCACCATAAGTGACATTAATCTGACTTGTTTTCATTTTTATTTTTATAGCTTTATCACCCAAATTTGCTCCCCTAGACCTTATACTTTAGTCCTACCTATTCTAAAAAATGTGTGCTAGGTCTTTTAAGTCTCTTTTAATCTATATGGTTCCTCCTCCATCCATTTCATTTCTTTACAACTTATCGTTGACAAATCTGGGCTAGTCGAATTTCCCATGTCTGTCTTTTTCTTTTCTTTTCCTTCTTTTTTTTTTTTTTTAGATGGGGTCTCACTCTGTCACCCAGACTGGAGTGCAGTGGCTCAATCTCGGCTCACTGCAACCTCCACCTCCTGGGTTCAAGTGATTATCCTGCCTCAGCCTCCAGAGTAGGTGGGACTACAAGCGCGCGCCACCACACCTGGCTAATTTTCTGTATTTTTAGTAGAGACGGGGTTTCACCATGTTAGCCAGGATGGTCTTGATCTCCTGACCTTGTGATCCACCCGCCTCAGCCTCCCAAATTGCATGTTGGTAGCAATTTGCTATGCCCTTTACACTTAAGGGTCAGTTTTTCTGGGTATAACATTTTTGGCTTATACTGTCTTTCCTTGAGTATGTTAAATATGCTAATCCATTCTCCTTTGGTATAAAGCATTTTTCTCAAAAAATCCTGGTAATAGTCTATTTTTCTTTTCCTTATAAGTCACATAAGACTTTTTCAAGATGTCCAAAGAATTTCTCTAGAGGTTCAAATGATTTTTTTTTTCTTAAGTACTAATAATTTCAGTAGGATATATCTTGACAGCAGTCATCCTGGGCCGATATTCTCAAGTGTGCATTGAACCTTTTCTTTCTTTCTTTCTTTCTTTTTTGAGACAGGTTCTTGCTCTGTCACCCAGGCTGGAGTGAGTACAGTGGTACAACCTCAGCTAACTGCAACCTCTGCCTCCCGGGTTCAAGCAATTCTAGTGCCCCAGCTTCCTGAGTAGCTGGGATTACAGGTGCAAGCCACCACACCCAGCTAATTTTTGTATTATTATAGAAATGAGATTTCACCATGTTGGCCAGGCTGTTCTCGAATTCCTGGCCTCAAGTGATCTGCTCACCTCAGCCTCCCAAAGTGCTGAGATTACAGGCATGAGCCACCGCATTCACATTTCAATATACATTATCAAATCTTTTATTTCAAGGAAGTTTTCTTGGATTATAGCTCTTAGTACTTCCTCTGTTCTCTTGCTTTGGTTTTCTTCATGAGGAAAACCTATTATTCATATGTACAATAGCCTTCAATGTTCACTACTTTCTCTTAAATCCTTCTCTCTTCATTTCTTTTTTTTTTTTTTTGTCTTATTTCACCTTTTATGTCTCTCGAGGCATTACCCTTGTATTTGTTTACTTTTGTGTTCCTTCCAGGAACACAGGTATTGACATCCATCAAATGTATTTAAATCCATGGATTCATAATAATTAGTCTACCTTACAGAATAATTATTTTTAGTTCTACTTTTTTCCTGAGTTGTCACTTCATTTCCAAGTTTCTCTAATTCTGATTGATGCTGTTCTGCCATGTCTATCATGTACTTAATGTCTTTTTCTGAAATAGATCAAACAGAAGCTTGCTGTTTTATGACTATGTCTCTCTGCCATGACTTGTCAGTTACAGTGTTACCCTATTCTTTATTCTCTCTAGTTTTTAAAATTACTTTGCATAGGATTGAACTTGATACTCTTCTAGTGCTCGTTTTTTCATGTGAAATCAAGTTTTCCTAAACTTTTAGAACAAGTCAGGGTTCCCTAGGGGGACAGAACTAATAGAATAGAGGGATAGATAGATAGATAGATAGATAGACAGACAGACAGACAGATAGATAGATAGATATAGATAGATAGACAGAGAAAGGGGAGTTTATTAAGTATTAAATTATATGGTCACAAGGTCCCACAATAGGCCGTCTGCAAGCCTGAGGAACAAGGAGAGCCGGTCCGAGTCCCAAAACTGAAGAACTTGGAGTCTGATGTTTGAGGGCAGGAAGCATCCAGCATGGAAGAAAGATGTAGGCTGGGAGACTAGGCCAGTCTTGCCTTTTCACGTTTTTCTGCCTGCTTTATATTTGCTGGCAGCTGATTAGATTGTGCCCACCAGATTAAGGGTGGGTCTACCTCTCCAAGCCCACTGACTCAAATGTTAATCTCCTTTGGCAACACCTCACAGACACACCCAGGATCAATACTTTGCATCCTTCAATCCAATCAAGTTGACACTCAGTACTAATCATCACAAAGGCCATGTTAAGGAATGCTTTTCAAACTTCACAGGGCTCCTACTTCTGTGTTCAAAAATAGAGCCACCTGCTTTCAGGGATTTGCTGGCTGTTTCTTTCCCCCAATGCAGATGGAAACTGCTCCTTCCTTTCTTTCATCCTTGTCTTGCTCAATTTTGATTCCTCTCCCAGCGCTTTCTCCTGAGTGTGGAGCCCTTCCTGATCAGTCTTGGGAATTCCTAGGGGCTCGACTGCTCCTGCCTCCTCCTGCCTCCTCCTGCCTTCTTTATTATTATTATTATTATTATTATTATTATTATTTATTTATTATTATTATTTTTTGAGACAGAGTCTCGCTCTGTTACCCAGGCTGGAGTGCAGTGGCGCCATCTCGGCTCACTGCAAGCTCCGCCTCCCAGGTTCGCCTCCCAGGTTCGCCCATTCTCCTGACTCAGCCTCCCGAGTAGCTGGGACTACAGGCACCTGCCACCACACCTGGCTAATTTTTTTGTATTTTTAGTAGAGACAGGGTTTCACCCTGTTAGCCAGGATGGTCTCGATCTCCTGACCTCGTGATGCGCCCGCCTCGGCCTCCTAAAGTGCTGGGATTACAGGCTTGAGCCACCGTGCCTGGCCTCCTCCTGCCTTCTTACTGTGGGCACCTGAACTACCTCGCACTAGAGAGGCAACTCTTCAGCTCCACCTGCTCGTCTCGAATTGGCCCACAATACTTTCTAGTGAATACTGGTATATCTGGGGTTCTTCTGTTCTCAGGTCTATCATGCCTCACCCCCTTGCTTTCTAACTTCTTTCAGCCCCTCAAACCCAGATACCATGCAACTCTTGAGGCTGTTGGCCATTTATATATGCTAGGTTAGTGGGAATAATTTGTCACCTAGTTTTGTCATAAATATTTTCCTTGGGTTGTGGGTTTTGCTGCCTAGTTTCTGTGTGTCTGCATGGGGACTTGGAAAAACTGAAAACTTGGACCCCTTTGCCTAGAATCTGGTTTATTCTTTATAACAGGGGCACTGTATTTATCTAACCAGTCCCCTATTGATGGATATGTGGGTTGTTTCTGAATTTTGCTATCACAATCAATGTGCCCTATTATTGTTTGAATGTTTGCCCCCTCCCAAACTCATGTTGAAATTTAATTACCATTGTAACAGTATTAAGAGGTGGGACCTCTAAGAGGTGATTAGGCCATGAGGGCTCTGCCCTCATGAATGGATTAATACTGTTATTGTGGGAGTGGATTCACCCCCGTTCATCTCTCTCTCACCTCTCTTTGCCCTTCTGCCATGTTATGACTGATCAAGAAGGCCCTCACCCCATACACAGTTCCCAGAACTGTGCACCAGTCATCTGTTTATTATAGATTGCCCAATCTATAATATTAATTATTATTGTTACCCAATTATTACTAATTAATACTCAATCTATAATAATAATAATCTGTTTATTATATATTACCCAATCTGTGATATTCAGTCATTGCAGCACAAAATGGACCAAGTCATACCCTTTACACAAGTGCATATGAGCAGGTACATCTGTAGGATACATTTCTAGAGGTGGAATAGTTCAATAAGGATATGAACACAGTAGGTGCTCAAAAATATTTGCTAATTTGAGTTAGAAAATGTATTTGCCACAATAGTAATAAAATTTGTTCTGGCCCACAGCCCAGGTAGACTTCTATTGAGAACAATGTACTTAAATACTGTTAAGCACAACTTTGGGGCTCCTTGAGCAGAAGAAAGAGGAAACAAAAAAAGACACTGATTCATTCCTGCAGTTAGCAATCAGGTGTTGCCTAGTGTACTACAGACTCTACTGGGGCCTGGGGATATAGCAGAGGTCCTAGCCCTGTTGGAGCTCACAGTTCAGAGTGGAGATGCCTTTGTTGTTTGAGCAACTTTGAGAATTAAATGATTGCTCTTCATACTCACAATTGAGTAACACTTCGTAAAACGTACCATCCAATCTTTGTCTACACCTAGAAAAACTTCAGGGTAAATTTCAGTGCAGAGCACAGGGAGAACAGCTGTCCAGGATAAATACTTAGATGTCAGCTGTCCATTTGGTCATATGCCATTTCTGAGAGTCAGTCTACAACCTCCTCTTCAGAAGGCACCCAAGGTTTTCTGTAAACAGATGAGGCTGCTTCAGGGGTACACTGCGATGCTTCATTCCTGTTGGTACTGGAGTACAAATCTGGGAACTTTAAAATGCATCGATGGTGGAAAAAAAGAAAAAAACAAAACAAAAACAAATAGCAAAAGCGGTGTGCATTGCTTCAGTTTCAGCCAAGTTCATTCTCTCTTCCAGAAACCCAGCTTCCATGCTGATGTCCTTAAGCCATCAATGCCGTCAACAATGCTGTTATTCCCTAAGTTCAGGGTCAATAAAGGCAGAGCTAGCTCCGCAGCTCATGGCAAAGATCTCCATTTGGCCATAACATTTTCCCAGATTGACCTCGTAATGTTTTTCAACACGGTGCTCTGGACAACCTCTACAAAGAGGTGAAGGCATCCAAGCTGAGTCTCATCTCCCATCCCCTATGTGACTATTCTGCACTGAAACCTGGGACTCTTCCTCCTTCTTTATCCCTCTGCAGTGATTCAGTCCCCAAGTCCAAGTCTATTCCAATGATCCCTTCACCTCTATATTTCTTCTACTCTTTCTGATCATCCTCCATAAGTTCTGCTGCCAGATTAACCTGTCACCCCTTTGAAGCCATGATTCATGTGGGCTGGTCTCAGGCTGATGTGATGTTCAAAGAAACGCAGTCTAGCATCCACTTGTATTTTCAAAAATTGCTCCCGTCCTTTATGTCTCTTTAGTCCCATGCAGGAGATACTTTGCCTATAGAAACATTTCTCAAACACCCTCTTTGTCTGTCTCCTACTCCCATCACTTCCTGGGGCTTCTTCTGTGCTTTCTTGTCTAAACTCCCCCAGTCCCTAGCCCCGGACTCTGAGACACTTCTCACTCCACCCTTCCCCCTTCCCTGGTCTTTGCATCACAAAAGCCCAAAGAGTCAGCAGGGAAATGACCCAGCCTTTCTTAGAGAGCTTGGGGAAAGAAACCTGGTGGGGAAACTCTTTTAGTCGGACAGACAGAGGCATATTAAAACTCATTAAAAAAAAAACTCTTAAAAAAGAAAAACACTTTGTAAATGTAATTTTTTCTGCTCCTTGACACAGATTTTCCCATCATCCCCTAGCGTCTAATGGATAGAGTCCACGCTCCTGGCCTGGGAGTCAAGACCCTCCACGTGCACCCTTAACTTATGTCTCAAGCTTCTCTACTGCTTCCCAGCCTTACCCCTCTGCCCTTCCCAGCCACTTTATCTGCTGTCCCTGACCACACCACCAATATCCCAGCATGCTGGCTCCTCTCTTCTTCCCCATCCAATTCCCGATTTTCCTTCCAGTGTCATCTCAAGTGGCTTTATCTCGGGGTTTGATGTTTTCTGCTCCTCCCAAACCTCCCAAGCCTTCTGACTCTTCATAAGAGTTTGTTCGGTGAATGAATGAAGCCCTCACTTCATGCCCTTCTCTGGTACAGGAATCGCATCATTCAGGAAGCTTCTTTGAGCAACTAACAGGCATTTTCTTAGCTTATTTCGTTGCCTTTAAACCAAGGCTGCCATTTCTGCCTGTGCGTTCTGTCTGCCTTCGCTGCACCTCCACTCCTTCAAGCTTGGATTGATGACTTCTGTTCTCTAATTTTATCTGGGCAATCAAATTCCCAAAATATGTGTAAAAGAGAAGATTGCATTCCTATTTTACAAACGTGGCAACTCTGTGGAATTTTTAATCAGATACCAGCTTTTCTGCATCTCTGTGATGTTTTTCCTCCTTCGGAGTCAGTAGATAGGGCCTTTTGCTTTGCATTGTTGACCATTGTCCTTGCCTTCTGACATTTTTTGCTGTCTTCCTCACGTGCATTCCACAGTCAGAATACTGGGCTTTGTCCTTCCCTCTTTCATTACAAGAAGCTCTGCTATAAGGATGTTTTGTGGGTTCCTCAGCTCTAATGAAATTCCAGGCATTTCCTTGAAGCTGGCCCCCAGGGAGAAGCTACTCTCACTGGTCTGTGACGCTCAGCTAGAGAGGAGATGACGGCGTGAGTTTGGTTCTGGGCTGGAATTTCTTGTTGCAACATCCCAGCGTGGCCCCTCTTAGAACCTTCCCACCACCACATTCAAATCTTATTCCTCCAGCCTCTGGCACACCTTCAGCCTGCTACCAGCAGAGAAAAAAAAAAAAAAGACATATGTTCTTGCTCCATATATCCTTGAGGTGGGCAAAAAAATTAAATGTTAACCATGGAGGAAATTGTGCACATCCAGACAGGACACTGTGGCAGTCAGATCAGTGCCAAATTCTGGGAAGTTATCAGTGATGGTCATAGCATGGACCTACCAGTACCTGCCCAGGGACCACGATCTGTAGCTGGACCACATCTTGGTGTGCCACAGTGAAGGCACTGGGGACAAATATGTTCCTCCCACTATCCTGGTGGATCCAGAACCTGGGATCATGGACTCTGCTCAGATCCTTTTGAAACCATGCCCCAAAGAGTTAAAGAAACCAGTGACTCACAGAAATTCTTAAGCCTGCAGGATGGCAGATAAGAAAAGAAACAGCTTGCTGAAATTCCCTCCAACTATAAGGTAACAAAACAGGCTGAAATCAGTTGAAACCAATACGGCCCACTGGAGTATACGCAGAACGAGACTGGTGATGCTACGACCTGAATTTCCTCTGCATGTTTCATCCTAACTCCCCCAGAATTTGCACGTGGGCCCCATAAAAAGGCAGGAAGAGATAATTGTCCATGCCCAAGGACTTTGCAGACCACCCTTTTCACTCCCTGAACCTTTTCTAACAAAAGTACAGCCTTATGCCCAGCACAGGGAGACCGATTTGAGCTAGAATGCTATCTCCTTGTTGATAGACCTGCAATAAAAAGCGTTTCTTTTCTGAAAAACCCAGTGTCATAGCGTTGGCTTCTAGCGCATCGGGTAGTGAGCACTTTTGCTTAGATCTGCAGACCAGACCACTTTGTTTTCGGTCAGTTTGGGGCAGGCAGCAGTACACAGTGGAGCTGAGCTGGTTGATTCATTCCTGGATATGTGCAGAAGGAAGCTGAGAGCTGTGACTGCCTTCAGGGCTTCCAGCTGACCCACTCACTGGGTGAGGGCACAGGCTCTGGAATGGGCACCCTCCTCCACAGCAAGATCCGAGAAGAGGATCCTGACCACATCATGAACACCTCCAGTGTAATGCCCTCACTCAAAGTGTTTGGCACTGTGGCTGAGCCCTGCAGTGCCCCCTCCCCATCCATCCACTGGTAGAGAACACTGATGAGACCTGCGGCACAGACATTGAGGCTCCTTATAATATTCGCTTCCGCACCCTCGAGCTGACCACACAAAACTATGAGGACCTGACCCACCTGTCTCAGCTAACATGCGTGGGGTCACCACCTTCCTCTGCTTCCCTCACCAGCTCAATTCGGACCTCTGCAAGCTAGCAGTCAATACAGTGTCCTTCCCACGCCTCCAGTTCTTCATGGCTACCTTTGCCCCTCTCACCAGTTGTGGAAGCCAGCTGTATAGGGCTCTCACCATGCCCAAACTCACCCAGCAGGTCTTTGATGCCAAGAACATGATGGCTGCCCCACCAGGACTGCCTTCTTCCATGAATATCCATCCATTCATGAAGGAAGTCAATGAGCAGATGCTCAGTGTGCAGAACAAGAGTCGCCAGCAGCTATTTCATGGAATGGATGCTAACAACGGTCAAGACAGCCATGTGGGACATCCTTCCTCATGGCCACAAGATGGCGGTCACGTTCGTCGGCAACAGCGCGGCCACCCAGAAGCTCTCCATGGCCTCTCAGGGCAGTTCCCTGCTGTATTGTGCGGGAAGGCTGTCCTCCACTGGTATGCAGGGGAGGGCATGAACGAGATGGAGTTCGCTGAGGCCGAGAACAACATGAATGACTTCATCTCTGAACATCGACAGTCTAGGACGCCGCCGCAGAAGAGGGAGAGGACTCAGTGAGGAAGCCCAGTGGGAGGCCTAAGGCAGAGCTCCCATCACCTCAGGCATCTCAATTCCTTCAGCCTTCTTCCTTGGCTGCCCCTTTCTTCTCCCTCAGTAGTCGTGTTTGCTGCCTTTACCTTGTTTATCTGGGGAGAGGGAGGGTCTAGAGCAGTGCCTGGTACATAGTAAGTGCTCAATAAATATTTGTCTGCTGAATGTCTCCTCTCTCTTTCCACTCCAGGAAACCTAGATTTCTGCCGATCTGGGTAACCGTGTATTTCCTTCTGGTACCCTCCTCCCATCTGCCCAATTAATATGTCCCTCTGTTTTCAAAATAATTCTCCAGGAAGCTGGGTCCCATTCAGATCCCATTTAGAACCAACCGGGTGCTGAAAACCCAGATAATGTGCACCATCCTATGTCCACGTAGTAGCCAGCACTGGGAAGGTAGAAGGTGGCAGGAAGAAGTTACTGCAAGGGGCTGGGCATGGTGGCTCACGCCAGTCATCCCAGCACTTTGAGAGGCTGAGGCTGGAAGATTGCTTGAGCTTAGATGTTTGAAACCAGCCTGGGCAACATAGCAAGACCACGTCTCTATTTTTTTTTTAAGTAACAATAAAAAAAAAGAAAGAAGTTACTGCAAGGAAGAGGATGGGATTTTCCATTCTAGAACGGTTTTGGAGAGGGAAATCCAGGCTCATAAAGCCATAATTCCCAGGTATTTCTGTGCTCCAATTCTCAGGTTCAGGGGAGGTGGTAACAGCATTATCCCATTTTCAGTTTCCTTTGGAGGAGTCGCCCCGCTTCACCAAGAGAGGTCTTTCCTTCTCCCACCACTCCTCTTCTCTCACAAATTTTTTTTTCTTTTTTTTTTTTTTGAGACGGAGTCTCCCTCCATTGCCCAGGCTGGAGTGTAATGGTGCGATCTCAGCTCACTGCAACCTCTGCCTTCCGGGTTCAAGCGATTCTGCTGCCTCAGCTTCCTGAGTAGCTGGGATCACAGGCACACACCACCATGCTGGGCTAATTCTTGTATTTTTAATGGAGCTGGGTTTTCACCATGTTGGCCAGTCTGGTCTCGAACTCCTGACCTCAGGTGATCCGCCCACCTCTGCCTCCCAAAGTGCTGGGATTAGACGTGAGCCACAACGCCTGGCCCCCTCTTACATTTTGGATCCCTTCCTTTTCCCTAATCAGAAAAGGAGATTAAGAGGGAGAGATCTGCCTGGGTCCCTTAGCCTCTAGAAATGCCCTCTCCATTCCCAATTTGTCTTACCCCTTAAAAGGTGTAACATCCCTGACATATGTGGGAAGGTGTGTTCCCCCACCTAAATGTTTGAGTCATTCCCAAGATGAGAGGGGATGGGGCAACATCTCATCTCTTCCTTTTGCTATTCCCTTTTTTCCCCTGCTCTTGGTTTTGTCCTACCCTACACTTCAGATTTCTATTTTGGGTTGAACTTGCTGCTTTTTCCTCATAATGAAAAGATGACATTGTCCCAAGAGCCAAAATTAAATGGGAATTGGAAAAAAATCCACTGTGCAGATTGTCTTTCTTCCCTACCCGGCAGGGATGATACAGGGAAGCAGCGTCCAATACCACCTTTGTTAAGAGCCTAGAAGCTCAAAGTGTGGGCACTCCTGAGAGAGGGCCCTCATGCACATGCCATGGCACCAGAGGACCTGGTGGGACAGCAGCCCCCACCCCGGTTCACAGAGCAGCTGCCATCGCCCAGGCTAACCTGGAGCATGCAGGTAACAGTGTCTGTTGGAGGATCACACATATGTTGTTGCTAGACAATGTACCCTGAACAATGCAAATATACAGCAGTTTTGCAAACATCAGAGCAGACAAAAGTCATTCTTGATGTATTACCCTCAATTTGGAATAAATCCTTTGTGCAACAGAGCATTTCCCTTACCCTTTATAAAAAGCTCCTTTTAAGGCAGACCTTTGGACAAACCAAGGGGACGATGACCCCTTGGTCAGACTTCTTTTTACCAGGATGTGGCAGAGTTAGCCTGCAGTGTGAGAAGACAAGTCCTCTGACACCACTTGAAGGGGCTGAGACAGACCCGGTCAGGGCTGATGGCTGTCAGAGGGCTCACCACTCCACACTCAGAGGTGGATTTTTTTCCAATTCCCCTGCTCTGTGAGACAGTCACACTCACAGAGTGTCTCTTTAGAAGCTTTTATGGAAGCTTTTAAATTTGCTTCACAAAATGTTAACCTGGCTGTGTTTTCTGCATTGCATATATTTAAGGTGTATGACTTGATGATCTGATTGGTTGAATTTTTGATTGTTTACCTTTTCCTTTTTTCATACTGCTTTAAGTATAACAAAAAGGGAAAGGAAACTTTTAAAATACATTGGATCTCATTTCCCCTTTACAGACAAGTATTTTGCTTCCTATGACTCAACTTTTATATTAGTCAGGATTCTCCAGAGAAACACACTCAATAGGCTATACAGAGATAAATAAGAGGAAATTTAGGGGCTGGGCATGGTGCCTCACACCTGTAAACCCAGCACTTTGGGAGGCTGAGGCAGGCAGATCACTTGAGGTCAGGAGTTTCAGACCAGCCTGGCCCATCTCTACTAAAAATACAAAAATTAGCCAGGTGTGGTGGCACATGCCTGTAATCTCAGCTACTCCGGAGGCTGAGGCAAGAGAATCACTTGAACCTGGGAGGCGGAGGTTGCAGTGAGCCGAGATCATGCCACTGCACTCCAGTCTGGGCAACTGAGTGAGACGCCCTCTCAAATTATAATAAAAATAAATAAATAAATAAGATAAGATTTATTATAGGAACTGGCTCATGTGATTATGGAGGCTGGGAAGTCCCACGGCAGGCTGTCTGCAGGCTGGAGGCCCGGGAAAGCCAGGGGTGTACTGCAGCCTGAGCCCAAAGGCCAGAGAACCTGGGGAGCTTATGGTGTAAGTCCTGGAGTCCAAAGGCCTGAGCACCAGGAATGCACACGTCCAAGGGCTGGAGAAAATGCAGGTCCCAGATCCAGAAAAGAGAGAGAGAGAATTCCCTTTGCCTCCTCCTTTTTTGTTTTGTCTGGCTTCTCAGTGGATGGGATATGCCCACCCACATTGGTGAGGGTGATCTTTACTTAGTCAATGGATTCAAATGCCAATCCCTTTCAGAAACACCCTCACACACACCCAGAAAGACTGCTCTACAGGCCATCTGGGCATCCCTTAATCCAGTCAAGTTGACCTGTGACATTAGCTGCTGCAACTCATTATTTCATGTCTTCAGCTGCGATATTAAGAAACATGATGGAATCCATCAACCTACGCCATCAGCATTCATCAACACAGGTGCAACTTAGGTTAAAAGATGAGGCTTTGGGGGAAGATATTCAAAGCACCAAGCCCTACTTGTCACCAAAAGCAGAATTTCAGATCAGTGGGTGGACATTGGGCAGGAGGCGCTCTTATGTGGCATCTCTCAGAGAGCTCTGCAGGGTCTCATCCCGATGGCTGCACAAGGTGGTGGGTGACGGGGATGCCCGCTGAGCCTGAGGCCCAGGGCAGCCTGACAGAGGGCCTGTGTCTCAGCCCTCTCGGGCAGAAGGTTAGGACCAGGCAGCCTGGCATCTTGATTTCCACAGCCCTTTTCCTCATCCTCTTGGTCTCATGTCCTGCTCTGGACTCTCTAACTAGCTGGTTAGTTCCTGACCAAGGTTGGGCTTCCTCCACTCCCACCTCTGTTTCTGTTTCCTAATTTTCGTGGGCTGCCTATCTCTTTCTTAGAGTCTTAGAAATAATGGCTAGTTCATCTGTCTGTAGCCATGTCTATAGTGTCCATAGGCTTAAAAATGTTTTCACAGAGGCCGGGCGTGGTAGCTCACGCCTGTAATTCCAGCACTTTGGGAGGCCGAGTCGGGCAGATCACAAGGTCAGGAGTTCGAGACCAGCCTGACCAACATAGTGAAACCCCGTCTCTACTAAAAATACAAAAAATTAGCTGGGCGTGGTGGCAGACCCCTGTAATCCCAGCTATTTGGGAGGCTAAAACAGGAGAATCGATTGAACCCGGGAGGCGGAGGTTGCAGTGAGCTGAGATCACGCCATTGCACTCCAGTTCAGGCGACAGTGTGAGACTCTGTCTCAAAAAAAAAAAAAAAAAATGTTTTCACAGATGATCCAGGAAACGCACTTTGAAGGGTCCTAAATCTGCTTTCCCTCCCGTGAGCCTCTTGTGAATCTGAAGTTCTCAGCAGGTTGCCAGCCACTAATAGAACAGAGAAACACAGAAATCAATGCGAAAACCTTTGTTGCTATGTTCTTCTTACAAAAATTACAGACATGTCCTAGGTAAGATAAGCATATGTTCTCTGATAATGATGATCAATATCATTCTTCTCTGAAATGCAATCTAGAAAACAGGTCCCCAGAGGCTGCCCTGATGGGTGGTGGCTGCCAGCAGTGTGCCCTGAAGGAGACTGATCTGGTCACATGGCCCTCCCACCCCAGGGTGGCAGCACCCACAGACTTAGGAGAGACACACAGGAGGGTGACTCAGCCTGGCTCTCAAGAAAGGGCCAAAACACCCTTGGTGAGAAAGCACAGAAGACGCTAAGACAACCCCTGGAGAAACCAAAGGAAGAAAGTTACATGCAGGAGACAGAGCCTAAGCAGACAAGAGCTGGAAGATTCCCCTGGCTGCGGCTGGAGTGGAGGAGGACCACACTCCCAGTGCAGAGCCACCCGGCAGGGGCCCATTTGAGTTTTGAAGCGAAATCACCCTTTCTGAGTACTCTTTGTGTGTCAGGCATGTGCTAGCTGTTTTGCATGCATGGCTGGGCGCGGTGGCTCACGCCTGTAATCCCAGCACTTTGGAAGGCCAAGACAGGTGGATCACAAGGTCAGGAGATCAAGACCATCCTGGCTAACACGGTGAAACCCCATCTCTACTAAAAATACAAAAAATTGGCCAGGTGTGGTCGCTGGCGCCTGTAATCCCAGCTACTTGGGAGGCTGAGGCAGGAAAATTGCTTGAACCCAGGAGGCGGAGGTTGCAGTGAGCCTAGGTTGTGTCACTGCACTCCCAGCCTGGGTGACAGAGCGAGACTCCATCTCAAAAATAAATAAATAAATAAGTCACAACAACCTCATGAGATAGACATCCTTACTTACAGATGGGGAAACTGAAACACTGAGGGTTAAATAACTCGCTAAATATCCCATGGCTGGTCATGGTGTAGCTGGGACACACACAAACCCAGGCCTATCAACTCCAGTGCCTACACGCTTATCCAGTGCCTCTAGAGGGACAGACACAGTACTGAAAAGTGCCTGTGAAAGACAAAGTGTCACCTGTCTCATTGCAGTAGTGGACAAATGGAACTCTGACTGCTCAGGAAAGAAGAGGTCGGTGCTCTTGGAGCTTCACTCTCTTGTCCCATGCAGGTGCAGGGTAGAGGCTACGGATTTCCTGACACCCACCCTCCTGGCCATCCCCTGATCTCATCACCAGGCTCATCCTCCCACTCCTGGCCACGTGCCTGGAGGTTCTCCTGTCTCTGCCTCAGGTGGCTTTTCTGGTTTCTGGGCCATCTCTCATGGCCTCTGTGAGCCCTGTCCTCCCATGACTCACAGTTTGCTCCCTGAATCTCACCCTCAGACTCTAACTGGAGGATCCATTCCAGCTTTCCCGCATCTCAGTCCCAGTGAGTGGTTCTGTGTCTGTGAAGCCTCAGAAGCAGAACCAATGGGATGATATAGAATGTGGGGGTTTATTATAGGAATTTGATCTCATGCAAATGTGGGAACTGGTTAGAGTTTATGTACGTTTTTTGCTTCTGTGCCTGGTCAGCTGTGAGGAAGGACAGATGACACAAAGTGAGGAAAAGGACAAGCTCACCCTGGAGAATGAGTTTGGAGCCCTCCTGGGCTTCTCCCTACCTCTGGGAAGCACCTGTCAGGTGAATTGCAGGAGAAGCTGGTGCCTTTGCCATGGAGCTGAGCATGAACTACCTGGCCCAGCAGACAGGGAATTGGGAGAAACCGGGGGGAAGTGGTTGCTGCAGGCCGGGTTGCTCTCCCATGCCCAGGAGGTGGGCCGGCAGGTCAGGGACAGTGCACCTGGGCTGTGAAGCTTGTGGTGCCTGCACTGACATTCTGAGCAAGGTGGCTGCTGTTTTCCCCTCCACCTTGCAAATCTCAAGAATGGGTCTGGGCCAGGTGCAGTGGCTCACACCTATAGTCCCAGCTACTTGGGAGGCTGAGGCAGGAGGATCATTTGAGCTCAGGAGTTCCAGGCTCCGATGAAATATGATCACACCACTGCACTCCAGCCTGGGCGACAGAGTGAGACCATGTCTCTAAAATAAATAAATGAAAAGGAAAAATAATGGTTTTGCTAGGCTCTTTTCCACACTGACTGATGAGGCCAAAGAAATAAGTGGGAAGAAGGAGTTCATGGAAACTGCCTGGCTGTTTCTGAGCCACTGTCCCCTGTCCCAGAGGCTTTGCTTGGGCAGACAGAGGGTTCATCTTACTGAGAGGTGGGGAAAAGGGCAGGAAATGGAGAGAAAGGAAGAACAAATCCCTCTCATTTGATCAGTTCATTTATTGGATGTTTCTTGTTAGAAGCTGAGAATAAAGACATGCAAAAGATGCAGCCTGACCTCTGGAAGCAGACAGTATCGATTATCCCAGGCATGTGGGAGGAGCCGGGTGGACTCTCAGGGTCTCATCGTGCTGCTCTCCCAGGTCTTGCCTTAGGCACCACCATTACTGCATTTGAGAAATGGCGCTGGCAGTAGTTGCTCCTGCTTAAAATGTAAGGGGGCGGCCAGGCGCAGTGGCTCATGCCTGTAATCCCAGCACTTTGGGAGGCCGAGGCAGGCGGATCACAAGGTCAGGAGATCAAGACCATCCTGGCTAACACGGTGAAACCCCGTCTCTACTAAAAATAAAAAAAATAGGCGGGGCACAGTGGCTCACGCCTGTAATCCCAGCACTATGGGAGGCCGAGACAGGTGGATCACGAGGTCAGGAGATCGAGACCATCCTGGCTAACATGGTGAAACCTGTCTCTACTAAAAATACAAAAATATTAGCCAGGCGTGGTGGCGGGCGCCTGTAGTCCCAGCTACTCGGGAGGCTGAGGCAGGAGAATGGCGTGAACCCAGGAGGCGGAGCTTGCAGTGAGCCGAGATCGTGCCACTGCACTCCAGCCTGGGTGACAGAGTGAGACTCTGTCTCAAAAAAAAAAAAAAAAAAAAAAAAAAAAGTAAGGGGGCAGCTCGCACCATTAGGATGGCCACTATCAAAAAAAAAAAAAAAAAAAACCCAGAAAATAAGTATTGGTGAGGATGTGGAAAAATCGGAACCCTTGTGCACTGTTGGTAGGAATGTAAAATAGTGCAGGCACTATGTAAAACAGGATGGCAGTTCCTCAAAAACTTAAAAATAGAATTACCATATGATCCAAAAATTCCACTGTTGAGTATACATGCCAAAGAAAGCAGGGTCTTGAAGTGATATTTGTACACTGCGTTCGAAGCACTATCATTCACATTAACCAAAAAGTGGAAGCAAGCCAAGCATCCATCCACAGACAAGTACATAAACAAAATGTGGTGGATTCATACAATGGAATAGTATTGAGGACAACATTTCTACTAAGTGAAATGAGCTAATCACAAAAGAACAAATACCGCGTTATTCCACTTATATGAGGTGCCTAGACTCATCAAATTCACAAAGACAGAAAGTAACATGGTGGTTGCCAGGGGCCATGCAGTGGGGAGGGGATGGGGACACAGTTTCAGTTTTGCAAGATGAAAAGAGTCCTGGAGATAGATGATGGGGATGGCTGCACAACACTGTGAATGTATTTAACACTACTAACTGTACACTTAAAATGGTTAAAATAGTTTATTTTATTTTATTTTATTTTATTTTGAGATGGAGTCTAGCTCTGTTGCCCAGGCTGGGGGCAATGGCATGATCTCGGCTTACTGCAACCTCTGCCTCCCAGGTTCAAGCAATTCTCCTGCTTCAGCCTCCCAAGTAGCTGGGATTACAGGTGCCCATGACCACGCCCGGCTAATTTTTTTGTATTTTTAGTAGAGACAGGGTTTCACCATGTTGACCAGGCTGGTTTTGAACTCCTGACCTCAAGTGACCTGCTGGCCTCGGCCTCCCAAAGTGCTAAGATTACAGGCGTGAGCCACCACGCCCAGCCAAAATGGTAAATTTTATTATATGTGTTTTTCACCATAACTTTTATAAAAAACCTAAGGAGAAATGTTGAAACTACCAAGGAGAAGGTGTTATTGAGAATAAACTCCAACAGCCGAGACCTGTTGGTCCTCTTTGGTCAACTGGAGCAGGTGAGAGGGGATGCCCTGACCTCAAGCCTCTCCTCTCCAATTGTTTCAAGGTTTGCTTCTGTGAAAAGGAAAATGGAAGTTTACTTAAACCCCGGCATGTGTTTTATTTTGTCCTAATTGTGTAGCCAGGCATTCACTGTTCTCATTAGTTCTGCCAAGTCAGCACCAGAGGCTGGCGAGGTGGCCGTGGAGATGAACGAGTCCTTCCAGATGGCAGAGAGCGGTGTGAGGCTGAGGCTTGTCATAGTGATATGCAATGCCCCTGAACTCTGAAGCTGAGAACTTCCTTTGGGAAGCTGGGTGACCATCTGCGAACACTTCCACCCCAAACATCATCATCAGTGGTTTTACGATGATGTTTGAGTTCCTAGTGTAGCAGTTAAATTTTACAGCAAAAGCTATAATGCTCCTTTATACTTTGTTAAATTATCTTTGGACAAAGAGTTATGGGAGAAGGTGAAGAATGAAGAATTCCTTTCTGAAACACAATAAAAAGAGTGGATCAATGTTTTTCGGTAGCTCCTGGGGCCGTCTTCCCCTGACAATGTTTCTCAACGCTGAAACACACACATGGTCTTGCAGAGCCAGCCTCTGAGCGAGGAAAAGCTTGGCACCCCCATGTCCTGAGTGGGCTCAAGTTCAGGTTTCCAAGGCCATGGTGCCCAAGCTACAGGCAGCCAAAGTTTCAGATGTTACCATAGCTAATTGTAATTTACTCAGCTTCATCCTCACAAAGCTGAGGACATTAACACTGTAGTTAGCACCATTTTCCAGCAGGGGAACTGGGGTTTAGACACAGAGTTAGGTTTTGCTCAAGGTCATGCAGCAAGTAAACGTGAAAAATGAGGTTTGAACCCAGGCAATCTGGGTTTAGAGGCTGAAGACTTTACTACATGCAGCTTGGGCTCTGGTGGCAGAGATGTCAACGCCATCAGAACAATACAGAACTCATGAAAGCTCCAGTTCCAGATAGGATGTTGAGGACACCACAATGTCAGAAGGTGTCACACTGGTTTTGTTTTTAAATCAAGAAGGTGCTAAAAGGAGGCAATCAGATAATAGGAGAAAAAAAGTCACTACTGGGTTGGGGCACATGCATGAGCCTGCAGGGACAGGAAGGAGGGAGGGTAAGGTATCTCCACCAGACCCTCAACTCACCCTCTCCCTCCTCCTGGGTTCAAGTGATTCTCCTGCCTCAGCCTCCCAAGTAGCTGGGATTACAGGCGCCCACCACTACGCCCAGCTAAGTTTTGTATTTTTAGTAGAGACGGTTTCATCATGTTGGTTGGTCAGGCTGGTCTTGAACTCCTGACCTCAGGTGATCCACCTGCCTCGGCCTCCCAAAGTGCTGGGATTATAGGCGTGAGCCACCGCACCAGGCTTCCAGTCCCTTCTTTTGGCCTCTAGTTATAAAGGTAATTGTAACCATGAAATATCCAGGATATAAGTTCCCTTTGCCCACTGGTACTTTCGACTTGGTTTATCCACGTTTTCGTGCACTCTGTGTCTTCTTAGTCTATATCCTATGATAGTTATTCTACGATTCACACAATATCCATTCTCTCATTTCTTACGACCAAATTTAACTTCAACCTTTTCTAACTTTGTGATACCAGAAAATCAAAATGATTTATCTCTTTCCTTCTGTCTCCCAATAACGCGCACACATGCACGTGCGCACACACACACACACACGTACAATATAGTTTCTAGAAAATGTTCATCTAGCTCGGTTTTCTGGCCCTTAACCGAATGTGTGAGTAGTGTAAGGATGCATTTTCTTGATCCTGTGCTATGTTTAAAGCAATATGTCTCCATCTGATCAGGGTTATGTCTCTCTACAAATGCTGGATTTATGTAAATGCCACTCTGTCTCCAACCAGTACAGCACATGATTTAGCTGTCGTTCAGTGATGTTATTTTGGAGAACTGCATGAGCTCTAACTACAGAATTTAAGAAATTCTATATTAAAGGAGAAGAACCAGCATCAGTGCTGGCTTTTACAAAACTATTTATTTCAAAATAATTGGAGACCCACAGGGACTTGTAAAAATAAGAAATAGAGTTTGTTGAGCCCTCCCTCACCTTACTTCCTCCAGTGGTGACATCTTTTATAACTCTATTGCAACATGAGAGCCAAGGACCAAGAAATTAACACTGCTACATTACACTGCAACCTTACTCAGTTTTCACTTATTTTTACCCTGCATTAATTTGTGTGTGTGTGTGTGTGTGTGTGTGTGTGTGTGTGTATAGTTTTATGCAATTTTACCCTATGTGTAGATTTATGTAATGTCAGGATCAGGATACGGAACCATTCTATCATCTCTGGGGAACTATCTCATACCCATCCTATCCAGGCTCACCCATCCACCCACCCGTCCCTAACAGCAACCACTAACCTGTTCTCTATCTCTATAGTTTTGTCATTTTGAGGATGTTTTGAAATGAACTTGTACAATATTTTTTAAAAAAACCATTTCAAATTGGCTGTTTTTACTAAGTAAAATGAATGCCCTTAATATCCATCCAAGCTACTGCATGCATCAATAGTTTTCATTGCTGAGTAATATTTTCTTTTATGGATGAACCAGTTTGTTCAACTCTTCACCCTTTGAAGGACATTTGGGTTGTTTCCACTGTTTGGTTATTATGAATAAAATCGCTGTGAGTGTACAAGTTTGTGTGTGAATATAACTTTCCATTTCACTACTGGGTTGTATTGTTAGTACATGCCTAGTTTGTTGTTCTCTTTTTGAGATGAAGTCTGGCTCTGTCGCTCAGGCTGGAGTGCAGTGGCACCATCTCGGCTCACTGCAACCTCCGCCTCCCAGGCTCAAGTAGTTCTCCTGCCTCAGCCTCCCGAGTAGCTAAGACTACATGTACTTGCCACCACACCTGGCTAATTTTTGTATTTTTAGTGGAGACAGGGTTTCACCATGTCGGCCAGGCTGGTCTTGAACTCTGACCTCAAGTGATCCACCCACCTCAGCCTCCCAAAGTGCTGGGATTACAGGCATGAGCCTCCACACCTGGTTGTACATGCCTAGTTTTTAAAGAAACTTATTTTCCAGAGTGGTTATACCATTTTCACACTTCCACTAGCTATGTGTGAGAATTCCAGTTTCTCAACATCCTTGCCAAGATTTCATGTTATGCCTATTTTTATATTTTAGCTATTTAAAAAACAATTTTTTTCTTTTCTTTTTTATTTTATTTTTTGCTCTGTGCCCAGGCTGGAGTGCAGTGGCATGATCTCCACTCACTGCAACCTCCGCCTCCCTCGTTCAAGTGATTCTCCTGCCTCAGCCTCCTAAGTAGCTGGAATTACAGGCATGTGCCACCACACTTGGCTAATTTTTTTGTATTTTAGTAGAGACAGGGTTTCGCCATGTTGGCCAGGCTGGTCTTGAACTCGTGACCTATATGATCAACCCACCTCGGCCTCCCAAACTTAGAATGGTTTCTTCATGTTGTTGCTAGTACATAAAAATACAATTGATTTTTCTGTGTTGATCTTGTATCTTCAAACTTTGCTATACTCACTTAGCTCTAGGAGTTTTCCTAGATTTCTGATAGGGTTTGGCTGTGTCCCCACCCAAATCTCACCTTGAATTGTAATAATCCCGACATGTCAAAGGCAGGGCCAAGTGGAGACAATTGAATCATGGGGGCGGTTTCCCCCATACTGTTCTTGTGGTAGTGAATAAGTCTCATGAGATTTGACGGTTTTATAAATGGGAGCTCCCCTGCACAAGCTCTCTTGCCTGCCTCCATGTAGGATGTGACTTTGCTCATTTGCCTTCTGCCACAATTGCGAGGCCTCCCAGCCATGTGGAACTGTGAGTTCATTAAACCTCTTTCCATTATAAATTACCCAATCTTGAGTATGTCTTTATTAGCAGCAGGAGAACAGACTAATACAGTATCTTACTTAGCATTTTTTACCTAATCAGGTCATCTGAAAATATGGACAGTTTTATTTCTTCCTTTTTGAGCTGTATGCTTTTTATTTTCTTTTCTTGCCTTATTTTACTGACTGAAAACTTGACAGGACACATCCTTATCTTGTTCCATATCTTACAAGAAAAACGTGAGCTTTCACCATTGAGATGATGTCAACTGTAGGATTTTCTGTAGATGATCTTACTCAAGTTTAGGAGGTTCCCCTTCATACCTAGTTTGCTGAGGGTTTTTATCATAAAATGATAAAGACAAATAAAACAAATACAATAAAAAAACAAATAAAAATAAACTGTCTTTATTGTTGCCAGTCTTGAGATAATTTTGTCATTTTTACTGATATTTTCAAAGAGCCAGCTTTTTCTTTGATTTCTGCTCTTCTCTTTGTTATTTTTTCCTTCTTTTCCTGGTTTCCTGGGGTGGGTGCTTAATTTTTGACCTTAGGATCTTTCTTCTTTCCTAATATAAGCATTTGGTGCTGTAAATTTCCCTCTGTGCAGTGCTTTAGCTGCATGTCACAAATTTCGATGTGATGTGTTTTCGTTTCATGCAGCTATGGGCACTTTTATTTTTCTAACTGACTTTTTAAGCCATTTTAAAGTATACAATTCAGTGGTATTAGTGCATTCAAAATGTCATGTTAGGCCAGGCGTGGTGGCTCACGCCTGTAATCCCAGCACTTTGGGAGGCCGAGGTGGGTGGATCACGAGGTCAAGACATCAAGACCATCCTGGGCAACATGGTGAAACTTCGTCTCTACTAAAAATACAAAAATTAGCCAGCCATGGTGGTGCATGCCTGTAGTCCCAGCTACTCGGGAGGCTGAGGCAGGAGAATTGCTTGAACCTGAGAGGCGGAGGTTGCAGTGAGCCAAGATCTCACCACTGCACTCCAGCCTGGTGACAGAGCAAGACTCCATCTAAAAAAAAAAAAAAAAAAAAGTCATGTTACCATTACCAGTATCCATCTCCAGAATTTTTTTCATTATCTCAAACTGAAACTCTATCCATTAAATGGTAAGTCCTTATTCCCCGTTTTGCTAGTTCCTGGTAACCTCTATTCTACTGTCTGTCTATACATTTGCCAGTCCTAGGTGCTTCATACAAGTGAAATCATACACTTTGCCTTTTTGAGTCTGGCTTATTTCACTTTGCACATGTTTTCAAGGTTCATCACATGTGGTAGCATATGTCAAAATTTCCTTCTTTTTTAAGACTGGATAATAATTCAGTTCATCGTATGTATGTGCCATATTTCATTTATTCATCCATCCATTGGTGGGCTCTTGGGTTCTTTTCACCTATTGTGAATAATGCTGCTGTGAACAGCAATGAACAACTACCTATATTTCTGCTTTCCATTCCGTGTAAGTATATACCCAGAAGTTAGATGACTGGATTGTAAGGTAATTCTATGTTTAACTTTTTGCACAACTCAAACTGTTTTCCACAGTGACTGCATCATTTTACATTCCTACCAGCAGTGCACAAGGGTTAAATTTCTTCACATCCTCACCAACACTTGTCATTTTCAATTTGGGAGGATAATAAGTCATCCTAATGGGTATGAAGTAATATTACATTTTGATCTGCATTTCTCTAGTAATAATGTTTAACATCTTTGATGTGTTTATTGGCCATTTGTACAGCTCCTTTGGAGAAATGTCTATTCATGTCCTTTGCCCATTTTTAAATTGAGTTGCTTGTGGTTTGTTACTATTGTTGTTGAGTTGTAGGAGTTCTTTATATATTCAGGAAATTATTCTATGTGATCTTACTCTCTTTACATTTGTGAAGGTTTGTTTTTTATGATCCAGGTTTTCATCTATCTTAAATGTTCCACGGTGCTTGAAAAGAATGTATACTATGCTGTTGTCACTTAGAATATTCTATCGATGTCCATTAGATCATGTTGATTGATGGTGATGTTCAGTTCATCTGTATCTTTGCTGATTTTCTATCTAATATTTCTATCAATTGCTGACAGAGGGGAATTCAAGTACCCAACCATAATTGGGGAATCGTCTAGTTCTTTTTTCAGTTCTGTTTTTACTTCATGCATTTTGATGTTCTGTCCTTTGGTGTTTGGTACATGCACATTTAAGATCACTGTGTGTTTTTGGATGGTTGCATCTTTATTTATTTATTTAAGACAGATCCTCACTCTGTCATCCAGGCTGGAGTGCAGTGGCACCATCTTGACTCACTGCAACCTCTACCTCCTGGGTTTGAGTGATTCTCCTGCCTCAGCCTCCCAAGTAGCTGGGATTACAAGTGGGCGCCAACACACCCGGCTAATTTTTGTAATTTTAGTAGAGACAGCATTTCACCGTGTTGGCCAGGCTGGTCTTGAACTCCTGACCTCAAGTGCTCTACCCGCCTCGGCCTCCCAGAGTGCTGGGATTAGATGTGTAATCCACTATGCCCGGCCAGGTTGCATCTTTTTATCATTATGTAATGTCCCTGGTAATTTTCTCTTGGAAGTCTACTATATCTGTTATGAAGCCACTCCAGTTGGCATGGCATATCTTTTCCATCCTTTTATATTCAATCTACTTATGTCATTATAGTGAGTTTCTTAGGTGCATCACATAGATGGGTCATTTTTTAATCCATTCTTCCAATCTCTGTTTTTCAGTTCGTCACTAATTATATTTTACAGAGATCATTTATATTAAAAATAATTATTAATCGATTAGGGCTCAAGTCTACCATTTTATTATTGATCTCCTGTGTGTTGTCTCCAGTTCTTGTTCCTTTGTGTACCTCTTCTTGATTTCTTGTGGATTACCTGAATGTTATTTAGAATTTCATTTTGATTTGTTCATAATGTTTTTTATTCATTTGAATAATTTTCTTAGTGTTTGCTCTAGGTATACCAAAATATATGAAGCATATCGCAGTCTACTAGTATTGACATTTACCATAGTCAAGTGTAGAAACTTTACTTCCCTTTATTTCCCTTTGCCCTCTCCAATTTTTAAATATCGTTTTAAGTACTTCTATATACACTGAGTACCATACCAGATGGCATTATAATGTTTGTTTTAACCATCAAATATAATTGCATAAGGAGAAGGATAGTCTATTACGTTTGCCCTTTTTACTTATTCTATTGTTTTTTTCTTTCATTCTGTATTTCCTTTCCTCTTTCTGTCATCTCCATCTGCTATCACTTGCATTTTGTTTCTTTAGCTGTTCTTTAAAAGTAGATTTGGCTGGGCATGGTGGCTCATGCCTGTAATCCCAGCACTTCAGGAGGCCAAAGCAGGTGGATCACTTGGGGCCAGGAATTCGAGACCAGCCTGGCCAACATGGTGAAACCCCATCTCTACTAAAAATACAAAAATTGGCGGGGCATGGTAGTGCACACCTGTAATCCCAGCTACTCGGGAGGCTGAGGCAGCAGAACGCTTGAACCCAGGAGGCGGAGGGTGCAGTGAGCCGAGAGCATGCCACCGCACTCCGGCCCGGGTGACACAATGAGACCCTGTCTCAAAAATTAAAATAAATAAATAAATAAAATTTTTAAAAAGAGTAAATCTGATGGCAACAAATTCTATTCCTTTGTCTGCGAATGTCTTTATCCTTCAGAAATAAATGGTACTTTCACTAGTTTTAGGACATAGGGTTTATAATTCTTTATTTTTCAGCCCTTGAAAAATGCTGGGCTACTTCCTCCTGGTCTCCATGGTTTCAGATGATGAACATTCTGTCATTCAAATCATTGTTCCCCTGTAACTAATTCATCGTTTCTTTCTAGCTGCTTTCAATTGTGTTTTTTGGGGATTTTTGTCTTCAGTTTTCAGAAGTTTTATTATAATGTATCTTGATGTGGATTCTTTTGGTTTTATTCTGTTTGAGATTCACTTAGCTTTTTGAATCTAAGTTTATGCCTTGCACCAAAGTTGGGGAATTTTCAGCCATTATTTCTTCTGGCGCCTTTTCAGCTTCACAAATTTTCTCCTATCCTGGAACTCTGATGACATAAACGCTAGTTCTTTTGTCATTGTCCTGCAGGTTATGAGACTTTGTTCATTTTTTTCCCCCAGGCTATTTTCTCTATTTATTTATTTACTTAGTTTTTGAGACACAGTCTTGCTCTGTCACCCAGGCTGGAGTGCAGTGGCATGATCTCAGCTCACTGCTACCTCCACCTCCCGGGTTCAAGTGATTCTCCTGCCTCAGCCTCCCGAGTAGTTGGGATTACAGGTGCTCACCACCACGCTAATTTTTGTATTTTTAGTACAGACGGGATTTCACCATGTTGGCCAGGCTGATCTCGAACTCCTCACTTCAGGTGATCCCCCGCCTCGGCCTCTCAAAATGGTGGCATTACAGGCATAAGCCTGTATTATTTAGATTGAGTAAATTTTATTTCTCTATTCTCACATTCACTAATTTTATTCTCCGTCATCTCTAAGCTAGTACGGAGCTCATTCAGCAAACTGTTTCTTTCAGTTCCTGTATTTTTAGTTCTATGATTTTCATTTAGTTCCTTTTTTACATCTTCTATTTCTTTGCTGAGACTTTCTATGTTTACTTGTTTCAGGAGTATTTGTAATTGCTTGTTGAAACTTTTTGTGATGGCGGCTTTGAAATCTTCATCAGCAAATTTCAACTGCTGAATCATCTTCATGTGTGCTTTTGTTTGTGGTCTGTGGCCATTCAAGTTATTTTCTGGGTTCCTGGCATGACAAGCGGTCTTTGATTGTATCTTGGAGACTTTGGGTACTATGTTAGAAGACTCAGGGTCTGTCTTCTTTAAAGTTTCCATTTTAGCAGGCAGTTTCCCCGTTTAGACTTAGGATGCAAGTCCCTTAGGCTGCGGGTCCAATGACGACTGAGTTTTCAGAGCCCCTGTAGTGCTACTGTAGTCAAGTTTGTTAGTGTGCCACCTGCGGGGCACTCTGCAATGCGTATGTACATCTGCATGTGTGAAACTTTCACACTGGTCCAGTTCTAATCTTTTGATGTGTTGAACTGGTCAGTTTTTACCTTTGGGTTGATCAGCTGTCTGCGCCAGACCTTCTAGGCAGGGCTTAAAGAATCATTTTCTCCAGCTTTTTCCTATCTGAGATCCTCTTCCCCATGTCTAGCTGGGGGTGGGGACAGAAGTCCAGACTCCCCACTCCATCTCTGTGGACACCATGCCAGTAGGGAAGGAACTTGCTGCCAACAGCTGCCAACAACTTGCTGCCAACAGCTGCCACCTGGCCCTGGTGGATGGGAGTGGGAGTCCACACCCCCTCCCTGGCCTCTGCTGATGGCACCAGCCCAGGCTGCCTGCTGCTGCTGGGCGGGGCATAGGAGTCTAGACTCTCCTTTGAGACTTCACTGCAGTGCTGGAGTTGCTAAGGTGTGCACTTAGCTGGAGGTAAAGTGGATATTATCAAAAAGGACTTCCGTCCTGTGGGCTGCCCATTTCCCTGTCTCTGCTAGATAAATAAGGTTTTTCTTCAAGCTTTATTTTCCATCTGTGCCTTATGGTGGTTCTGGATTGCAGGCTTCTCTAGCACCCAGTCCAGAATATAGCAAAGATAAAAAGAAAACCCAGAGTGTCGCCACCACCTCAGTCCTCAAGTCTTGAGTTCTCGAACCAGGCTGCCTGCCTCTTTTTACTTTTCCAAGGGTCCTTATGATTATCCATTAAATTATTTCCAGGGTTTTTAGTTTTACTTAACAAAAAGGAGCAGAGGGAAGTGAATCTACTTGTCTAGGACCAGAAAGCCAGCTGCTTTTTTATGCTGTCTTTTATTTTGTAGCTAGAAACTCCTGGATTTTTTTCCTCAGAATGTTGGAGTCAATGTTTCTTTTATTTTCAAATACAGAAATGTCTTATAACCTGTTTACTAAAATGATAAAGAATCAGGTTAACAGAGGCCAGGCACGGTGGCTCATGCCTGTAATCCCAACACTTTGGGAAGCTGAGGCAGGTGGATCACCTCACATCAGGAGTTCAAGACCAGCCTGGTCAACATGGCAAAACTCTGTTTCTACTAAAAAAAATGCAAAAATTAGCTAGGCATGGTGGTAGGCACCTGTAATCCCAGCTACTCACAAGGCTGAAGCAGGGAGAATTGCTTCAACCCAGGAGGCAGAGGTTGCAGTGAGCCGAGATCCCACCACTGCACTCCAGCCTGGGCAGGTCCCAAGAGCAAGCCGCAAAGGTCCCTGGCAAGTCTCAGCCCGTGGCTGGATCCTCCCTCTGCTGCCTCTACCTGTTGGTTTTACATCAGGTTTCCCACCTGGTTTCTTCCTGGAAGCCCAGTCTTGCAGGGGGTACAGGTGATTTTGGACGGTAATGCAGAGAGACCAGCCACTCTCCACTGTGAGACAAGTTGCATGAGGATGAGGCTTCAGAGGTCTGGCCTGACCTTGATTCAGGTGCGATGTCAGGAAGGAAACAAACGTTGGCATTAGGATTGCATCCAGCATGAATGAATTGTGATTGCTGAATGAGTAAACTTTTAGTTGGAGGAACATTTCCACTCCAAACTCCCGTGGGAGTAAGTTCTTCAGAAACTGCCTTCAGTGTGCCCCAGGATTCTGTGAAAGTGCAGAGACTGGCACCACCAACTGTCAGCCTTCTCCAGGGCAGGATGACAACATGTGTCAGGTCCCACTGAATTGCCCAAAAGGCTGAATAAGCACATGTACCAGCTTTCCAAGGTCCCCGAGGCTTCAGGGAGAGGGAGGGGTTGGAGGAAATATTGATTCCAACTTTTGAAAGAAAAGAAAATCAACATTAACATCCATAGATCTATAAGATGTATTTTATGTCAAATAATCCATTGTAATTCAATTTACATGTAGGAATATAAAATTGCATTTGATGTTGGGGGGGGCGGGCATTGAAATGTATTTGGTATGACATGGAGTGGAGCCTTCAGTGTTTTTAAAAGGGCCCAGCTGAACCAGGAAAGGAGGGACAAAAATAGAAGGGTGGGGAGGGAAAAGATCAGCTTCAATCAGTTCATGCACAATTTTGCAATCAGAAATGTCAGAAGGAAACTATTTTAGTGTCCACACACTTAAGTTTTGTGAAATGGGGTGAGGGGGCCGGGCACGGTGGCTCACGCCTGTAATCCCAGCACTTTGGGAGGCCGATGTGGGAGGATCACCTGAGCTCGGGAGTTCAACACCAGCCTGGCCAAAATGGTGAAACTGTCTCTACTAAAAATACAAGAATTCACTGGGCGTGGTGACGGGTGCCTGTAATCCCAGCTACTCGGGAGGCTGAGGCGAGAGAATCGCTTGAACCCGGGAGGCGAAGGTTGCAGTGAGTCGAGATCGTGCCTCTGCACTCCAGCCTGGGTGGAGACTTCATCTCAAAAAAAAGAAAAAGAAAAAACGGGGTGGGGGTTTCATGAGGGGCTCACTGCTCGGGGTCTTACCTGGGTTCTGCCAGTGGTGGGGCTGTTACTTTCCACTGGCAGCCACACCAAGCTGGCCACACCTGGCACCTCTGGTGTGGTGGCTGGGGATGCCCTGGAGACGAGGTCTTCAGATGCCCCTTCATGTGCACCAGATGCCAAGTGCCTGCTGTAGGGGAGGGTGGCGGAGACCCTAAGGTTCGGTGTGCAGGAGGATTAGCCGGTTTGCCAGACAAGCTTAGAGCATGTCTTTACCCCACTTGCCCTGTGGGGTAAGGGTAAGAACTGTCACCCTTTGGTGCTGGCTCCTGTGCCAGGACCCCCTCCCAGGACAAGTGCACACGATCCCCTCCCAGCAGAGCTTGGATATAGCCCTGCAACTTGCAGTAGGCTCCGCCCACCTCTTCCCTACAACCCCCACTCCTGTTTGGGGCTGTAAAAGTAGAAAAAAACTCCCATAAAACCCAAAATGCTTTTTCTACTCTCACCCCACAAAAATCAACACAGAAGACTTCTATGGCCAAATGTGCAGGGATTTCTCCCCAAAAATAAACAAGCAATCGGTTCTGCAGTGGACACCAGCTGGGTATCCCCCAATTCAGTTCCAATACTGTCTACCTGGAGAGAGTATCAGATCCCAGAGGGTGAGGGCTCTGTGCCCAAGACTACCCCCCTTCCCAGCCCCGCTAGATACCAGCAACAAGTCCGGGGCCTCCAGAACTCCTGCCTGACTGGCTTCAAGTTGGGGTCCCCATGGCTCCTCTTTTGGTTTGATTAATTTGCTGGAGCAGCTCACATAACTCAGGGGAACACTTAACTTACCTTTAGTGGCTGATCACAAAGGACACAAATGAAGAGATGCACAGGGTGAGGCATGGAAGAGGGAGCACGAAGCTTCTACGCCCTCCCCAGGGACCACCCTCCAAGAAGCTCCCCGTGTTCAGCCATCCAAAAGCTCCTGCCATCCAGCCTCCCGAGTAGCTGGGACTACAGGCGCCTGCCACCACACCCGGCTATTCTTTGTATTTTTAGTAGAGACGGGGTTTCACCGTGTTAGCCAGGATGGTCTCAATCTCCTGACCTCATGATCTGCCCGCCTCGGCCTCCCAAAGTGCTGGTATTACAGGCATGAGCCACCGCACCCGGCCTCCTTAGGGTTTTTATGGAAGCTTCATGACTGATTAAACCACTGGCCATTGGTGATCAACTCAACCTCCACGTTGGGGGGTTGGGCTGAAAGTCCTAACCCTCTAATCCTGCCTAGGTGTTGCTCGTAACCAGCCCCAACCTTCCTAGGTGCTGCCAGCCAGCAGTCAGTTCATTCATGTGCAAAAAGACATCACTGTGTAGTTGCTAAGGATTTCAAGAGTCATGTGCCAGGAAACGGGGTTCACAATATCACAGGGGCCATGCTGGGTCTCCCATGAGCCTGAGACACCCAGCCTCGTCCATAGTGTGCTCAGGAGTCCTGCACTGTAGGGCGGGATGTGCACCCCGTGCATGGGACAGGGGACACAGAGGACACAGAGGAGCTCGGAAGTGTGGCAGGACTAGGCCACGATGACCCATTCTCCTGCCAAGGAATAGCGAGAGAAGGCTCCCCAGGGTGCAGCCACAGCACACCTAGGGGGTCCACGGAAACAGACCCCGTGTAGGCCTCTCCCTGTGAGTTCAGGTCATCTGAGACTGATCATTCAAGCCCCAGCCATGCGCTGTTGATGATGTGAGACCACAGCTTATCCAGGAATCAAAACAGAGGTGTCTGCTCCAGCCACCTGTGATTTATGGGCTTTAATTGCAGACCTGCTCCTGTCTTATAAAATCAGGATGGAGCCTCCACTGCTGAGGCAAGGAAAAGATTTGTCTAAAATATTGGCTGCTGTCGTCGATACTGGGACCTCTTGAGCCAGGTCCCTTCCACATTCTGATGAGGTAAGGCTGCTCTGGAAGAAAAAGCCCTCCAGAACATAAATCTATTTGACAACAAATGTCTCCTTCTCATGGCGAGCCAAATCCCCCTGTGCAGGAGCCAGAGATACAGACACAGAAAAAGAGGAGCTGGTTCAGTCTTCAAGGACAGAAAGAAAGAGAAACTCTGCCTGGTGCTAAAGCAGGCCCTCTTTGCAGCTCATTCCAAGCCTAAACCAGCTCCTGCAACTCTCACCAAAGCTGTAGCTCTTCACGGGGATGGAAAAGCAATCTCGTCGCGTGTGGCCATTGGGATGATTTTCTCCTCCCCTCATGCCTGCTGTGGACGAGGGGCGTTTCCTCACGTCGCAACTGTTGCTTTGGCCAATGGAACGTTAGCAGTTGAGGTGTGGGCAAAGTCCTGGAATGTGCTTGTGCGTACAGTTGGCTCAGCTCCTGGGCTCTGGCCCTTCACCATGAGAACACGTCCAGGTGCTGCTGATCAAAGGAGGAGGAACCCGTGGGGCACATCAGAGGCCGCCCTGCAGCTTAGAGCCCAGTGCAGCTGAGCCCAGTGGCCTGCACAGCTGTGCATGAAGAATGAACATTGGTTGCTACAAGCCACTGAAATTGTGAAGTTGTCTGCTACACAGCAATATTATGCCAGTAGTCCATCACCACATCCAGGACTTTAGAGAAGCAAGACCCTGATACGACGCTCCTGCCACCATCTCAGAATTATCTGAAAAACAACCCTGACACCAACATAATTTTTTCTCTCTCACAAATTCAAATTATATTATTCCCTCAGTCTGTGAGTCAGGGGTTATTTTATTTTTAAAGTTTGCTGCCTCCTCAGTATATGTAATTTGACCCTAATTTTGTAAGACATGAATATAGCTAAATATATTCCAGAGATGAGACTGAAATGCTCAAGATGGTGACAGCAGTATTTCTGGGTTGAGAGATTTAGAGTGACTTATGTTCCACCAAAAACATTTCTATATTTGTTCACATTTTCTATAATGTCATTATTTTATGATCAACTATATATACTTGATTTTTGAACAGATAAAGCTTAACATAAACATGGTTTAAACATAAAGTTTACTCCCCAGAAACTTTGTTCAGAATGTCAAAAACACAGGACAGGAAGATAAGTAAATCCTCATACAGCAGAGTCACTGTTCACCCTGGGAAGGGAGGTAACTGCCAGAAACCCAAACAAAGGGATCCTCAGATGCTGTTGGCCTCTTCTGCTTAGGAACTGATGTCAGAAAATATTTGTCCTTGAGAAAGCCAGCCCCTGATTAAATGTTACTATGCTCTGATACAATGTCAGTAAATCATTTCCAAAACCCCAAACACTGAAATAGTAGGGGGTGGCAATGACCACTTGGGTGATTTCTCACCTGGGAGGACATCATAAAGGTAAAGATGAGCACTGGGGTACAAATGTGCTTGCAATGGGGACATATGCAGTGAGCAGAGAGTGGGGCACACACCTCCCTAGACTCATTTCTCAGAAACACATCAGGTCACCCACTTTCTCTCCAAAAGCAGAAGTCAGATTGAGCTCATGTTCCCTTGTCCATGAATAACTGGATGTGTGAGGTTATGACAGATTTAGAACCTGCCAAAATCAGAGTGAGTGAGAGAGTGAGTGTCCTTCCTGGGCTAGAACATACTCTACTTCTCTGAAGTTGAACAAGATGGAAATTTCATAACCTCAAGGGACAGAGAGAACACTGCCCACTGCAGATGGTAATATTCAGGGGCATCCTCCAGGGTTCCTCAGGTGGGCAGAACCAGAATGGGTCATGGGATGAGAGATCTATTACGGGAACGAGACCTTGCCAGTTGCAGGAGGAGCTAGAGAAGAGAAGGTATGAGAGGGAAGTGTGCAGAGCGGAGGAGTCACCAACTAGCTGGTCTGAGAAATCAAGCTCGTCGCACTGCCAACGCTGGTCCATGAAAGCAGAGGAGACATCTACAGCAAGCTATTTCTTCAGCCAAGCACCTGAAGATGGTCGGAGTTATTGTTGGCCAGGAGGATGCCCCACAGTGAAGAAGACCAAATGGACATGGAGTACAAGGACACGCAGGAGGCTGTGGCACCTCCAAGTGTGTCTGTCACTGCACCTAACTGCGTTGACCTTCAGAGGGTAATGGCTGCTGCCTGCTGATCAGAATTGGCTCAGTCCTTTCTGCAAGGAAGGAAGGGGAAAGGGAAATCAAAAGGAATCTGGCCTTGTCAGTTTCTATGGCGAGGCTCTGCCAGCAAAAAACAGTGGCTATGGGCCAGGCAGCCCAGAGTGCCTGCTGCAGGGCCAGCTCTTCCAGCTAAGGGCTTCTCCACCTCGGCACTGCTGATGTTTCCAGCCCAGTGATCCTTGGTGGTGGGGGTTTATCCTGAACACCACTGGTCTCTATCCACAGGATTCCAAGGGCATAGTCCCTGCAAGTCATAACCAAAACCATCTCCAGACATTGCCAAATGTCCCCAGAGTGGTGGCAGACAAAACCCTGCCAGCTGAGAACCACTGTTTTACCTTCTGCATCTCAGAGTGCTGAATCAAGGTTTAAGAACATAATGAAGCTTATTCAGTCACATTGTGCTCACTAAAAACATTGTTTTAAAAAGTTTTAGTGAGAATAGAAAGGATTTCTGTGCAATTAATAAAAAACAAAGGGCTGGGTGTGGTGGTTCACACCTGTAATCCCAGCAGTTTAGGAGGCTGAAGCAGGAGGATCCCTTCAGGCCAGGAGTTTGAGACTAGCCTAGGTAACATAGCAAGACCCCATCTCTACAAAAGTTTAAAAATTAGCCGGGCGTGGCTGTTGCCTAGCAAGTAAATAAATCCAGTGTTCTATTTTTCTATCACTGTGGCATTCATTGCCTTTCCTTTAACAATTCTGGAGATTCCACTAAGATTGCCTTGTCGATTCTCCTTGTCTGGAGCAGTGGACAGCCCAATCTGAGGAGTGTGAGCCCTCAGCTCAAAGGGCTGAGCCCACGGTCAGGGGCTCTGCTGCTTTTTGTGGTGAGTCACTCAACAGCAATAATGCCTTTCTTGTTTGTGGAGTTATAACCTGAATCCTGGTCAGCAGTTTCCAATGCATGACTCAGTGTGAGACTTTGTTGGGATGCTAAAGTGATTTGTTGAGTTTTCAACCTTGATTTGTAACTTATCTATTAACTCTCTTTTGAAAGAAATCTTTGTCGTGGAGGAGTAAATAAGCTACTGAGCATCTGCAGAGTCCCACGGCTCTCTAAATTTCTGCCTATTCCATTTATAGTCTGCACTTCTTGTTCAAATGCATGTTGGGTCGTGGAGACCAATGCTGTCCAGAAAAAAACTGGCCGAGTCTTGACTCAATCTGAAAGTCTCTCTGTTACACAAAATTGTCATTTGCCATACTTATCATAATTATCTGTCGGTTTGTCTCTCTGTTTCTTGTCCTAAAAGTTCTGCCGAAAGTTTGTGATTGAAGCATTTATGCAAAAGTCAGACGTAACAATTAAAATGGTAAATTTTATGTTACATATATTTTATCACAATAAAAAATAAGTCAAATGCTGGCTGTACAAACTAAAAGTAAAGAGTGAGACATAGACTTACGGGAGGCAGCTAGAGCAGTTCTTACAGATAAATTTATAATTGTAAATACTTATAATAACAAAGAAAAAAGATCTCAAATCAACAACTTAACCTTCCACAGTAAGACACTGTGAAAGAACAGCAAGCTAAACCCAAAGCAAGCATAAGAAAGGAAATAAGAAGAATTAGAGAGGAATTTAATGAAATAACAATTAGAAAAACAATAGAGAAAATCAACAAAATCAAAAGTTGGTTTTTGTTTGCTTTTTTTTTTTTTTTTTGAGACGAAGTCTCACTCTTGTCACCCAGGCTGGAGTGCAATGGCATAATCTCGGCTCACTGCAACCTCTACCTCCCAGGTTCAAGCGATTCTCCTGCCTCAGCCTCCTGAGTAGCTGGGATTACAGGTGCGCACCACCACGCCCAGCTAATTTTTGTATTTTTAGTAGAGATGGGGTTTCACCACGTTGGCCAGGCTGGTCATGAACTCCTGACGTCAGGCAGTCTGCCCGCCTTGGCCTCCCAAAGTGCTGTGATTACAGGTGTGAGCCACCACGCCCAGCCAGAAGTTGGTTCTTGTAAAAGATCAACAAAGTTGGCCAACCTTTACCTAGGCTGACTGACAGAAAAGAGAGAGAAATCAAATTACTAAAATCAGAAATGAATGAGAAGCCATTGCCACCAACTTACAGAAATAAAAAAGAATTGTGAGGAAATACTATGGACATCTGTATGCCAACAAATTAGATGACTTAGGTGAAATGGACAAATTCCTAGAAAGACACAAACTCCAAAACTGATTCTAGGGAAACATAGAAGATATAAATAGTCATAGAAAAGAGATTGAATTAGTAATAAAAGAAAAAATCTAGGCCAGGTACAGTGGTATAAGCTTGTAATCCCAGCACTTTGGAAGGCTGAGGTGGGTGGATGGTCTGAGCTCAGAAGTTTGAGACTAGCCTGGGCAACATGGTGAAACCCCATCTCTACAAATACAAAAAATAAAAATTAGCCAGGTTCAGTGGTGTGTGCCTGTAGACCCAGCTACTCTGGGAGATGGAGGTGGAAAGATTGCTTGAGCCCAGGAGGTCAAGGCTGCAGTGAGACTGCACTCCAGTCTGGGCAACAGAGTGAGGGCCTGTCTCAAACAAAACAAAACAAAACAAAACAAAAAAACCAAAAAGAAAAGAAAAGAAAAAAGATTCCCACAAAGAAAAGCACAGCACTGAGGAATTCTACCAAACATTTACTAAAGAATTATACTGATCTTTCACAAAATCTTCCAAAAAATACAACAGAAGCCAACACTTTCCAACTCTTCCTATGAGCCTGATAATAGCCCAATACCAAAAACAAAGATATCACAAGAAGAGAAAACTACAGACCAGTATCTCTTATGAGTACAGATGCAAAAATTCTGAACAAATTACTACCAAATTGAATCCAGCAATGTGTAAAAAGGATTTACACCATAATCAAGTGGGATTTATCCCAGGAATGGAAAGTTGGCTTAATATCTAACAATAGATTATTTTAATACACCATGCCTTTACAATAAAGGAAAAAACACACAACAATCTTAATAGATGCAAAAAAGCACTTGGTAAAATTTAATACTCTTTCATAATTTAAAAAAGTCACTTTTAAAAACTAGCAATAGAAGTTCCTAAGCCTGATAAAAAGCATCTATGAAAAACTTACAGCTAATATCATACTTAGTAGAGAGACTGCCTACTTTTCCCCTAAGATCAAGATGTCTGTTCTTGCCACCTCTACTCAATATTATACCGGAAGTTCTAGCCAGCGAAATTAGGCAAGAAAATGAAACAAAAGTCATCAAAATTGGAAAGGAAAAAATAAAACCATCACTATTTGTAGATTATCTAATCCTGTCTTTACAAAATCCTAAGGGGTCTAAGAAAAAAATTAATATTAGAACTAATAAATGAGTTCAGCCAAGTTTCAGGATACAAGATCAATATCAAAAAATCAGTTGTATTTCTATACATTAGCATGCACAATCAAAAAATGAAAGTAGAAAAACAGGCTGGGCACGGTGGCTCACGCCTGTAATCCCAGCACTTTGCAAGGCTAAGGTGGGCAGATCACTTGAGGTCAGGAGTTCCACATCAGCCTGGCCAACATGGTGAAACCCTGTCTCTAAAAAAAGCACAAAAATTAGCCGGGCATGGTGGTGCGCACCTGTAGTCCCAGCTACTCAGAAGGCTGAGGCACAAGAATCTCTTGAACACGGGAGGCAGAGGTTGGAGTGAGCCAAGATTGCGCCACTGCACTCCACCCTGGGCAACAGAGTAAGACTCTGTCTCAAAAAAAAAAAAAAAAAGAAAGAAATTAGAAAAACAAATTCATTTACGAGATCATTAAAAGGAATAAAATACCTAGGAGTAAATTTGACAAAAGAAGTGCATAACTTATGCTCTGAATACCACAAAATGTTGTTGAAAGAGATTAAAGAAACTCTAAATATATGCAAAAACATATCCCATGTTCATGTATTCAAAGACTTAATAATGTTAACATGGCAATATTACCCAAATTGATCTACAAAATTAAAGCAATTCCTATCAAAATCCCAGCTGACTTATTTGCAAAAATTGACAAGCTGATTCTAAAATTCATATAGGAACTCATGGACCCAAAATAGTAAAAAAGAAAACATTTTGGAAAAGAAGAACAAATCTGTAGCACTTAAAATTCCCAATTTCATAACTTAATGCAAAGTTAACAATAATCAAGACAGCGTGGTATTGGCATAAGGATAGATATATAGATCAGTGGAATAGAATTAAGAATCTAGAAATGAACCTGTGCATCTCTATATTCAACTGATTTTCATTAATGGTGCCAAAACCATTCAATAGGGGGGAGAGAATAATCTTTTCAACTGGGTGTGGGGAATAACAATTATATATATACATATATATATACACACACACATATATATACTGTATATACACATATATACATATATACACATATATATCATATATACATATATACACATATATATCATATGTACATATATACACATATATATACTATATACTATATATATACTATATATATAGTGTATATGTATACATACATACATACTATATATTTTTTTGAGACGGTGTTTTGCTCTGTCCCCAGGCTGAAGTGCAGTGGCACGATCTCGGCTCACTGCAACCTCTGCCTCCCAGGTTCAAGCGATTCTTCTGCCTCAGACTGCCAAGTAGCTGGGACTGTAGGCACACGCCACGACACACGGCTAATTTTTTGTATTTTTAGTAGAGATGGGATTTCACCATGCTGGCCAGGATGATCTCGATCTCTTGACCTTGTGATCCACCCGCCTTGGCCTCCCAAAGTGCAGGGATTACAGGCATGAGCCATCGCGCCTGGCCAATAATATTCTTTTCAACAAATGGTGCTGGGACAACTGGATGTCTACATGCAAAAGAATTAAATTGAACCCCTACCTCATTCCACATGCAAAACTGAAAGGCAAGTAAAAACGAATTAAAGACCTAAACGTAAGAGCTAAAACTACGGAATTCTTAGAAGAACACATAGACTTAAATCTTCACAACCTTGGATTAAGCAACATTTTCTTAGAGATGACACCAAAAGCACAAGAAGCAAAACCAAAAGTAGATAAATTGGACTTCACTAAAACTAAAATTTCTGTATTTCAAAGGACAACATTAAGGTAGTTAAAATACAAGCACAGAATGGGAGAAAATATTTGCAAATTATCCTATCAACTCAACAATAAAAACACAAATAACACGACTGAAAAGTGGACAAAGGATTAGAATAGATAGACATTTCTCCCACTATACAAATGGACCAATAAGCACACAAAAAGATGTTCAACATCATTAGCCACCAGGGAAATGCAAATCTAAACCACATGAGACGGCACTTCACATCCAACAGAAAATCTAGACTCGAAAATACAAGTGATAACAAGCATCAAAAAAGACATGAAGAGGCTGGGCACAGTGGCTCACGCCTGTAATCCCAGCACTTTGGGAGGCGGAAGCAGGTGGATCATGAGGTCAGGAGATTGAGACCATCCTGGCTAACACGGTGAAACCCCATCTCTACTGAAAATACAAAAAATTAGCCGGGCATGGTGGTGAGCACCTGAGTCCCAGCTACTCTGGAGGCTGAGGCAGGAGAATGATGGGAACCTGGGAGGCGGAGCTTGCAGTGAGCCAAGATGGGGCCACTGCACTCCAGCCTGGGTGACGGAGCGAGACTCTGTCTCAAAAAAAAAAAAAAAAAAGAAAGAAAGAAAAAGACTTGAAGGAATTGTAACTCTCATACACTACTGATGAGAATGTAAATTGGTACAGTCACTTTGGAGAACAGACTGGCCATTCCTCAAATGGTTACCATATACCCCAGTAATTCCATTTGTAGGCGTATACTGAATATAAATAAAAACATATGCCTGCATAAAAGCTTGTACGTGAATGTTCAAAGCAGCATTATTCATAATATCCAAAAAGTGGAAACAACCCAAATGTCCACCAACTGATGTATGAATAAAATAAAATGTGGTATACATTTTACTGGATATCATTTGTCAAGAAGAATAAATGAACTGATACATGCTTCAGCAGGAATGAACCCTGGAAACAGCATGCTAAGTGAAGGAAACTCGTTCCAAAAGACCATATGTTCTATGATTTTACTTTTGTGATGTGTCCAGAACCGGCAGGTCTTTACAGATAGAAAGTAGATTACCGGTTGCCAAGGGCTGATGGGACAATGACAAAGGGGTGCAGAGTTCCTCTTGGGAAAATAAAAACGTTCTAAAATGGATTATGTGATAACCCTATGAATATATACTAAAGGCCATTTAATTGTGCACTTTACATGGGCAGATTGCCAGTATATAAATGATATCTCAATAAAGCCGGTTATCGAAAGGAGTCATATAGAGACAGGGAAGTAAACGCTCAAAGGGTTCTGCCTGAATTCATCATCACAGAAGTGAGTCCTGGCCGGGCGCGGTGGCCCACGCCTGTAATCCTAGCACTTTGGGAGGCCGAGGCGGGTGGATTGCCTGAGCTCAGGAGTTTAAGACCAGCCTGGGCAACATGGTGAAACCCCGTCTCTACTAACATACAAAAAATTAGCCAGGCATGGCAGCATGCACCTGTAGTCCCAGCTACTCGGGAAGCTGAGGTAGGAGAATTGCTTGAACCGGGGAGGTGGAGGTTGCAGTGAGCTGAGATCATGCCACTGCCCTCCAGCCTGGGCAACAGAGCGAGACTCCAAGACTCCATCTCCATAAAAAAAAAAAAAAGAAAAAAAAAGAAAGAAAAGAAAAAGAAAAGTAAAGAAGAAAAATAAAAAAAAGAAGTGGGTCCCAAAGTTACTAACCCAGTCAGAAGAAATTGGGATCAGCCAGGCATGGTAGCTCATGCTTGTAATCCCATAATTCCAGCTCTTTGGGAGGCCAAGGCAAGAAGATTGCTTGAGCCCAGGAATTAAAGACCAGACTGGGAAACACGGCAAGGTGCCATCTCTGAAAAAAGAGAAATAAATTGAGTTCATTGGGAGACCACAAACTTAAGAGGAACACCAAATACACACTATAGCAGGACATTATCAGAGAATTCTTAGAAATGGAGCATATGGAAAAGAAAAGAAATCCATGGCCCTCCAATCTGCAGAGCTCACTCCAAACCTTAAAGCCAGGGATGATGAGACGTGAGAATTCTGTTTCTCAGTTAACCTAGAATTAAGTCTAAATGGTGAAAAAAAATAGATGTAGATCCTGCCAACAGCAGGGACTTTGGAAAAATGTGTCCAGCATCAAAGGAGGACTCAAAGGCAAAAGCATTTTGAAAAGAAAAGGCAAAGCATGCAAGGCAGTCAGACATCAGGAGCATTTACCCACCAAATCAGAAAGCACGAATGTTGAAAACCGCAGCAATGATGCCTCCCTGCAACCTCACCAAAGTTGCCACATTACAGTAGCTTGTTCATGGTGGGGAACCAGTCGTTTTTCTCATGTGATTACCTTATTTATTTATTTATTTATTTATTTTGAGACAGAGTCTCGCTCTGTCACCCAGGCTGCAGTGCAGTGGTGTGGTCTCGGCTCACTACAAGCTCTGCCTCCCAGGGTTCACGCCATTCTCCTGCCTCAGCTTCCCAAGTAGCTGGGACTACAGGTGCCCGCCACCATACCCAGCTACTTTTTTGTATTTTTTTAGTAGAGACAGGGTTTCACCATGTTAGCCAGAATGGTCTCAATCTCCTGACCTCATGATCCGCCCACTCAGCCTCCCAAAGTGCTGGGATTACAGGCGTGAGCCACTGCGCCTGGCCGTGATTACCATATTTCTGAAAGACATAATACTTTTGTGGGAAATGCTCAGTATTTTATTGATTCTGGGTACTAGAATAAGACATGATTTATTTCAGAGTGAAATATGTGAGGTTTTTCCTGACTGTGGCAGGTCACACTGGAAGCAGGGCAAATGTCAGATTTATGTTTTTGGTCTTGTCTTGAAAGTAAAAGGCCAGTTGTAGTCAACAGAGCTCTTGCTGGCATAATTCCAAAGGCCATAAGAGTGCTTGGCTATGTCTTCTGTTCTCTGATTCAGAAGAAAAGAAATCATTGATTGTGTTAGCTTTCTATTGATGCCTAACAAATTACCTCAAAATTAGCAGCTTAAAACAGCACCCGTTGATCACCTCACCATTCTGGAGGTCAGAAGTCCAGGTGGCTTGACTGGCTTCTCTGCTCAAGGTCTCACAAAGCTGATATTGAGGTGTGGGCCAGGCTGGGTTTTTATCTGAAGGCTCGAGGAATAACCCATTTCGTGCTTACTCGGGATGCCGGCACAGTTCCGTTCCATACAGTTGTAGGACTGGGGAGCTTGTTTCCTTTCTGGTTGTCAGCTAGGGGTGAAGAGCCACTGTCCTTCTCTACGTGAGGCCCTCTGTGTCTTCAAACCAGTGATGGCACTTCAGTTCCTTCTTGTGGTTGGGCTCTTTCTCCTTCTGCCTTCTCTTCTACCTGCCTCTTCTCCCATCAGCTGGGGAAAGTCCTCTACATTTAAGGACTCGTGTAATTAGATTAGGCTCACACAGATAATCTCACAGGTTAATCTCTGAATCTTAAGTTCAGCTGACTTGGGAACTTAATTATAACTGCAAAATCCCTTGTTGGCAGTACCTAGATGAACATTTGATGGAATAACCAGGGATGGAAATCTTGGGGCATGGAGGCACTTTTAGGACATGGCCTACCATATCTATAGACATAAAGAGACACAAAGGCCTATTTCTAGTTGACACAAGGGCCACTCTGTCTATCCTGAACCCTACTGCAATAAAACAATCACTCACTCAGAGAAATCAATGGGTTACTACAGTGGGTATTTCAAACCCACTTCTCTATCCATTGCCTTGACCACCATATGAGGACCAACAGAAGACAACATTGATTTCTCCTCCGTGGTTTCATGCCTCTCCACCCACCTGGAACAGGCCCTTTATATAAATGCAGCTGTCATATTAAGTGCCCACCTGCAAGAACCACCCAATTTCACAGCATGCTATTTCTACACTTGACTTTCCTAAACTTGCCTAGACCATGACTCTTGAAACTGTAGATAACTTACTCTGGCTGGTACATTGCAATTTATGAGCAAAAGCTCTGTTAATGGAGGACATACAATAGGAACAGAGCCTAAAAACACACAGGTAGATCCTCTCAAGTCCTTGCCTAAGCCACTCTAATGTCCTCTGAAAGCAGAAGTTATTCAAGGAATAAAACCAATTATACATTCTCAAATCAAAAGTGTCTCACAGAAGTCTATGTATCGCCTTTTTACAAACCTAATGGAAAGGGATGGGATGTTCATTTGTTCAAGACTTAAGAAACATTCCTAAAGTTATCCCTAGGTTTCCCGCAGTGCCCCACTCTAATGCTATTCTATCTCCAGTTTCACTTACAGGCAAATGTACTGTAATGTACAGTACAGGCAAATGTACTGTGAGAGACCTTTCTCAGCCTTCTTTGGCATATCTGTAAATATAGTCGATAGGTATTTTCTTTATTTAGAATGACTAACAGTATACAGGTATTTGGGCAGTAATACCTCAGAGACACCTTATATTCCTTCCAGTCTTTAAATCATGATTTAAAGGACATACTCCCAAAAGGGTACAATTTCATTCAATATAGAAGACTTTGCCTCATATATACCTCTCCCGGAAAACCCTCCAGAGGACTCAATCCACCTTTTAAAGGAGCAAGTGGCTACATATGATAAAGCCTCAAAGGAAAAATGACCATTTTGCCAAGAGGTGGGACATGATTTAGGAGGTGACCTCTCCACCAACAGGCACACTCTACCCAAAAATTGGACACTCATAGGATTTGGGAAACTTAAGAGGTATGAAAAGCAATGGATTCCCAGTTTTTCCAGCGTAACTTGACTCCTCCATGAACTTAACAAAAACACGCAACCAGAAAACTTCCTTGATGAAACTGACCTTGTCACTTTGAAATCTAAATCACAACAGGCCCCAATACCGGCTCCACCTGAACATCATCATCATTTACCTTACGCCCATTTGGCACATTTCCTTTAGCTGAAGCAAAAAGGAGGTGCCATGGGGTACCAAAAAGAGGCTTTAGCTCAACAACATGGGAAGTACCAGAAACCGCTCCTGATTTAGGCACTTCTCTAGACTCAGTGGCTAGGGTTTTCTTCCTTGTTATGTGCCTTAACAGTGGTTGCAAAACGGTCAGTGCTTCTGTAGATATTATCCTTGTCGCACCATTAACTCCATGGGTTGCCCAGGCTGTTCAGTCCATACTACTGACAAGCAACAGCCAGCACTGCTCTGCAAGCCCATTAGCTCAGGCTGGCTGCTGTTGTTGGTCTCTCATGTTACCCACCATGTGTCAGTGTTATCATCTCAGTCTTGCAGTATTGCTTCCACCACCTGAAGAAGAGCCCCAGGACTATAGTACAGCAAACATGAAGTCGAGTATTTCCAAGGAAGATCTAGTTGATGTTCTCCTAGAGAATCTGCAGCAAGTGTTGCTTTTAAATGATCAAGGTCAATACCATTGAAGTTACGCAATGATTACATAAAACTGTATTAGGGCCGGGCACAGTGGCTCATGCCTGTAATCCCAGTACTTTGGGAGGCTGAGGCAGGCAGATCACCTGAGGTCAGGAGTTCAAGACCAGCCTGGCCAACATGGCGAAACCCCATCTCTACTAAAAATACAAAAAATTATCTGGGCGTGGTGGCATGTGCCTGTCATCCCAGCTACTTGGGAGGCTGAGGCAGGAGAATTGCTTGAACTAGGGAGGCGGAAGTTGCAGTGAGCCAAGACTGTGCCATTGTACTCCAGCCTGGGCAACAAGAGCGAAAACTCTAAAAAAAAAAAACAACAACAAAAAAAACTGTACTAGATGATAACCTTTCACCCAAAGTTGAGCCATCTCAAATAGTAGAACTAGTAGCCCTTACCAGAGCTGATGCCAAAAGGGACACATGTACACACACACACACACACACACACACACACACACAGCTATTATGCCTTGGTGTTGTATATAATTTGGTGATGCTATGGGACTGAAGGAATAGCTGACCTCATCAGAGAGGCCTAAAAAAAGGGAGAAAAAAGTAGATTTGTTAGAAGCACTGATGCTCTCAAAAGAGGCATACAATTAAAAGTTAAGGCACATAGTACAAGCCATAATAAAGAAGGTGATGGGAGTGCATTGGCAGATATTAAACAAAGGAAGTGCACTTTTCTCCTTGTTCTTAGGAGTTATTTATGATGAAGGAAATGTAAAAACATGAATAGATTTTTTTACATACAATTTATTTCAGACAGAGTATTTAGCCCTAGATTCAAGAAACAGAAACACTGGGCCAGGCGCGATGGCTCACACCCATAATCTCAGCACCTTGAGAGGCTGAGGTGGGTAGATCACCTGAGGTCAGGAGTTTGAGACCAGCCTGGCCAACATGGTGAAACCCTGTCTCTACTAAAAATACAAAAACTAGCCAGGCGTGGTGATGTGTGCCTGTAATCCCAGCTACTTGGAGGCTGAGGCAGGAGAATCGACTGAACCTGGGAGATGGAAGTTGCAGTGAGCAAGATCGAGCCACTGCTCTCCAGCCTGAGTGACAGAGCAAGACTCCATCTCAACAACAACAAAAAAAAAAAAAAAAAAGAAAGAAAGAAAGAAAAAAGAAAGAAAAGAAAATAGAAATGCTGGCTAAAATCAGGTTGTTCTGTCAATTTCAGTGGTCTCTAATGGAGCAAGGATGGCCTCTTGCTTACACCAAAAATCTGAGGTAGAAATTGACCAAAATGCACAACAGAGCTTCTACCACGGATAAGAGTTGGTGGGGACATTTCCCCTTGGTAACTAGAGATGTGAAAGGTATATGCCTCATCTGTACTATCATAACCACCCCCACAAAAAAATTGTGATGGTGGGACACAGGTCTGAGCTATATCCCAGAGGACTTTTAAACACTTGAAAATGGGCTTTATCCACTTTCCCAAGTCACGAGATTATGCATATGCGCTAAAGGTTGCCTGTAAATTCTCTGGAGGTGAGCTCTTCTCAAGTAGAAAAGCCACTGCAATAACTAAACTTAAAAAAAAAAAAAGTTAGACAATGGTTTTTCCCACCTGGGAAGCCAATCATACTCACTAATATTAAAGGTACTCATTTACTGGAGCAGTCATAAAGGGACTTGGTGAGGTGTTACTACTTCGTCAAAAATCTAGGCCACACGCGGTGGCTCACACCTGTGATCCCAACACTTTGGGAGGCTGAGGTGGGTGGATCACCTGAGATCAGGAGTTCAAGACCAGCCTGGACAATATGGTGAAACCCCATGTCTACTAAAAATACAAAAATTAGCCAGGCGTGGTGGTACACACCTATAGTCCCAGCTACTCAGGAGGCTGAGACAGGAGAATCACTTGAACCTGGGAGGCGGAGGCTGCAGTGAGCCAAGATCACGCCATTGCAGTCCAGCCTGGGTAACAGAGTGAGACTCCATCTCAAAAAAAACAAAAAACAAAAAAAAAAAATTCTTGTTACCCTTACTCTTCAGTTTCCAGAAAAGGTAGAGGTACAAATGTAGGTACACAACTTAAATTGGTGGTGATGTGCGCCTATGATCCCAGCTACTCGGGAGCTTTTCATTTTTCTTTCTTATTGCTTCTTGCTTTCTGTACTGCTTCTGAGGCAGGAGGATTGCTTGAGACCAGGAGTTCAAGAGCAGCCTGAGCAACATAGCAAGACCCTGTTTCCAAAAAAATAAAATGAAGTACAATACATTAGCCAGGGATGATATGCACCTGTAGTCCTAACTACTTGGGAGGCTCAGGTGGGAGGATTGCTTGAGCCCAGGAGTTTGAGACTGCAGTCAGCTATGATTGCACTACTGCATGCCAGCCTGGGCAACAGATAGAGACCTCTGTCTCTAAAACATAAAAATAATAAAACTGGTTAAGTTATCTGAAGCTCTTAAACATCCATGGCTGAGAATTTTACCTCTAGTGGCCATCAGGTCAGCCTGTTCTGGAACTTACAGATTGTAACCTTATGAATTAACAACTAGAAGACCCATGCACCGGTAAGTTTTACCACTCGTAATTGATTGGAGCTTGCTTCAGGCAGACCTAGCTAAATACTGTCAAAGAGAAATTCAATAATCATTCTTATCTTCCATGATTGCAAACTAGATTTTCAAAAACTTCACCTTCAAAACCTCTACACTCCTTCAACCTAGATATTAGGTATTCTGGAAAAGACACCAATTGGAAATATTCTCTAGAGACATTCTGGAAAGGATCCTAGGAAGGTGATAGCAGAAGCGGCCCATCTAGAATGGCAGCTGCCAAGATGCCAGCTGCAGCAGACAGGCAGGCCTGGGCCTCCCATTCTCAGAGTGGGCTGAAGCCCCGCCCTCCCTGGGTACCTCTGCAGCTGCCCTCCCAGGCGCAAGACCCGGGCATCTCTGCAGTCTGCACCCTTGGGGGCCTGGGAAGGCCCCCCATCTCCACAGGCTCAGGAGTCTCTGCTCTGCTGCCTGGCCTCTTCCCAGCTCAGCACCCTCTCTGATCTTGAAGCATGGTTGGGGCCAAGCCCAGGCACTGTCACAGCCCAGCTGGGTGTATACACACTCGGGGCAGCACCGACACACCAGCTCCCTACCGCCTCAGCCCCCTACAGGCTTTGGGCACCCACGAGCATGGGAGGGGAAGCCAAGGAGGGGCTGAGGGCAGCTTGGTGCTGGCCTGCAGGTGCCCCTTAGTTCAAGCAGCCTGGGCACCATGGACAGCAGCAGGACGCAGACGGGTTCCTGGGTGGCAGGGGGTGGGTCCCCAGTGAAGCCCCACCTTCTGGCTGGAGAAGATCTGAAGCCTGGGGGCCAGGCCGCCAGTCCTGTGGATTGGAGGGGGAACTCATGGTGCTTTTTCCTGGGCCCGCCCATGGCTGTCCATGGAACAATCAGCATGCACTTCCCCACCCTGAGGCCCATAAAAGCCCCAGGCTCAGCCAGAGCAGGAGAGACAATGGGACAACCAGCTGCAGAGAGAGCCTTCCCACTCCAGCAATGAACTACCTGCAGAGAGGAGAAACACACTCCAGGTCCTCCTTTCTGCAAAGAGCTGTGGAAATGACAGGACAACCTGCCAGCAGAGAGGGGCCACCCACCCCAGGGCCTTCTCCTCTCTGCTGAGGGCTGAACACTCGTCAGGACACCCTGGTTGCAAAAAGGAGCTACCCACAGTGGGTCCCTGAGCTGTTCTACTGCTCAGTAAAGCTCCTCTTCATCTTGCTCACCCTCCACTTGTCTGCATGCCTCAGTCTTCCTGGTTGCAGGGTAAGAACTCAAGGTGCCAAATGGCAAGTCTAGAAGTGCTGTAACACAAACAGGGCTGAAACACGCCGCTTGCTCTCCACATTGCAGGTGAAGAGTGGGAAAGAAGAGCTGAGGCCCTTTAGGGAGCCCAGACCTGGGGGCTCCCCAAGCCAGGGCTGTGACTCCCTCTTTGAGGCCCTGCGGTTCTTGGAGTCTCTGAGCTTCCAGGCACTACTGCATTCCCCCCAGGGCCAGCCAAAGCTGCTTGTGGTGTGCCTCCTCCAGCTGCAGCCTTGCAGAGAGCTGCTGCCTGTGCTGGTACCTGGAAACTGCTCCTGCTACTTCAGGAGCCGGCCCACTTGACTGTGTGCAGCGGCCGGACTCCACACTCACTTGCTCATGCACCTTGCCACTCCACGCCTGGCTCAACCTTGGCAGCCGTGGATCCAGGCCGGTAGCATGAGCCAAGTACAGCCTGCCAGGCTGAGTGGGAGGAATAAGCTGAATAGACTGGATCAAAAGTCAGACAAAGGCACCACCAACCACAGAGGTTTCTGGCCAGAAAAATAACACCCAAAAGATCCCATAAGAAAGGTTCTTAATAACAGACATCAGTAAAACTGCAAGAAGTGTATCCTTGGATCCATGTATCCCCTGTGCAAAAAGATGGACAAAGAAATTGATTTGGTTGCAAGGGCCAACTGGGAGTCCATATCACTGGGAATCTCAAACTGCACCTTAACACAAAACAAAACAAAACAAAAAACTCCAGATGAAGAAAACTGTCTGAAGGTTGACAGCAGCTACCCAAGTACTTTGCACCACACTGATTAATACTTGAAGCAGCTTCCACTCAAGATCATCAGAGTAAGACCCAATGACCAAAACCACAAATTTTCTTTTCTTTCTTTTTTCTTCTTGTTTCTTGCTTCTGTCTCTAACCCTTATATCGATTTGGATTCCTTTTTGTTGATTTAAACTGGCTGACAGTACACTGATACAGTTTGGCTGTGTCCCACCCAAAATTTCATTTTGAGTTGTAATCCCCATAATCCCCACACATCAAGGGAGAGACCAGGTGGAGGTAACTGAATCATGGGGCAGTTTCCCCAATGCTGTTCTCATCATAGTGAGTGAGATGTCATGAGATCCGATGGTTTGATAAGTGTTTGGTAGTTCCTCCTGCATTCCTTCTCCTTCCTGCCACTTTGTGAAGAAGGTGCCTTGCTTCCCCTTTGCCTTCCGCCATGACTGTAAGTTTCCTGAGGCCTCCCCAGCCATGCTGAACTGTGAGTCAATTAAACCTCTTTCCTTTATAAGTTACCCAGCCTTGGGCAGTTCTTTACAGCAGTGTGAAAATGGACTAATACACACACCAACAATGCCTTATTCATGTTTTTTATTCTTGTCCTTAATACACGTGGTCCAGAGAGAGCTTACGCTTACCAGGGCATTTTCCATCTAAGAGTGTAAAGCTCCAGAAATCGGAAAGAATCTGGATTTTTAAATGCATCTCTGACTTCTAATGTGTCCCTTATTACTGGATATCAAGCATTCCACATTTCTGCTCAAGATTTCCAAGCTTATGATGCTAACATGTTCTGTTCAATCATGTGGATTGAACATATTTCATTTATACAGATCAGTATAGCTATACTTATCTTAAATAATTTATAATATTGCTATAATTATACTTATCTTAAATATTAGACCCATCCAAGGCCTAAAATCTTGTCCAAAGTTTGAACTGAGAAACTGATCAGGTTTTCTCTAATTGTTTTTGATGTTTCTACTTAAATTTTTGTAATTGTACACTAAATTCTGTGACTAACGGTAAAATTGTTTTCTCAAACTTTCGCATTCATATCATGGAAAATTTCATCAGACCCAAATCAAAACTGGAAACTAAAATTTGGACCAATTACCAAATTTTGTGCCAATACTACATTGAGGAAGGCAAACATGTTTGTGCGGTTGGAGAATTCATATATATTAAACAATTAACATTCATTGTATACTGAAAGTAGAACATACGCTTTGACAGAAAGATTTCATATAAAAGCTGTACTGAATCTGGTCAGTTTTTAACTTGCAGAAAGACATGCATTAATAAGAACTTACATGAATTTTTAAATTCCCCATTTCTATCAAGCATGTTTTACACCCATCCTACGCTCTCAATGGAATGCAAATCTACTTGGAGGAATTAGAGATGGTGAGATCCATATCTCTATGTAAGGTATCTTTCCTTATCTTGCAGTATACAAAATTCCTATTGCCATGGTAATCATTTCAAATAAAACTATATTTGCACTCTAGGCTAAAAAAAATTAGCCTGAACTTTCTTGATAAAGTGTTACTAGACAACAGAATTGCCTTTGATTATACACTAGCAGAGCAAGGTGATATTTGTGTCCTGACTAATACCTCCTGTTGCAGCTGGATCAATGAGAGTTCCTTACATAAAATTCAAGGACAAGCCAACAGGTTGTCCAAGTGGGATAATGCATACAGTTGAAATCTAGTCTCATGGCTTGAGTTTGACAAAAGGAGGGGTACTTTGTATCTATTAGTTATGCTGTTTCTATCTCTGTTTCTATTCACTGCTGTTGTCAAATGATTTGTAAACAGCTTCTGAAATGCTGCTGCACCATCTCAACAAACATCAAATGATCCTGAATTGAAAGGATTCTAAAGTGATCTGAAAAAACACAACTGAAAAATTAGCACCTTTGGTAGAGCGTGATGATGGCCCCAATTCTTCATCCCTCCAGTAGCCTCAGCTTTTTCCATGTGCCCTTTCTCTTTGAGACACAGGACCACAGGACTACAGCTGAGAGTGTAACAAGAAAAACTCTCTGGTAGCACAACCCTAATCTATGCACAAGGTAAAACTAGAGAATTTTGAATCTTGTGGTTCACTTAGAGTCACCATAGCAACAACAGAACCCAAGCCCAACTCAAATATCACCTATATTGACTCAGCTCCCCACACTAGCAGAAGAGGATGTGCTCCCATCTCTATGTAAAACGCCGTTCATTTTAGCCTTTACTGTGTAACACAACATGTTTTGCTTTCAACTAAAAATTACAAGACACACAAGAAAGCAACAAAAAGCAATCCCCAGTCAAAGAGAGCAATCAAGAGAGCCAGACTTAGATATCACTGGATGTTGGAACTGTCAGACAGGAAATTTAAGATAACTATTATTAATATGTGAAAGGCTTGTGGAAAAATTCACAACATACATGAGCCAATCATGAATTTCAACTAAAAAATAAAAACTATGAGAAAGAATCAAATGGAAATGCTAGAATTAAAAAACAAAAAAACAAAAAACAAACCGGGCACAGTGGCCCACACCTGTAATCCCAGCACTTGAGGAGGCCAAGGGGGGTGGATCACTTGAGGCCAGGAGTTTGACACCACCTGGCCAACATGGCAAAACTCTGTCTCTAGTAAAAGTGCAAAAATTAGCTGGGTGCAGCGGTGCATGCCTGTAATCCCAGCTACTCAGGATGCTGAGGCATGAGAATCACTTGAATCTGGGAAGCGGAGGTTGCAGTGAGCGAGATCACGCCACCGCACTCCAGCCCGGGTGACAAAGCAACACTCCGTTTAAAAAAAAAAAAAAAAAAAAACAACTATGTAGGCCACAGGCATAACACTTTTAAAGAGCAGAAAGAACAAAGCTCCCACCTTTGAATTCTATACCCAGTGAAAATATCTTACAAAAATAAAGAATAAAGAATTTTTCATATAAACAAAAATTGAGAGAATGCATTACCAGAAAATCTGTGCTATCAATATAAGAAATGTTAACGGAATTTTTTTTTTTTTTGAGACAGAGTCTCACTCTGTCACCCAAGCTGGAGTGCAGTAGCACGATTTCAGCTCACTGCAACCTCCACCTCGCAGCTTTAAGCAATTCTCATGTGTCAGCCTCCCGAGTAGCTGGGACTACAGACATCCATCACCACAGCCGGGTAGTTTTTCGTATTTTTAATAGACACGAAGTTTCACTAGGTTGCCCAAGCTGGTCTTGAACTCCTGAGTGCAGGCAATCTGCCTGCCTCAGCCTCCCAAAGTGCTACAATTACAGGCGTGGGCCACTGTGCCTGGCCAGTAAATTTTTAAAGTAGAAGAATTCTGATAGCAGACAGAAACTTGGGCCAACACAGCAAATGGAAAGATGCTCAACATAATTTACCATTATTTGCCAGGGAAGTGCAAATTAAAACCACAGTGAGAGTCCAGTACACACGTATTAAAATGGCTAAAAACCTGACACCACCAAATGCTCGCAAGGACGTGGTGCAACAGACTCTCTCATATCTTATCTTGCTTGAAAGAAAGCAAAATGGTAAAGCCACTCTGAAAAACAGTTCGTTTCTTCTAAAGTTAAGCATGTACTTACCCTATGACCCTCTAATCTCACTGCTAGGTATTACCCAAGTGAACTGAAAACTCATCTTCACACAAAAACCTGTACACAAACGTTTAAAGCAGCTTTTTATGACCACAAAACTCCATAAATAGCCCAAATTTCCCTCACCTTGTGATTATGTGTCTGCAGTTGCTGCCGGCCAGGGTGTTCGTGGTCTCGCTGCCTTCAAGAACGAAGCCGGGCCTTCGTGGTGAGTGTTACAGCTCTTTTCTTTTTGAGACCGAGTCTCCCGCTGTTCCTCACGCCAGAGGGCAGTGGCGCGGTCTTGGCTCACTGCAAGCTCCGCCTCCCCCGTTCCGGCCATTCTCCTGCCTCCTCCTCCTGAGCAGCTGGGACTACACGCGCCCACCACCACGCCGCGCCAGCTTTTTTTTTTTCTTTTTGCATTTTTAGTGGCTACAGGGTTTCACCGTATTAGCCAGGATGGTCGCAAATCTCTTGACCTCCTGATCCACCTACCTCAGCCTCCCAAAGCGCCCACCAGTGTTACAGCTCTCAAAGACGGCAGTGTTACAGTTCTTACAAATGGCACGGACCCAAAAAGTGAGCAGTAGCAGCTATAAAGAAGCAAAGGACAAAGCTTCCACCACACAGAAGTGGACCCCTGCGAGTTGCCGCTGTCGGCTGGGGGGGCGGGGGGGGGGGGTGGCCAGCTTTTATTCCCTTATTGTCCCCACCCATATTCTGTTTCTGTCCTATCAGAGTGCCCTTTTTTCAATCCTCCCCACGATTGGCTACTTTTAGAATCCTGCTGATTGGTGCATTTTACAGAACGCTGATTGGTGAGTTTTACAGAGTGCTGATTGGTGCGTTTTACAGAGCGCCGATTGGTGCATTTTACAATCCTCTTGTGAGACAGAAAAGTTCCTGATTGGTGCATTTTACAATCCTCTTGTAAGACAGAAAAGTTCCCCAAGTCTCCACTAGACCCAGGAAGTCCAACTGGCCTCACCTCTCAATTAGATAACCAAATTGTGACATATATGTATGAAATACTATCTATAGTGTGTGTATGTATATATACATATATATAATGAAATATTACTCAGCAGTAAAAAAGGAATGAACTACAGATACACATAACAGCATCAATGAATCTCAAATGTGCTATTGTGCTATTAATACGTGAAAGAAGTCAGATTCTAAAGGCCATATGATATGGTAGAATGGGAAAAACGTTAAAACAAATCAGGAGTTGCCAATGCTGATGATATGGTTTGGCTGTGTTCTCACCCAAATCTTATCTTGAATTATAATTTCCATAATCCCCACATGTCTTGGGGGGGACCAGGTGGAGATAATTGAATCATGGAGCAGTTTCCCCCATCCTGTTCTTGTGATAGTGAGTGAGTTCTCATGAGATCTGATGGTTTTATAAGGGGTTTCCCCCTTCACTGGGCACTCATTTTTTTCTCTCCTGCCACCTTGTGAAGAAAGACATGTTTACTTTTCCTTCCACCATGATTGTAAATTTCCTGAGGCCTTAGCCTCCCTAGCCTTGCAGAACTGTGAGTCAATTAAACCTCTTTCCTTTATAAATTACCCAGTCTCGAGTATGTCCTTATAGCAGAGGGATAATTGACGAATACAACTGGGAATTTAGGAGGAGGTGGTTATCAAAAAGCGGAATGGGGGAAGGTAGAATTTTTAGGGGTGATAGAATCATCGTGTATCTTGATTGTGTGGGTGGTGGGTGTAGTGGTTACACAACTGTATAAGATTCAAATCTCATAGAATTCTATACTAACAAGAATTTTACTGTATATAAATCACACTTCATTAAATATAAAACAAATCAATAAAAAAAAACAATCTACTCAATACAACACCCAAGACTGATCTGAATGTGATCTGAATCTGAAAGCCTGATAATTCTCTCATCCTTTCAGGTCAACCTTTCATCTCTGAATGAGGTAAGGACATTATAAAGGACTATAAAAAAAACTTTATAATTATAGCAATACTTGCCTGGGGTTTGATCAAACATGAATATTATTTTGACCAGCCAAAGCTGTTAAATGACTATAAACTTTGAGCAATACACTAGCAAAGGTGATAAACAACCAAGAGGTGATCCTCACCCAACCTAACGAAAATTCTTTCCCAACTAAAGAGCAATGAGACTCACTTCACACAACATACAGATGGATGCATTCTGCCCAGTCCAGGCTGTGCGCTGCAATTGTTAACTGGCAAAATCACAATGAACCTGTCCTTTCTAGCACATAAAATTCCTGATTTTTTTTTCCCTGTGGGGATCCACTCAATTGAAATAAATATAGTGCTTACATTTTCAGTCAGTAGGTGGTCCTTATCATTCCTTTAATAATACACCCAGAGGCTGGGCACAGTGGCTCATGCCTGTAATCCCAGCACTTTGGAAGGCTGAGGCTGGCAGATCACGAGGTCAGGAGATCGAGGCCATCCTGGCTAACACGGTGAAACCCCGTCTCTACTGAAAATACAAAAAAATTAGCCAGGTGTGGTGGCATGCACCTGTAATCCCAGCTACTCAGGAGGCTGAGGCGGAAGAGTTGCTTGAATCCGGGAAGCGGAGGTTGCAGTGAGCCGAGATCACGCCATTGCCCTCCAGCCTAGGAGACAGTGCGAGACTCCATCTCAAAAAAATAAAAAATAATAATAATAATAATACACCCAGAAAACCACTATCACCACTGTCTAGGTCATGAAACAGAACAGACTGGAACCACAGTAATAATGCATTTTCCCAAAATATTACATTCCTGCCTCCCTAAAGGTAACTACTATCATACTTTTAACACCATAGACTAGTTTTGCCTATTTTGTAGCATTGTGTAAATTGAACCATATAGTATAAATAATTTTATGCCTCAACCTTATGCTTATGGGAGTTGTCCATATTACAGCATGTGTAAGTAGCTGTTCATTTTTATTACCGTATGATATTCCATTGCACGAATATGCCACTATATTTTTTTTTTTTGAGACAGAGTCTTGCTCTTTCACCCAGGCTGGAGTGCAGTGGTGCTATATGTCAGCTCACTGCAACCTCCGCCTCCCAGGTTCAAGCAATTCTTGTGCCTCGGCCTCCCGAGTAGCTGGGATTACAGGTGTGCACCACCACACCTGGCTAATTTTTTTTGTATTTTTAGTAGAGACAAGGTTTCACCATGTTGCCCAGGCTGGTCTCGAACTACTGAGCTCAAGCAATCCGCCTGCCTTGGCTTCCCAAAGTGCTAGGATTTCAGGCGTGAGCCACCACACCCAGCCACCACTATGTTTATGTACCTGCTATCAGTGAACATTTAAATTGTTTTTGGCTTGAGCTATTATAAATAATATGCAAGGATAAATAAATGCAAGGATCTTTCCATTACACTATGGTTCAAATGTGCCCCCTCCAAAATTCAAGTATTGCCAATGTGATAGTATTAAGAGATGGGACTTTTAAAATGTGATTCAACCATGAGGGCTCCTTTTTCTAACTGAAATTAGGTGCCCTTCTAGAGGGACTTGATGGAGGGCTTTGCTCTCTCTTGCCCTTCTGCTGTCCATCCTGTGAGGACACACACACAAATGCCCTCAGCAGATGCCAGTGACTTGATCTTTGACTTCGCAGCCTCCAGAACTGAGAGAATAATTTTTTTTTCTTTATAAATTACTGAGTCTCAGGTATTCTCTCACAGCAGCACAAAATTGACTAAGACATGTACCTTTCAGATGTGTATCTTTTGGGTTTCGAACCATGTGACTATATTACCTCTTCAAAATTGAATCAAATTAAAATTGTAAAGTAATGAACAAATCCAGTGAGCATTTCTTTGGATTTCTTTCTGACAAGTAGTAGTGCAAATACACTCTGTGTGAAAAGTAGTTTTAAAGTAGCACTTTATTGTTATCATTGGCAATTAGAATCCAATAATTACAGTTGACCCTTGAACAACACAGGTTTGAACTGCGTGGGTCCACTTCTATGAGGACTTTTTTCAACCCAACGAGGATTGAAAATACAGTATTCATGGGATGTGAAACCTGCATACACAAAGGGCCAACTTTTCTTATAGGTGGGTTCCAGAAGGCCAACTGCAAGATTTAAAGATGCACAGATTTGGGTATCCTCTGGCAGTCCTGGAACCAATCCCCCTCAGATACCAAGGGACAACTCTATAATTATTGTAAAGCATTAATGATATTTACATGAATTAAGAGTGTGGTTGTAATTACAGCATTTTTTTGCTGATTTGTAAAGAATTCTCCATTTAATGAAAATTAGTAAACAAGGCCAAAGATGTTTTAACTGAAAAAGGAAATTAAAGGTTCATTTGAAAGAATCAGACAATTGCATCCTCTGAGAAGATTTTTTTGTTTGTTTGTTTTGTTTTCTTTTGAGACGGACTCTCACTCTGTTGCCCAGGTTGGAGTGCAATGGCGAGATCTCTGCTCACTGCAACCTCTGCCTCCTGGGTTCAAGTGATTGTCCTGCCTCAGCCTCCCAAGTAGCTGGGATTACAGGTGCACACCACCATGCCTGGCTAATTTTTGTATTTTTAGTAGAGATGGGGTTTCAGCATGTTGGCCAGGCTGGTCACGAACTCCTGACCTCGTGATCTGCCCGCCTCGGCCTCCCAAAGTGCTGGCATTACAGGTGTGAGCCACCACACCCGGCCGAGAAGATGTAATTTTATCACATAAAATTCAGATACCCTCACTGTGTTTTAATTCAGCTGGCTAATTTATCTGAGATTATACTTTAAAACCTGAGTATAAACAAAAAAGAGGTATGTAACATTAGGTTGACTGTTACAATTCAGTAGAATATTTAATGAGCTACACACATACACACACATTTACAAGCATCCAAGGCTATAATACACAGAAATCATAAAACCAATGGCTGACAGTCTCCACTTCATTATTACTGTTTACTGTAAGGTCATTATTAAAGTAGTGTGAAAACTGTTGCCCAATGGAATAACTGTTGTTTTCCATTTCAATACAAACGTAGTCAGTGACACACACATTAACCTTTAAAACACCCATGTTTTCCATGTCCATGTCTACCTAAGACATCAGAAAACTATTTACTTAAAGAAAATGCGCCAGGCATGGTGTATTACGCCTGTAATCCCAACACTTTGGGAGGCCGAGGCAGGCAGATCACTTGAGGCCAGGAGTTCGAGACTAGCCTGGGCAACATGGGGAAACCCCATCTCTACTAAAAATACAAAAATTAACTGGGAGTGGTGGTGGGTGCCTAAAATCCCTGCTACTGGGGAGGCTGAAGCCAGAGGATTGCTTGAGCCCAGGAGGTGGAGGTTGTGGTGAGCCAATATCGTGCAACCGCATTCCAGCCTGGGTGATGGGAGTGAAACCCTGTCGCAAAAAAAAAAAAAAAAAAAAAAGAAAGAAAAAAGAAAATGAAATAAAATACAGCTGCATAACTGAGGCTCACAAAGCTACTCTGCCATGGGTTACTACAGGAAAATGGAGATTCTGGGAGAAGAAATAGTATATACATCCAAAAGTTTTGGTTTTGCTGCAGTCTTATTGTGCCTGCTTTTAAAAAATCCGATGTGAAGATTTTCCCCAAATAAAAATATTTTTTATAATAGGATAAAGTTATATCCCAGCATAGTGATATTCATGACCATCCTCGCCCCTCCTTTGTATGGTCTTTGTGTCATCCTTGACAGGTCCACCATTTTAGTGCATTACACCCTGCAACCTGGCTCCAGACAGAAGACTCCCTCTTCTTCTCAGAAGCCTGCCTGGGCTGCACAGGGCCACCTCGCCCAGCAGTGTTCACAACTCTGTCTGCTGGCTCTCTGCTGCCCCTCTCCATCCATGCCACGCACACGAGCCCATAAGGACTGCCTCCCGATTCTTTTTCTTTTTTTTCTTTTTTTGAGATGGAGTTTCTCTCGTGTTGCCCAGGCTGGAGTGCAATGGCGCAATCTCTGCTCACTGCAACCTCTGCCTCCTGGATTCAAGCAATTCTCCTGCCTCCGCCTCCTGAGTAGCTGGGATTACAGGCATGCACCACCACGCCTGGCTAATTTTTGTATTTTTCTTAGTAGAGACATGTTGGTCAGGCTGGTCTCAAACTCCCAACCTCAGGTGATCCGCCCGCCTCGGCCTCCCAAAGTGCTGGGATTGCAGGTGTGAGCCACCGCGCCTGGCCAGGACTGGCTCCTGATTCTAACGGTTGCCCGGAATCCCGTGCCCAGCCCAGCTGAGCTCTGTACCCACTAGGGTACTTGATCTGCTGTAATTGCTCTGGGCCTCAGCCTCTCCATGCAGCACACACACACATGCTTGGTGTGCTTCACAAGGATATAGGGAGAGCTTTAGGAGAGGCAGACTTGTCTTCTAAGAATCATTTTTAGTAATAAATAGCATGGTGGGGTGGCGGGTGCAGTGGCTCATGCCTGTAATCCCAGCACTTTGGGAGGCCAAGGCGGGCGGATCACCTGAGGTCAGGAGTTCGAGACCAGCCTGACCAACATGGAGAAACCCCATCTCTACTAAAAATACAAAACTAGCTGGATTATAAATCATGCTGTTATAAAGACACATGCACATGTATGTTTATTGCAGCACTATTCACAATAGCAAAGACTTGGAACCAACCAAAATGCCCATCAATGATAGACTGGATTAAGAAAATGTGGCACATATACACCATGAAATACTGTGCAGCCATAAAAAAGAATGATTTCATGTCCTTTGTAGGGACATGGATGAAGCTGGAAACCATCATTCTCAGCAAACCATCGCAAGGACAAAAAACCAAACACCGCATGTTCTCACTCATAGGTGGGAATTGAACAATGAGAACACTTGGACACAGGAAGGGGAACATCACACCCCGCGGCCTGTTGTGGGGGAGGGGGAGGGGGGAGAGATAGCATTAGGAGATATACCCAATGTAAATGCCAAGTTAATGGGTGCAGCACACCAACATGGCACATGTATACATATGTAACAAACCTGCACGTTGTGCACATGTACCCTAAAACTTAAAGTATAATTAAAAAAAATACAAAATTAGCTGCGCATGATGGTGTGCGACTGTAATCCCAGCTACCTGAGAGGCTGAGGCAGGAGAATCACTTGAACCCAGGAGGCAGAGGTTGCAGTGAGCCGAGATCGCGCCATTGCACTCCAGCCTGGGCAACAAGAGTGAAACTCCATCTCAAAAAAAAAAAAAAAATAGCATGGGGGTATGAAGCCTCATATTTTGATAATAAATTGCTCCCAGCATATATTACAATCTGATGCATTCTTAAATGTGAATTCCTTTGTGCTATAAACGTTAAGTGCCTCATTTTCTCAATGCTGTGAGCTTTTAATTCTGCAGCATGGCTCTGTGACTGTGATTGTGAGTAGGGACGGCTGTGTTGATGTGCATGTGGTCATTCCACACCTTAAACGTGAGAGGTGCACTCTGGTCTGTGGTCAACAGCTAAATTCCTCTATCTCTTTAAACTTCACTGCACCAAACTGGAGAACCCACAGCTGCTGTTTCCCAATGGGTCTGGGCAGTATTTGAGGCTGGTTTGCAAGCCAACTATAATTTTCTGTAGTGGAAAGAGACTCTTTATTTTTCTCTCTCTCTTTTTTTTTTTTTTTAGCGCTCCTGCGCACTGCCTGATGTTCCCTCCCTGGGCTGGATGCCGACGCTGGGAGACTCGGAAGCCGCGTGTGGAAGATGGCAGTGTGGGTATGGCCTGGGTGCTTGCGTGATGGGGTGGAGGGAGTCATTATCCCCAACACAAACGCGCCCACTGACTCGGACCCGCATTGGACTGTGGGACCTGGGCAGACTCCCTAAAATGTGGGTTTTGTGATAGTTATAACAGCCTGCATTGACTGGTCCTCGGCCAGTCTCAGGGTCTTTGGCAATATTTGGAACTCTCTTGGCCCTTTGTCTTTTGATACTTATCTGGCCAAATTTGGCCTGAATGGACCAAACTTCTGCCTTTTCTGTTTCTGGGCAGGCACTGTTGGGCACTGCCAGAGAGAAATCTCAAAGTCAGATGTTACACTGTCTGGGATGCAGCTGCGCCCAGCAATCCTGGTGTGTCCCCAATCCAACTTTCTCTGCCACCTTCTGGAGTGGCTATTTCAAGTCTCCGGTTTTCTGAAGTCCTTAAGTCTCTCTTTCCACTTCAAAGAGAACATTGCAGTCATCGGTTGGGAACTTGCTCCAAGTGAGGAGCAACTGTGCCCACCCTCCCATCCTCTCCCACACCTGGGGAGTTCATGGCTAGCCCTGCCCTTTGGGCACTGGCTCCCAGCCAGAGACCTCTGCAGGGGCAGTGCCCCATCTCATGCCCTCTCTTTCCTGCACCTTCCTCTCTGCTAGTGCCCTTCTTCTGCGTATCTGGCTGTGTAGGAGAAGTTCTCTATCAGCAGAGCCTAGTTCAACAGTTAAAAAAAAAATTCACCATAGGTTTCATGCCCTGAATACCACTTACAGAGCAGCTGCTGGGTACTTGCAATATAGGCAAAATGCAGATCTTGCTCAACTCTTCTGGTGTCTGTTAACTAGCCATTGCGCTCCCCTAGATAAAATGGCTCTCTCTAGAGGGGTGACACAGATCATTCATGGTGGGTAGCAGACATCAATCGCTACCACTTGTTTTCTTGCTGGTGGTAATGGAGACCCTCCAGGGAACCCTTACACCCCTCTGAATCTCCTCGTGGGAGGAAAACTGGGTTGTGCTCTGAAATGTCGTTAAAGTCATATTTGGAGAGCTGCGCTGACTCTGAGGAGCTGGCTGAGATCTCTTTCTTCCTGAACAGCATGCCAGCTGCCATGCAACCATTCCTCACGCAGGCAGCACAGGGGAAAGCAGGGAGGCCACATCTTGGACTCTAACGTAATGATTTTTTTTCCTGCTTCTGTGGTTAAACACATTTAGAGGACCTGTTTTGAAGGTTCCTATGTTCCTGTCTGCGTTATGCAAATTATAGGCACGTGTATGTTAGGAATGCAAGGAACTTGTTTACATCATCTTTTTTTTTTTTTTTTTTTGAGCCAGAGTCTCGCTCTGTCTCCCAGGCCGGAGTGCAGTGGTGCGATCTTGGCTCACTACAACCTTCGCCTCCCGGGTTCAAACAATTCTTGTGCCTCAGCCTCCTGAGTAGCTGGGATTGCAGGCACACACCACCACACCCAGCTAATTTTTTGTGTATTTTTAGTAGAGATGGGGTTTCACCATGTTGGCCAGGCTGGTCTCGAACTCCTGACTTCAGGTGATCCTCCAGCCTCTGAACCCAAAGTGCTGGGATTACAGGTGTGAGTCACCGCACCTGGCCTACATCGTCTTTTGTGAAAAAAAAAATTATTTATACACTTGAATGTCTAATCAGCGTTTCAAAGGTAACATGCCCAAAACTAAATTCTCAGTATCCCTCCTCCCCAGCCACCTTCATCCCAGCAGGGGTGTCACCAGCAGCTCAGGCCAATGATCCAGCAGTCAGACTTGACTCCGCTCATGCTCTCTCACCCATCTAACCCATCAGCAATATTACTGGGTCTGCTTTCCAAATCCACCCTCATTACACCTCCCCCCACTCACCCCCACCCTCGCCCAGACTGCCACCATGGACAGTTACAGTGGCCTTCTAAAGGTCATGTCTCCCCCATTGTCTTCTCTCCCAAATTCTATTTTCCATAGACAAGCTAGACTATTTTGATCATGAAAATCTCACTGTGCTGCTCCCTGCTTACAATAACCTCCTCTCCCTTATGGAATCAAATCTGAAGTCCTCACCGTGCCTGCACCAGCCCTCCAGCATCCCTGTTTCTTGGGCCTGCCAGGCCAGTCCCCACCTCAGGACTTTTGCACTTGTTATGTCCTCTGCCAAGAAAGCTCTTCCCTGAGTTATCAGTTCCTGGAGTGGCCTTCCTTGACACTGTAGTTTCCCAGGGCTGCTGTAACCATAGACTGGAGGGCATAAACAATAGAAATGTAGTCTCTCACAGTTCCAGAGCCAGAAATCCAAAATCAAGGTGTCTGCAGGGCCACGCTCTCTCGCTCTGAAAGCTCTGAGAAAGAATCTATCTTACTTATCTTTCTCAGCTTCTGGTGGTTCCCATAAACCTGTGATGCTCCTTAGTTTATAGACGCGTCATTCCAATCTCTGCCTCCATTGTCACCTAGCACTCCCACTATGCCTGTGAACCTTCCCTTCTTATAAAGACACCAGTCACACTGGATTAGGGCCCACTCTAATTCACCATGACCTCATGTTAACTTGATTACTTCTGTGAAGACCCTATTTCCAAATAAAGTCACATTCACAGGTGCCAGGTTAGGGCTTCAACATATATTTTCTTTTCTTTTCTTTCCTTTTTTTTTTTTTGAGGCAGAGTCTCACTCCGTCTCCCAGGCTGGAGTGCAGTGGCGGGATCTTGGCTCACTGCAAGCTCTGCCTCCCGGGTTCATGCCATTCTCCTGCCTCAGCCTCCCGAGTAGCTGGGACTACAGGCGCCCACCACCATGCCCGGCTAATTTTTTTGTATTTTTAATAGAGACGGGGTTTCACCATGTTAGCCAGGATGGTCTCAATCTCCTGACCTCATGATCTGCCCATCTTGGCCTCCCAAAGTTCTGGGATTACAGGCGTGAGCCACTGCGCCTGGCCTTTTTTTTTTTTTTTTTTTTTGAGATAGAGTTTCGTTCTTGTCACCTAGGCTAGAGTGCAATGGCGTGTGGTCTCAGCTCACTGCAACCTCTGCCTCCAAGGTTCAAGCGATTCTCCTGCCTCAGCCTCCCAAGTAGCTGGGATTACAGGCGCCTGCCACCACGCCCAGCTAATTTTTGTATTTTTTAAGTAGAGACAAGGTTTCACCATGTTGGCCAGGCTGGTCTCGAACTCCTGACCTCAGGTGATCCACCCACCTCGGCCTCCCAAAGTGCTGGGATTATAGGCGGGATCCACTATGCCCGGCTGTCTTCAACATATGTTTTTGGGAGACACACTTCAATGCATGAAAACATCCTATATCCTATAGATGTAGAGTCGCTATTTGCTCTACATCTTGGCCTGTTTTCTTCACCCCATGTCATTTTCCACTATCTGAAACTATGCCCCAGAGGATAGTGGCAGCTGTCTAAATTAGAATCTCCCTACCCATTCTCCTTAAAACTGTACAGGTGAGCAAGGAGAGAAGACACCCATTGCTCCTGTCTACACCACATCTAGAAGGCAGAGAAAGGAAAAAGTGTCTTAAAAAAGTAATAATAAGGACCCAGCAAGAGAGCACCCTAGCCAATCAATCGTGGAAGAAAAGGGTGTCGTTGATTAAAGAAACTGCCCTTCACTCTAGCAACAGAAGAGGGAGCAGTTGATCTGCACAACCAACAGGCCGCTCGGGCCTCTAGGCCTCCACTGCATTGTCTGCTATTGCCAGTCCGGGGAAACGCAACAGAAATAACCACCACCAATCACAAAGCAGAAAAGGAGAACCATACTTTCCAGCAGATGGCGCCACTTCGGAAAACAGTTTGGTGCGTCCTCAAAAAATTAAACATATAATTACCGTGACCCGGCAATTCCACTCCTAGGTATACCCAAGGCAAATGAAAACATGTCCACATAGACACTTGTACATCAATGTTCCTAGCAATATTACTCCTTAAGAGCCAAAAGATGGAAACCACTCAAACGCCCGTCAACTGATGAATTGGTGAACATGTTGTGGTATATATCGATACAAGAGACTATTTGCGGTAAATAGGGATGCAATACTGATTGATACTACAACATGGATTAACTTTGAAAACATTGCTGGGGCTCGGAAGCTGATGCCCCGAATTTGATGCTTTGTACATGCTGAACTGAAAAAGGAGCTTCAAGGTCTCTCTCCTCCCTCCTGCCCCAAAGCATAGGCTTCTCTGACATTCCCTTATCTGTCTAAAGTCTGGGTCTATGAAAGAAAAACAATCACCTCCAGTCACTTCCCTGAGTTTTCATTAACTGCACCCATATCTCAGAAAGGAAAACTAAAGTCGGTCAACACACCTGGACAGACTTTTGTCACAAACCATTGTCTGCTCTGCAGGCCCAGCAGACTTTACCGCAGACCGTGGTGTGTTCTTCAAGCCCTTTGAATCTTCCCTAGTCATCATTTATTGCCCCTCCCCAGAATTCCTCTTCTCCCGCTCCCATAACTACGACCAGGGAAGATTCAAAGGGCTAAAAATACAAAAATTAGCTGAGCGTGGTGGCACATGCCTGTAATCTCAGCTACTTGGGAGGCTGAGGCATGAGATTTGATTGAACCCGTGAGATGGAGAGGTTGCAGTAAGCCAAGATTGCGCCGCTGAACTCCAGCCTGGGCAACAGAGCGAGACTCCATCTCAAAAAACAAATCAAAACAAAAACAAAAAACAGGTGATTGTGTCATGGGGGCTCTGCCTTTGTGAATAGATTAACCCATTCATGAACTGATGGACTGGTGGGTTAATGGATTAATGTGTTATCACAGAGTGGAATTGGTGGCTTTATAAGAAGAGAAAGAGACATGGGCCAGCATGTTCAGCCCCCTCGCCATGTGATGCCCGGCACCACCTTGGGACTCTACAGAGTCCCCACCAGCAAGAAGCCCTCACCAGATGCAGCCATTCAACCTTGGACTTCCCAGCCTCCAGAAGTGTAAGAAATAAATTTCATTTCTTAGCAATTACTCAGTTTCAAATATTCTATTATATGCAACAGAAAATGGACAGAGAGAGTTCTTAAGGAATTCCCCATCACATCCGAGGCTTATCCAGAGGTGATCCTTGTCTGGTTCCCCAGGAGGCTCCTGGAGGAAAGGAATGGACACTGTCCACCACCCCATTCATTGGATGCAGGGCCCGAAGGGAGGACCTGTGGAGGGTTTTCCAGCGGCTCCCTTAAAAGGAACCTGGAGAGAGGTGATTGAATTACTTCCTCAGTGCATCTTATTTGTTAATGACATGCTCATTTCAATGATCCATGTCATCCCGGTCCCTATTACCATAAATAACGAAGCATTAGCTGTACGTGGCAGTGGCTGTCTGGAGCAGCAAAGAGCCGATCCCACGGTGTGTCTGCCCTGTCAAAATCATGTTGGCTGTGCTTAAAAATGACACTCCAGCCTGTCCCTGCAATCCCCATGCGTTTTCATCATGAGTCAGAACTTCAAGATGCTATTCATTCCGAAGCCATGTCAGCTCAGCTGTCAAGCAAGTTTATCGCATCTTGTATTTATGATAAACTTGAGTGACATGCAGATTTTGAATATCATATTCTAAAGCCATTTTAATCTAGGCTAAATGCAGCCTGTCAAATTCCCCTGTAAGGCAGGATCCATGGTGGGGGCTGGGGACTGAAGGGAGGTGACAGCAGTGCGGTTGGCAGACAGGGGAGAGGGAAGGTAAGCAACAGAGAAAGGTGCCTGGGTTCCCAAACAGGGTTCCAGAGGCAAGTCCACTCTGCCTAGAAGTAAGATGGCTCTGGGGCAGGACGCATGAAGGGTCTCGCCCAGAACAGTGGTTCCAGCGGTGATTCCCAGGGACCTATAGAAACCCTGAAGGGTGGGGAAGCTTGAGTCACAAGATGTTTCAGGCCTTTCGAGGACTAGGTATTTGTGAACACAGGCCAGCCTTGGAAATTGAATATGCTCTCGACTTACAATGCCACCACTTAAGAGGTTGTTGGGCTGGGGGTTACTCATTCAGGGCACTGTTGTCCCTTCTGGGATGAGAAAAGCCAAATTATTACACGCTGAAGCAGATGTGTGGGGCCCGAGGTTTATGCCACCCGGGAACTCTCTTTAAAGAAAATGAAAACAAAAATTGTGGTAGAGAATTGCTCGGGTCCCTCCAAGGAGCCTACACAAAGGGCCTGCAGTGAGGGGTCCCAGTACCCTAGGCACAGAGGACCATGAGCTGCCCAGGGCCTCATGCCTGGGGAAGGCTAAGATGTGAAGCATGGTGATACAATAAGAAACATAGATTTGGTCCTTGTCTCTGTTCCTGGCACAGAGGGCCTAAGACCTTTGGAATCTCTGCAGTGAGAATAATGAATGTTTTTTGTGTACTAATGAGATGACTGGTGGCTGGGAGCCCCTGAACAGCTTCAGGATGAGGGCTGGTCCCAGAAAGACCAAGGCAGGATTAGGAGGTTGGAACTTTCAGCCCCACTCCCCGCAAACCTCCTCTGGGGAGAGGAGACAGGCTGGAGATTGGGTTAATCACCAGTGGTCAATGATTAATGAATCATACCCATGTCATGAAAACTCCCTAAACATTCCTGAACAACGAAGTCTGGAGAACTTCCAGGTTGGCAAACACAGCCATGTGCTGACAGGGTGGCACACCCCGACTCCATGCGGACAGAACCTCCTGGGCTCCGGACCCTTCCAGACCTAGCCCTGGCTGTTCGTCTGTGTCCATGGTAATAAACTGGTAATAGTAAATAAGTGTTTTCTTGGTTTCTATGAGCTGTTCTAGCCAATTATTGACCTGAGGGAGGTGGGGATTGTAAGAACCTCCTGACTTTGTAGCCAAGTCGGACAGAAGTGTAGGTTCTCTGAGTACCTAAGACTTGGGACTGGCGTCTGCGGTGTAGGTGATCTTGTGGGACTGAGCCCTTGAACCTGTTCAATCTGACATTAGTTAGTGTCAGAATTGAATTGAATCATAGGACACTCAGTTGGTACTGAGAACTGGCTGGTGCGGGAAAAAATCCCACATTTGGTGTGAGAAGTGTTTGAGTAAAAACAGCTCAAGCCCATTCTTCATTTCTCAGCAGGGTGGCTTTTGTTTGCTTTGCTGTTCCAACATTTCATTACTCATCTGGGTCCCAATGGGCCTTTATTAAGAAAAGAAACCTTTTAACATAAAAATTGGCTCCAGATCTGAGCCACTCATTTCCCCTGAACCTCTCTGGGGTCCTTGTGGGCTTTCTGTTTGGACAGGTGATCCCAGCGATTCTCCCAGCTTCAGAGGCTGAGAGGCTGTGATCCCCATCAAAGGCAGCACATGCCACAGTGTCCCCCAAGGAGCCCCCGTCTGCCTTGAATTCCACCTACAGTGGCACAGAATTGGCAGTGGGCACAGCTGGCTGCCATGGCTTCCAGGGGCTGGAAGGAGACGGTTTACTGCAGGGATTCTTTTTTTGTTTGTTTGTTTGAAACAGCATCTCACTCTGTCGCCCAGGCTGGAGTGCAGTGGCGCCATCTTGGCTCACTGCAACCTCTGCCTCCTGGGTTCAAATGATTTTCATGCCTCAGCCTCCCGAGTAGCTGGGATTACAGGCACACACCACCATACCCGGCTAATTTTTTTTATTTTTAGTAGAGAGGAGGTTTTGCCATGTTGGCCAGGCTGATCTCAAACTACTGGCCTCAAGTGATTCACCCGCCTTGGCCTCCCAAAGTGCTAGGATTACAGGCATGAGCCACCGCGCCCGGTTTACTACAGGGATTCTTATCCAAGGGCCTATGGATCCCACAATGGCATGTACAATTTTTATTTTTAAGGTCTTCTTTTCTGAGGAAATCAGTTGTCCAATTTTCAAATGGGTCCTTGACTACCCTCAAAGGTTAAAAATGATTTCCAGGTGAAAAATAAAGAAAAACACTGTTGCATTCTCTATTTTTTTTTTCTAAAAGTCAAATCAAGTATGGGAAATTCCAGTTATCCAGGGTGCCTCAACCAGGGAGCTTCTGGCTGCTTGAACATGGAGTCACCACACACGGTCCATGTGTAATTGCCCAATGGGCTCTCCATACCCACTGCCTAGACAGAGCCGATTTATCAAGACAGGGGAATTGCAGTCGAGAGTTTAATTCACGCAGAGCCGGCTGCACAGGAGACTGGAGTTTTATTACTACTCAAACCAGTCTCCCTGAAAACTTGGGGATCTGGGTTTTTAAGGATAATTTGGTGGGTTGGGGGGGTTGGAAAATGGGGAATGCTGATTGGTTGGGTAGAAGATAAAATTGTTGCTGGAAAGGGGTCCCAATCCAGACACCAGGAAAGGGTTCTTGGATCTCACGCAAGAAAGAATTCAGGGCAAGTCCATCAAGTTGGTGACTCCATAGGCAGGGCAGTGGCATGAGCTGCTCGAGGGAGTATACTTAGTTACTTCTTGATTATATGCTAAACAAGCGGTGGATTATACACGAGTTTTCCAGGAAAGGGGAAGGCAATTCCAGGAACTGAAGGTTACTCCCTCTTTTAGACCATAGGGGGTAACTTCTGGACGTTGCCATGGCATTTGTGAACCGTAATGGTGCTGGTAGGAGTGTCTTTTAGCATGCTAAACATTATAATTAGAGTATAATAAGCAGTGAGGATGACCACAGCTCATTATACTCTAATTATTAAAAGACGTCGCCATCTTGGTTTTGGTGGGTTTTGGCCAGCTTCTTTACCACATCCTGTTTTATCAGCAAGGTCTTTATGACCTGTATCTTGTACTGACCTCTTACCTCATCCTGTGACTAAGAATGCCTAACCTCCTGGGGATGCAGCCCAGCAGGTCTCAGCCTTATTTCACCCAGCCCCTACTCAAGATGGAGTCGCTGTGGTTCAAACACCTCTGACAAAATCACGGAAAGTCGAAGCTGTCCTCTTTTGCTGAATCAGTTCCTGGGTAGAGGCCACAGGATCCCATGTGGTGCCAGCTGATCATCGATCATCATGTGCAGGGTCTACAAATCATCTCAAGCACTGATCTTAGGCCTTACCATAGTGAGTTTATTCTCAGGAGCAATTTGGGATGGCTCAGAATCTTGGAGTCTCCAGATGCATGACTCCTAAACCCTAATTTCTAACCTTACAGCTAATTTGTTAGTCCTGCAAAGGCAGTGTAGTCCCCAGGCAAGAAGGGAGTTTGTTTTGGGAAAGGGCTGTTATTGTTTTTGTTTCAAAGCAAAACAATAAACCAAGTTCCTCCCAAAGTTAGTTCATGCCCAGGAATGACAAGGACAGCTTGGGGGTTGGAAGCAAGATGGAGTCAGTTAGGTGAGATCTCTTTCACTGTCATAGTTGTCTGTTATAATTTTGCAAAGGCAGATCTACCATTTCTCTGAAGGTTGAGTTTGGGATGTGGTAGCCTTTGAGTACCCGTCCTGTTGCTGTGTGTGTGTTCAGGGCAATCCAGGAAATCTGGAGAAACCAGAGTGTGTGGTCCCCCTTCCCCATTTCTCTAGTGGATCAGGTAGGAGGGTGACTGAGGAAATGTGTCCTGGGATACTTCCTGCCTCCCAGGGTGTGTGGGACTCAGCCCTTCCCCAGCCTGCAGAGGATGGGGGGGGGGGGGGGGGGCTTTGCCAGCAGTCAAGTCCTGTGCCCCAGGGGACCAGGAAGCCTGTATCAACTCCTCGCTACCCCAGCCAGAAGCAGCAAACGCTCCACCCTGTCCTGCTGCCTGATGGGCAGAGTTGTTTTTTTTGTTTTTGTTTTTGTTTTCAGACACAGTCTCATTCTGTCGCCCAGGCTGGAGTGCAGTGGCGCAATCTCAGCTCACTGCAACATCTGCCTTCCAGGCTCAAGCGATTCTCCTGCCTCAGCCTCCCGAGTAGCTGGGACTACAGGTGCCCGCCACCATGCCCAGCTAATTTTTGTATTTTTAGTTGAGACGGGGTTTCACCATGTTGGCCAGGATGTTCTCGAACCCCTGACCTCGTGATCCGCCCGCCTCGGCCTCCCAAAGTGCCGGGATTACAGGCGTGAGCCACCGCGCCCGGCTTGAGCACAGACTTTTAATCAGATTTTTTCTTTCTTTAAATTCCTGTGAGACCAGCCGCCTGAGGGATTAAGAATATCGAGGGATGGAAGGGAGAGTAAAAGAACGGGCACTTTTCCCTAGGGAAAAGGAGGCATGCCGGGGGGGCGGAGGGAAGGAGGGGGTGTGGAGGAGGGAAGGAGGGAAAAGGGGGAGGGAGGAGAGGGAGGAGGGGGCGCGGAGGAAGGGGCGGGCTTCCCCCTGCCGGCCTCCCTTCCTTCCCCGCTGCCTCCGCCTCTCGCACTAGCGCCCCGCACCTGTGGCGCCCCTGCTCCGCCCAGTCCCGCGGCCTCCTCGCCCCTAGTCCCCGGCGCTCCCCGCCCCTTCCCGTGGGATCCGCCCCTCCGCCAGCCCCGCTGGCTTCCCCTCTCCGCCACCCCGGACTCAGAACCTCCCCTCCCCCGCCGGGGCCTGGGCGCGCCTGCCCTTCGCTCCCCGACCTCCTGCTGCAGCTCTGGGCCCCTCGGCCGCTCCCTCCCCTCCTCCCTTGCTCACCCCACGGTTGGCCGCGGATCTCCAGCACGCCGCCCCAGTCCTCGGCGTCCCGCAGCGCCTGCCAGGGTCGCCGAGCCTCCCCTGCCTCCTGGCCGCCTCTGCAGTGCCGTCCTCCCGGGGCTGGCTCTCTCCCCAGGCCCCCGCTTTGGCCACCCAGGCACTTTCCGCCCTGAGCGTGGCAGCTGCTGCCGGGGGTCCTGGGACCGCGGGATGGGAACTCCCACGCAGCGTCCCACAGGCTCCTGGCCGCCGCGAGCCCGCGCGACTCGCACGAGCATGTCCACCCGCAGCGAGGGGCCGGTCACTGCTACGGAGCCCGCCAGAAGGCAAAGCCCCAGACAGCAAATAGGGAGGCGGCTGGCACCCAGGGAGGCCGAGGCGGGAGGATCGCTGGAGCCCAGGAGTTCGAGACCTGCCTTGGCAACATAGTAAGACGCCCCCCCACCCCCCGCCCACCATCTCTACAATAAATTTAAGAATTAGCCTGGCATAGTGGCGCGCGCCTGTGGTCCCAGCACTTCGGGGAGGCTGAGGTGGGAAGATCACCTGCGCCCAGGACGGTCGAGGCTGCAGTAAGCCGAGATCGCGCCACTGCACTCCAGCCTGGGCGACAGAGCCCAGACCCCGTAACAAAGCAAAAATGAAGGAGGCGGCGGTTTACTTCTGGAATAACTGCAGAAGATCATCAAGTGCAGGGAGCTGTGGAACTCCCGGGCGCCCAGCCCTCGGCGCCCCTGCACCCTCAGCCGTAGAGCTGGGGTGTTCCGGCCCGGAGGGATAGGGGTTTGCAGGGTGCGTGAGCGCCGAGGCTGCCCGCGAGGCGAGAGAATTGCGGGGGGAGGCAGGGAGGCCGACGGGGAGGGCCTGGGAGGCTGCACGCGCAGCGGGGACCCGGCTTTGTCCCGAGCAGTTTCCAGGTAAGAGCTGAGAGGAGGGGAGGGAGGGAGAGGAGGAGAACCAGGCCCGGATTTTCCCGCCTGGGGTCAAACCAAAGCAAACAAACCAAAGTGGTGTGTCCAAAGTGATGCGCCTCACAGGTGCCTTGCTTCTGCCCCTGCCGGAGTTGAGGTTTGGAGGAAGGGCACTGTGCTGAGTCCCAGCGGGGGTTTTGTAAATGCTGCGGTATTGGTCTCTCACGGTTCACGGAGCAATCACCACACTTGCTTGACCTCCTGGAAAGCCTTACTCTCTTTTTATAATTAAAAACAATTTTTTTTGGCCGGGTGCGGTGGCTCATGCCTGTAATCCCAGCACTTTGGGAGGCCCAGGCCGGCGGATCACCTGAGGTCGGGAGTCGGAGACCAGCCTGACCGACGTGGAGAAACCCCATCTCTACTAAAAATACAAAATTAGCCGGGCGTGGTGGTGCATGCCTGTAATCCTAGCTACTCAGGAGGCTGAGGCAGAAGAATTGCTTGAACCCAGGAGGCGGAGGTTGCAAGTGAGCCAAGATTGCGCCATTGCACTCCAGCCTGGGCAACAAGAGCGAAACTCTTGTCTCAAAAAAAAAAAAGAAAAAATTTTTTTTTAGCGACAGGGGTCTCACTATGTAGGCCAGGCTAGTCTCAAACTCCTGGGCTCAAGTGTTCCTCCAGCCTTGGCCTCCCAAAATGTTGGGATTACAGACATGAGTCACCGAGCCCAGCCAGCCTTACTGTTCAGAATGATGTCACATCTTTGTGGACTGTTGAAAATAAGGTTGTCTTCCTCAGTCTCCTAGAAGCCCCAAAATAGCCATGCAGATGTCCAAGCAGTTCTGGTTTGATTATCAAGGAGCATGTGTAAAATAGCTACGTGTGAATGGGGTCTCTGCAAATGGAAACTGGCGGGGGAGGCTCAGGACTCTTAAGAGGTCTGCAGGAGAAAGTGCATAATGAACACACACCCATGGCCTCTCCCCATGTGCCAGGGCATCCTCCCACACAGGCCGAAAGTGCTCTGCAGAACAAAGTGCTTTTGGTCCACAAAACGCCTCCCAGCTCTTGCCTGCAAAGGGAAGAAAGGATAGCTGAGAATCATGAAGCAGAATGCCGGGAGATTTATGGAAACCCCCTCTGATAGCTCAATCTAATTGCAGCTCCCTCCAGCGTGCCAAATGCTGCTAATGGACAGCCGCTCCTGCCGCTCTGATGTTGCTAGACCTCCTCAGCACTCAGCCCAAGGCAGCCAGGAAGAATGAACGAATGGTGATTCAGAGGGAAAGGAGGAAGCTGCGTGGCATTTCAGAGATACTTATTTTAAAACTGCTGGTGGCCATGTCTTCTTTTCATATCAGAGCTAATGAGTTTTGATATGTGAACATTTCTTCTCCTTCATAGGTAATGTGTTGATTTGGCACTTTAATCTTAGAATAATCATTTCTAAAACCAACCCAACTGCTTTTCTTTACAATTTTGGCCTTAGCAAACAGATGAGTCCGTTGACTTGAGCATTGCTTGGGCACTGTCTGTGTGCAGGTCAGGCAGGGGATGCTGGTGGCTGGGAAACATAGAGGATGGAGGTGTCTTGGGTGTACATGAAGGGGTGGGGTCAAGTCCACAGGGGGTCGGCCCCTGGCAGCAGTCCTGGAGGGCTTCGTGGAGGAAGGGAGAATTGAGTGAGAAAGTGGTCCCCAGGTAAGAGGGAAGAGCATCCAGGGAGAGGAGACTGCTTCTGGGAAGACCAGAGGCATCACCTCGCAGGGGCTGGTATGGTGGTGGCTCAGGTGGGAGGAAGAGAGACCTCAGGGAAAATAACAGGTTCCATTGACAGGAGGCCTGCTCTGGTGGGGAGGCAGGCTGGTGGTGGAGTCATGGCTGCAGGCCAGGGAGATGCCTGACCAACAGGTGTGTTGGCCAGGGTCCCTGTAGCAAAAACACGGAGCTGAGGACCTCATGGCAGGGACCCCATGCAGAGGGAGCCGCGGGTGGCATGGGGATAGTCACCTGGCTCTCCTGCTCTCGGCCTCCTGCAGCTCCCCTCACTCCCTGCCCTGCCACACAAGGTCAAACCCACCAGGAGGCAGAAGGCGAAGGGCGAGGTCCCAGGGTGAGGAGCAGGGAGGAGATGGTGGCAGCAGGGAAGGTGATGCCTGCTGCAGAGTGAGACCTGGGACTGCCAAACACACAGTGACGGGAGCTGAGGAGGCCTGCCGGGGGAGGAAGACAGTGGCTGGCAGTGACAGGAAGGGAGGGTCAGCATGGGGCGGCAGTCCCAGAGCTCAGGGCTCCCTGCCAGGCCAGCCTTTGTGGCCTGTGGGGTGGAGGTGGCAATTGCTGTCATGTCATAAACACGTCAAGCTTACAATGAAATCTCCAGTGTGGCTTGGGAGCAAATACATGTGCAGGTGTTTGAGTATCTGTGCTCTTACCTAACCTCAGGGAGCAGGAAAACGAAAGCTTATCATGTAAACACATCAGCAGCAGGGCTTATGTGTGTCTCCACACTGGAACCCCCAAGACAAGAGACTGGAGGCAGAGTTGATTTCCAAGCCCAGAGTGCTGGGCAGCCTTTGGGTTTTATGTCTGCTTGCTTGGAGCTCAGTGATAGAAATCTAGGCCCCAGAAGAGGAAAGGACTGTCCTGCATAACCAGCACACCCGGGGAATGCTTCAGGTGCAGCTGGATCCAGGCATCCTCAAATAGTGTGATTAGGACTCCACTTTCCTTTGTCACCTTGGCTTGGCTCTTCCCTGCTCTGTGTTGTTTTCAGACGAGGTGGGGCCCCAGCAGCTCTGGTCCTCCTGACATCCTAGAGAAGAGCCAGCCCTTCCCTCCTGGGGTCTACACCGTCCCCTAAGGGACCTCAGACTGGGCTGATGGAAGGTCTCAAGCAGGCCATGTGAAGGGCACTGCACAGGAAACACAGAAACGGGAATCCTATAAGGTCAGCAGAGCTCTGAGCCCTTTGTTCTTGGGCCTGTTTTTATGATCCTCCCTCTACATGTAGCTCACACTTCCCTGCTTCTGTGCAGGCACCAGGTGAGGGGGTTGTCATGGCCTCCTGCCACTCTTGAGGCTGTCAGATATTACCTGTGCTGTCCCTGCATTCTCAAGCTCCAAATTGTCAACTAAGAAATGGTCACTTAAAAAGAGAAAAGTGAGGCCGGGCACGCTGGCTCATGCCTGTAATCCCAGCACTTTGGGAGGCCAAGGCAGGCGGATCACCTGAGGTCAGGAGTTGGAGACCAGCCTGGCCAACATGGTGAAACCGTGTCTCCACTAAAAATACAAAAATCATCCAGGAGTGGTGGCGGGCACGTGTAATCCCAACTTACTTGGGAGGCTGAGGCAGGAGAATTGCTTGAACCTAGGAGGCAGAGGTTGCAGTGAGTCAAGATCATACCACTGTACTCCAGCCATGGCGACAGAGCAAGACTCCGTCTCAAAAAAAAAAAAGGATTTCTGAAATGGACGAAGTTTTTTTCCACTGGCGGTGCCATCAGTGATCGTGTCTGTTCCACTGTGAAGTCGGTCGTGAGCTCTGTGACGTTTCCCTCTCAACTCAAGGCTTTTTTCTTCCGCTTATGGGTGTAGTCCAAATGGTTGGGATGAAAATCGTTTCACAGATAAAGAAATCTACAAGCCCAATCGTGGTGTAAGAAAAAAACTTTAAAACTCTGTCGTTCAGAAGGAAATCAGGAATAAGAATTTCTCCTTTGAGACTAAAAGAAAGTCAGCTTTAGCCAGTGCATTGGGGTGCTGGCTCGATGTGGTAAACAAAGCAAAACATTGTTTTTAAATATCCAAAACATTATTTTTAAATATAAAGAAATACATTTTTCTCCTCTCAACAATGAAGTCATAGTTTTTTTGGGGGGCGGGGGGTGGGTGGGTGGGTGCACAGGATTTACTGTTTTGTTTGTTTTTTTAACCCAAAGAGAAGGAAAATACTTTCCTTACTCCTGAAAATGGTGAGTTTGTACATTGTCCTTTTATATGGATCAATGTCATTTAAGCAACTACAGACAGATAAGTGAAGATGAATCTCATCCATCAGAGGCTGGGCTATCAGGCACCAGGACCAGGGGCTTTTCTTTTAATAAGGGAAACCTCTGCTATCTTTGGATTCCTCAAAGCCTGGAATCTAGAGCTGGATGACAGGCTTGCTTTGGAGAGAATTTCTTGAGACAACTTCAAAGTGGCAGGTTTTGTTGAAGAAAAAGCTCTTCATGGGGTAGTTGGGAACATGGTTAGTCCCTCTGTGGGGACCAGGAGGAGCGGAGAGGGGAAAGGGAGGGAGAGGGAGAGAACAAACTCTCTGCTGTCACTCTAAGAGCGCCAATCCCATCATGGGCCAGACCCTCATCGCCTTATGAAGCCTGATCACTTCCCAAAGGCCCCGCCTCCTGGTACTATCACTCAGCAGTCCCCAACCTTTTTTGGCACCAGGAACTGGTTTTGTGGAAGACAATTTTTCCATGGACTGGGTTGCAGGGATGGTTTCGGGATGATTCAAGCGCATTACATTTATTGTGCACTTTATTATTATTACACTCTAACGTATAATGAAATAATTATACAGCTCACCATAATGTAGAATCAGTGGGAGCCCTGAACTTGTTTTCCTGCAACTAGACGGTCCCATCTGGTGGTGATGGAAGACGATGACACCCGAAGTGTGTTGCTAATGTCCAGTCTGCTCTGTAATCTCGTTTTGGTCGATGTCATTGCAGAAAACTCTGCTTCACAAACACAGGATATTGGAAATGGAAGTGGGCTTTTCAGTGCTTTGGGAACAATCACAGGAGATTCTGCCTTGGCTGTAATCCAGAACGTATGGAGATTTGAAGTTGTCGCAAACATACTTTGAAGGCCACCAGATGCAGCTGTACAATTGAAGTCCATCAGCTCACTTGCCTCAATAAAGCCTGCCACTGCATGCAGCTTGTCACTTGCCACTCACAGATAGGGTTTTGATATGACTCTGCAAGCAATTGATTTATGATGGTCTCTGTGCTGTCAAACCTCTCTGCTAATGTTCATCTGTATTTGCAGCCACTCCCAAGTGCTAGCATCGCCGCCTCAGCTCCACTTCAGGTCATCAGGCATTAGTTAGATTCTCATAAGGAGTGTGCAACCCAGATTCCTCACATGCGCAGTTCACAATAGAGTGCGCTGCTATGAGAACTAATGCCACTGCTGATCTGACAGGAGGCAGAGCTCAGGCGGTCATGCTCACCCACCCACCTGCTGCTCCCCTCCTGCTGTGCGGCCCAGTTACTAACAGTCCATGGACAGGTACTGGTCCGTGGCCCAGGGACTGGGGGCCCCTTCTGTCACCCAACCAAACTGGGTCCACTTGCCCTCAAGGAACGGAAGCCAAACACCGAAGCACCAAGTTTTTGCAATAGGAAGGCTTTATTGCCAGTTGAGTGACATGGAGACCGGAGGAAATGTTCCTATCTGTCTTCCCACTGGCCTTGCCACCATAGATGTAAGAGAGAGATTTTGAGGGTGGGGTTTCGGGGCGGGACGAAGATTGGCTGGAAGGAAGGGGCTTTGTTGAGTCCCTCGGTCACTCACTGTCGCCCTACCTGCTGCTTCATGGGTTGCATGTTTAAAAACAATGTTGGCATTAGCATGACCTGGAAGTGGGGTTTTGGGCCCTCTGACATCAAAAGGTGGCTCGTGGGTGAGTCAGTGCACTCTGCAGACTCTAGTCAGCCATGTTGGCTCCAACTGGTCCCTCCTGGCAGCCCACTTAGTTGCAAATAGAGGGGATTGTAGCAAATTGTCGTCTTCTCCACTGTCCTGCAAAATGAGCTCAAGAAATTTTGCTGGTTAACAAATCCTGTCTAATCCTAGGGCAGGTTTCAGTACCATCCTGTTAGGGATTGGGGCTTCAACATATGAATTTGGGGGGTACACTTCAGCCCATGGCAAGCTGGATACTTGTGCTCCCTTCATCAAGATGAGAATGTGAACACACAGAGGCAAAGCGGCCCATACGAGGTCACAGTGAGAGAGGGTGCCGTGGAGTCAGAACGCACAGCAGGGACCCAGCCCCTAGGTTCCGTCTCTGAGCCCCAGGTCCCATGCTGAGCTGCAGGAGTCACTGTGTGCCTCTGCTTTGTGCTTTGTGACCACACGTCATGGCCAGGCTGGGGTTTTCCACCCTTTGTGCGTTATTCCCATCTTAGTTTGAGGTCAGAGGCCTGCAGGACTTATTTCCTGGTCCCCACGGGATGAAGGAGGAAACCCGTGGGAACTAGCACATGGCCCTAAAAGCAACCTCTCCTTGCCCTCATTGTCCATTAGCACAAGACACTCCCATCAGCACCATGACAGTTTACAAATGCTGTGGAAGTTGCTGCCTTTTCCTTAGAGATTTCCAAATAACCTGCCCCTAATGTGCATGTCATTAGAAGTCAGTATAAGTGGCTGTGAGTGCAGCTGCCTCAGCCCATATGCTGCTGACTCCGGGTGCACTGCTGAGGAGTCAGCCCTGGCCCAGTTCAGGAAAAGTGGCTGCATAATGCCACCAGCTGGCCCTTGCATTCTTTCCTGGGTGAAGCCAAGAACCCTCAGGGGCTAAGCCCCACTGTGAGAGCTCACCTGCCACCTGCATCCAGTGAATAGGGCGCCATTTCCAGGTTTCCCCCCAGTGCTGCAGCAAACATCCCTGTAGGCCGCAACTCACACGCTTGCTTGCATTTTTTTTTTTTCTGTGAGATAAATCTTCAGCAGCAGGATTGCTGAGCTGGGTCTAAAGGCTTTCAAAGTTTTATTTTCAATTTTTTTTTTCTCAATTGTCTGTAAGAGGGCAGAACCACTTTACTCTCTTCCAGTGGCAGATGAGAATGTGCTTCTTAACACCTGCCCAGCCCCAGGGATTATCCCTCATTTTAGTCTTGGCCAATCTGAGACAATCCATGAAGGGAACTGATGACTCGCTGTCTTCCAGACATTTCTTCGGTGGTGGTGAAGTTGAGTATGTCTTTATGCTTATTGGCCATTGTTCTTCCAGGAACTGTCAGTTACTGAGCTCTGACCTTAGATTTGTCATCTTCTAAAAACTGATCTGCAAGAGCTCTTTGTATCTTAAGAGAACTACTTTTACTATTAATGCGTGACAAAATATTCTCCCCATTGACTTGATGTGCTATCCATAAGTATAGTCATGAACCACATAACCACATTTTGGTCAACAACAGATCGTATATAACAGTGGTCCCATAAAATTATAATATCACATTTTTACTGTACCTTTTCTATGTTTACATGCACAAATACTCATGGCTGTGTTACAGCTGCCTACTGTATCCAGCACAGTGCCATGCTGTACACGTATGTAGCCTAGGAGCTGCAGGCTACACCATATAGCCTAGGTGTGTCGGAGGCTGGACCATCTAGGCTTGTGTAAGTGCCCTCTGTGATGTTCTCATAACAATGAAATCATCTAACAACGCATTTCTTCGACTGTGTCCCTGTTGTTAAGTGAAACATGACTATTGCTTTTTGTTTAAAGTCAGTAAAGAGGCACAGTTTACACTTTACTTACCCATATATATGTATGGGTGTATATATGTATGTATTTTTTGCGACAGGGTCTTGCTCTGTCACCCAGGCTGGAGTACAGTGGCATGATCTTGGGTCACTCCAGCATCCACCTCCCTGGCTCAAGCGATCCTTCCACCTCAGCCTCCTGAGTGGATGGAACCACAGGCGTGCACTGCCGTGCCTACTTTTTAAAAAATTTTTTGTAGAGACAGGGTCTTGCCATGTTGCCCAGGCTGGTCTCCAACTTCTAGACTCAAGCAATCTGCTCACCTCAGCTTACCAATGTGCTGAGATTACAGGCATGAGCCACTGCACCTGGCCTATGTGTATTTATTTTTATTGTCATATTTATCTGTTTTTTTTTTCATGACTTGTGATTTTGTGGCATGTTTAGAAAGGCTTTTCTTGTTTCAGGATTATAAAAATAGTCACCTATACTCTCCTCTAGCATTTTTATTATTTCACTTTTCAGATTTAAATTTTTGTTTCATCCAGAATTAATTTTGGTCAAAGAGTTCAATAGGGCTACAATTTATTTTTCCCTGAAGAGGCGGGACAGCTGTCCCAATATAATTCACTAAAGAGCCCATCTTTCCTCTGCCAATCTGCAATGCCAACTTTACTACAATGTCTGCAACTTAATCTCAAATGGTAGAGCAACAAACATATTTAGAGTGTGTGTGTGTTGAAATTAAATCAAATGTGGAGAAATGTTAGCATAGCAATTATTGAATCAAGATAGTACATTTGGCCTTCATTACCCACGGGTTCTGTATCTATCTGCCCATTCAACCAACTGCAGATTGAAAATACTCTGGAAAAAAAATTTTTAAATACAATAATAAAAAATAATGCAAATAAAAACCAATATAACAACTATTTCATAGCATTTACATGGTATTAGATATTACAAGAAAACTAGAAATGATTTAAAGTATATAGGATGGTGCGTGGAGGTTACATGCAAATACTGTACCATTTTATCAAGGATTTGAGTCTTTTCAGATTTTGTTATCTTTGGGGGTCCCGGAGCCAATCCCCTACAAATACTGCGGGACGATTGTATGTAGAAGATCATTACACCATCCAGTTTCCAGTTTTGTTTTCACAGTAAAATTGTGTTTAGGCCAGGCGCGGTGGCTGACGCCTGTAATCCCAGCACTCTGGGAGGCCGAATCACCTGAGGTCAGGAGTTCGACAACAGCCTGGCCAACATGGTGAAACTCCGTCTCTACTAAAAATACAAAAAAAAAAAAAAAAATTAGCCGGATGTGGTGGCACATGCCTGTAGTCCCAGCTACTTGGGAGGCTGAGACAAGAGAATCACTTGAATCCGGGAGGCGGGGGGTTGGCAGTGAGCCAAGATCGCACTGTTGCACTCCAGCCTGGGCAACAGAGCGAGACTCTGTCTCTATTAAAAAAAAAAAATGTGTTTAAAAGTCTAAAAGAAAAGGAGCGTTAGAATGGAGATAGAGTCTCCACTTTCAAAATGGATGGTTGAGCAAAAGTTCCTTTCCTGCAGAAAAGGCCTGGACGGGTGTGGCCAGGACGAGCTGAGACCCGATGAGAAAGGCAGAAGGGCGTCAGGCAGGGCTTGCACTGCAGGAAGCTGCTCTGGCTGTCCCTGAGTAGAGAAGAGAGTTGTGATGTGTGGACAACAACAAGACAACAAGAGCTGTTGGGGGCCTCCAGCTCCAGCTTGAATGACTGTTTCTATTGATGTGGAGCAGAAACCCGTGGGAGCCGCTGGCCCCTGTGGACAAGGGCGGTGAATGGGCCGGCGGGAGCGGGCAGCTGACTTATGGCGAGGTGGTGGGTCTGGGGTAGGCTGCGGCCTTAGGGTTGGTGGTGACCGTGTACCAAGGCACACGGCTGGCTTCCCTCTCACCTGCAATAGCTGGGCCACGGCTCACTGCCCTTCTTCCTCCTGTCACACCAGTCACACTGAGAGAGGGCCCTGCACGTGGTGACAGCATGGGCTGAACCGGTTCCATTTGCCCAAGCACCAGGGACACTCCTTTACCTCCTCAGGAAGGCTCAGCTGTAGAGGAACAGAAGGAAGATCCGAAGATAATAAGAAGGAGGAAAAGTTGGAAGAAGGGCAGGAGTGCAGAGTGGGCCCTCCAGGGAGGGAGGGGGCGAGCGAGCAGCCAGCCCTGCCCGAATCCCCCACCCACACCCTGGCCCCGTCCCAGCAGAACTGGTGACACTTTTCTTCCCAGTGCCTTTCAAATTTCCAGAGCAGCTCAGAATTGCTCAGTAGATAACAGGTTTGGGGTTTTTATCCTTTTCTTCCTAATGACCAGGCTCCTGAGAACAGGAGCAGCTGCCATCTGTAGGGTATTCATCATCCTCCTGCAACGGGGAAATGAGTCATTTTAGCATAAAATGTAGAACTGCCATGAAATTCAAATTGCAGTACTTTGACAAGAATTATAATGTTTGCAGAAAGTCTCATCTAGGAGGCTGAAGTGGTCCTGCGGGAAGCCCCCCCAGTCACCTGAGAGAAACAGCTGCAGTCGCCAGCAGGATCTGACCACCTCGCCCAGGGTGGACAGGACTGAGGCCACCTCTTAATTTTTCCACCCTTTTTGTTCCTGGACATTAAATAAGACAGAGAAAGCAGGAAGGTGGGGAGAGAGCACCCCTGCAAATAAGAGTCATCATCCAAGAGAGTATCAACCAAGTAGGCAGAATTCTTGCCAATTTAGTTGACTATGCATGGGAAGGGAAGTTTCTAGGGCCTTCTGGAAACAGAATATTTTCTTAAAGGGGCCACCAATGATACCCTTTGGTCATTCCAAAATGACCTCTCTGGGCCTGACGCCCCTGTGAGACGTGAAGCCAGCTGGACTTCCTGGGTCGAGTGGGGACTTGGAGAACTTTTCTGTCTTATAAGAGGATTGTAAGACTCACCAATCAGCACTCTGTAGCTAGGATTGTAAAACACACCAATCACCTCTCTGTAGCTAGCAAGAGGATTACAAAATGCACCAATCAGTGCTCTGTAAAATGCACCAATCAGCACTCTGTAAAATGCAGCAATCAGTGCTCTGTAAAATGCACCAATCAGCAGGATCCCAAAAGTAGCCAATCGCAGGGAGGATTGAAAAAAGGGCACTCTGATAGGACAGAAACAGAACATGGGAGGGGACAAATAAGGGAATAAAAGCTGGCCCGGTCTTCAGCACTTAGCCAGCCAGCAGCAGCAACCTGTAGGGTTCTTTTCTATACTTTGGAAGCTTATTTTTTTGCTCTTCACAATAAATCTTTCTACTGGTCCCTGTTTGGGTCTGTGCCACCTTTAAGAGCTGTAATACTCACCGGGAAGGTCCACGGCTTCATTTTTGGTCAGCGAAACGAAGAACCCAATGGCAGCAACCAACTCCAGACACATCTGGTCAGTCTTGTTCTAGATCCAGGGAAAGCAATGCCCTAACGGCAGGAGGGAATAACCCTTCCAGCTGATAGCAGTTGTTCAAATAGTAGCAAAGGCACATAGGAAGTGTGTTGCCAAGCTGCAGTCTGACAATTGCTCCAAACACGAATTTTGCTTCTAAGACCCTGTAAGCTGTGGGTTGTACTCAAAAGCTGTAAGTTCTTTGTGCAAAGGCTGGAGAAGGCAGCGAGCGGGCCACGTACCTGTCTTTTCGCAGAGTGTGAGAAACGAGACTGTTCTCTTTACGTGGCAGGACAGTTCAGAGTCTCTATACCCAGAGCAACCAGAACGAGCTCCCCTTGGAGTCATGGACCCAGTATCTCAGTTGAGCAAATGGTAATTTTCACCAAGGCTGGCTGGCATTGGGTGACTTTAGTGGCCTGTGCACACGAGCGCCCCAGGCCCTTGGGCAGCTGCCAGTGTGGGCTGGGGCTTCCTTGTCGGGAGGGAGCCACCCTGCACCTGTGGGTGAGTTTTGTCTCCTGGCAGCCTGGCAGGCAGGTGTGGCTCATGGCAGGGTGAGCCCCTGGCACGGATCTGCTGCTTTCCCCAGGTGAGAGTTTCTATGTGCCCAAAGGTCACCAGAAACTGACAGCCAGCCCTGAGCAAACCCCAGCCCAGGGTTCATGTTGCCCGAGCAGAACCTGCTGGTGTGGTCTGCAGGCGGGGGCGTTTTTCTTGGTTGGCTAACACTCCTTGGAAGGAGGCATGGGCCAGGCCAGTGTGCTTAGCAGTACCCCAGAGCAGTGTTGGGGGCGGGAGCTCAAGTGTGGGGTCAGTGTGCTCGCACCAGAGCCAAACCCAACACTTCCTGTCTCTTCCTTTCCTGCTGTCAGGTGGGGCTGTTGTTGGGGAAAGAAAAGCAGGGAGGACAGCGTGGGAGGCTTTCTCAGGGCCAGCCCTGGGAATGGGGCACAGTGAGGGGGTGGCATGGGTCACCTGGCCCCACTAAGGGCCAGAGGCGAGGAGAGATGTCCGGCTGGGACTTCCTGGGAGGAAGGGGCGCGCTGCCACGCAGTGCCCGAGGCCCTTGGGTATCTGCGAGCATGGGCTGGGGCTTCCCTGTTGGGAGGGAGCCACGCTGCACCTATGGGTGAGTCCTGTCCCCTCGCAGCCTGGCAGGTAGGTGTGCCTTGGGAGGAAGGCACGCCCTGCCACGCGGTGTCGCTACTGGCTGGCAACTGTTGGAGAATTTATTGAAGCACGTGAAAGAGCCCCACCCTGCCATAGCAATCACCTGCCTTTGGTGAGGCTGAGCCTGGCCGCGGGACCCCATTGACCTCTCCTGGCCTCACACTAAATGGAGTTGCATTGCTCCTCCAAATTCCAACCAAGAGGACCGAGAAGTTGGCCTGAAGCAGGCGCACACGTGGAAAAGAGGAGCTGAAGCCACGCGGGGGCTGCTCCTGCAGAGGAGGTGGCTTGGTCTAACTTTTCAAAGCAATGGCCACTCGGCTGCATCAACCTGCATGCCACGTTCCTGGCTTTGATCATTGACATGTGCCTGGCTCTGCTGCTCTCAGCTCCTGGCCTCAAACTTCCTTTTGAAGAAAATCGCTGAAGCTTGTGGCCTCACTTCTTGCAAGAGGCAGCTACAGACACTCTCCGGGCCTGGCTGCCTGTTTGTTGGGACGGGGCCTCTGGCTTGGGTTTGCTGTGCTTCAACGCCATGTGACTCCGAAGGGCCTCACTCACGCCAGGGCCCAGCACCGGCTCGGGGACAGGCCAGGCTGGCATGACTCTGATTCTGCAGATAGCATTTTTAGTGACTCTGCTGGGAATTGGTTCCTGAGATAACAAAGCCACTGACACAGGGATGACAGATGGTTAACAGCACCTCCCGAGAGTAGGTCTGTTCTAAACACTTGACCTGTGACAGAGCATCCATGCCACGCGGCTGCTCCATGAAGTAGACGCCATCATCGTGGTCTCTGCAGGTCTACGATGGGGACACTGGGGAGAGAGGAGTGACTGTGCTGGAGCATGCGTGGATGAGGGGAGGGGGAAGGGAGGGCGTGAGCCCGGTGGTCCAGCACCGTATTGTCCTGCTCCACTTTCCTCCGAGGCTTGGGTGTGCACGCGCTGGAGCCCTCCCTCTCTGGGTTGGTCATGGCCCTGTCCTGTGAGAGGTGGTGTGTGGATACCTCCTGCTCCTGAGTGAGCCCGGCGCTCCGTAAGGAGTCAGGGAATGGATCCGCCATGCCAGCCCAGCCCTGTGCTGCCAGGAGCCTGTCTTTCTAGAAGGTGGGAGTGCGGGCACAGGCTGCCTGCCCAGCTGCAGAGTTCCCTCCTCAAGTGCACCCTGGAGTGGGGACGGAGGAGCCTAGGGCACTCCTGGGCTCCAGGTTCCCTGGCTCCCTGCCACCCTCATGGTGATCTGTCCTTGCATCTACTGGGGTACTCAAGTACCCCGGGAGGCCTTGGAGTATTTCCACCTATTTTTCCTTCATGGCCTCCCAGTGTATGCTTGGGGAAACTGAGGCTGGTAAGGCTGTAGAACACATCACCCACAGCAAGGGCCAGAGGGGTACATGACCAGGGGAAGACCAGGCCCTTCAGGGCTCATGGCCCCAGCCCATGGCCACAGAGACAGAGAGTTTTCACTTGGGTGGACACTGATGGGTCCTGCTCCCACTGTGAGACCGCGTCCCCCTGCCAGCTCCACCTGGGGCCTACCCTGGGACTGGGAAGTTGTGTTTTAAGTCTTGCCCTGCCTCAGTGTTCCCTAAGGAATCCTGCCTGGTTATGACATGAAGCACACGTGTGGTGTCCCTTTTGTGCTTCTGGAGCTGTTGCCCTGATTGGCATCTTGAGAAGAGTACTGGCAGTCAGGGGATCCTGGTGCCTGCCCTGGCTCTGCCCACCTCTGTGTGTGTGTCAGCCAATGGGACTCTCTGTGTCTCAGTTTCTCGTCTTTATTTATTTATTTTTTGAGACAGGGTCTCACTCTGTTGCCCAGGCTGGAGTGCAGTGGCACGATCACGGCTCACTACAGCCTCGACCTGCTGGGCTCAATCAATCATCCTGCCTCAGCCTCCTGAGTAGCTGGGACTACGGGTATGTGCCACCACACCTGGCTAATTAAAAATTTTTTGGGGGAGAGCCAGGCATGGTGGCTCACACCTGTAATCCTAGCGCTTTGGGAGGCTGAGGCAGTTGGATCACTTGAGGTCAGGAGTTCAAAAGCAGCCTGGCCAACATGGTGAAACCTCGCCTCTACTAAAAATATTTAAAAAATTAGCTGGGCGTGGTGGTGGGTGCCTGTAATCCCAGCTACTTGGGAGGCTGAGGCAGGAGAATCGCTTGAACCTTGGAGGCAGAGGTTGCAGTGAACCGAGATGGTGCCATTGCACTTCAGCCTGGGCAACAAGATCGAAACTTCATCTAAAAAAAAATTTTTTTTTTTTTTGAGACAGGGTCTATGTTGTGCAAGCTGGTCTTGAACCCCTGGGCTCAAGCAATCCTCCTGCCTTGGCCTCCCAGAAGTTTCTCATTTTTAAATGGACCCTGACACTGGACTGAGATCTCAAGCTGGTATCCCAAGAACTGAACCCCATAGGAACCTGCCTTTCTGAAGGAAGTTAGAGAAAGGTGCTTCCCCAGGACATTTGGCCCTACCTCTTCCTGTGGTTTGCAGCCCCTGGCACCCACAGCCTGGAAAGACCCCACATTCCCTGCTGAGGGTCGTACTGTGTGCTGACTGTGCAGACCATTGGAACTTGTCCTTCCCTAGGTAGGTCAGGGTCCTGTCACCACGTTGTCTGGAGGATAGCAGGTGCTCCTGAAGTGTTTCTGAATTGGACCATATGCAAAATGTACATCAAACGAGTCTTAATAACCTATTGCTCCTAGAGTAATTGAATTCACCACTGTTGAAACCCCGCCTGGCCTGAGAAATTGGCTCAGGTGAAGGAGACTGAAGACATGTGGCATGTGCAGGCAACATGGGCCCTGCGCTGGGTCTCACTGAGGGGAAGTGCTCTACAGGGTGTCAGTGGGTCAAATGACTAACTGGAATATGGGTAGGAGACCAGATGCATGCATGCATGTTACATCTCCTAAGGCTGGAGTTGGAACGGCAGAGTAAGGAGTTTGGCAAATCCTCTCCCTAAAAGGTAACAGCAAAACTGGATAAAATGGTCAAAACCATCATTCCAGGACTGGAAAACAGCCAAAAGCAGACAGCATGTTGAGACATGTTTACTTAAGGAAAAAACCCCTGCATGAGAAATGGCATTTTTGCCTGGGCTTCTCATAGCCCCACTTCCCACCTCAGTTGTGTAAATCTGCTAGGCAGGGCATGCCATGGAGCCCAGCAGCTTTACTGCCCTGTGGGGCTGGCTGGATTTGAAGCAGGAATAGTGGCAATCTTGGGAAAGGTCAATATTGTAGCTAGCCTGATGTGGTAATCTGAGCTGGGCAAACATCGGACCAGTAGACTAGCCAGAAATCTGGGAGATTTGGAGAATGAGAACCATAGTGGGCCTTGATAAGTGCCCACATGTCCATGGCAGTCTGGAAGACCAGGTGCATGTGCAGGGCTGTGCACAATACCCAGGAGAGACTGCACAGTCCCCGCTATCCATTGAGTCAGCCTTGCATTTGCAGATTCAACCAACCATGGATTGAAAATATTAAAAAATGGCCAGGGGAGGTGGCTCACACCTGTAGTCTCTGCACTTTGGGAGGTCAAGATGAGCAGATCACTTGAGCCCAGGAGTTCAAAACCAGGCTGGCCAACATGGTGAAACCCTGTTTCTACATGAAATATAAAAATCAGCTGGGCGTGATGGCAGGCGCCTGTAGTCCCAGCTGCTAGGGAGGCTGAGGCAGGAGAATCGCTTGAGCCTGGGATGGGGAGGTTGCAGTGAGCCGAGATGGTGCCACTGCACTCCAGCCTGGGTGACAGAGTGAGACTCTGCCTCAAAAATCAATGAAAAATAATAATACATGGGGTAGTGGGGGAGCATGGAAAATGGGAAAGATTAATGGGTACAAAAATATAGTTAGATACAACGAATAAGATCTAGTATTTGATAGCACAACAGGGTGACTATAGCCAGCAATAATTAGTTGTACATTTTAGAATAACTGAGGGAGCATAATTGGAATGTTTACAACATGAGGAAACAATGAATGCTTGAGGTGATGGATATCCCATTTACCCTGATGTGATTATTAGATTGCATGCCTGTATCAAAATATCTCATGTACTCCATAAATATATACACCTCAGTACCCATAAAAATGAAAATACAAATACACAATACAGTGTAACAACTATTTATATAGCATTTACATTGTATTAGGTATGATAAGTAACACAGTGATGATTTAAAGTCTGTGAGAGGACTGCACAAGTTATATACAAATACTATTCTATTTTATGTAAGGAAATTGAGCATCTGTGAGTTTTAATATCTGTGGGATCAAATTCTGGGTCCTGGAACAAATCCCCTGTTGATGCTGGGGGTTGACTATATATCTCTGGCTGAACATGAGGCCTTGTGCCTGTGCAGAGGAGATGTGAAACCTGACAGACTGTGAAAGCTGGGGCACATTTGTAACACTGCCTCAACTCCAAATGCATTCCCTAAACCACACACAAATCCACTGGTGAAGCGTGGAAGCCTTAGTGGTTAAAGGTGTTTAAGTACATTTGACCAATCATTGGCTGACCACATATGCTAACCCACAGGCAACCACTAGAGGAAGCTAGAGTTGAAAATAACAACAACAACAACAACAATAAAAACCCCAAACTGAACAGATACATCAGTGGCTGCACACTGAGGTTGAGACTGATTCTACAGGATTTGTTCAGTGAAGTCACTAAAACAAAAATACAGCAACAGTCCCTTGGGGGTAAGGGGAAGGAGCAGAATCCAGAGTTGCTACAATATTACATAAAGTGTCCAGTTTTAAAAATTATGAGACATGCAAAGAAACAGGAAAGTGTGATCCCTATTTGGGTGGTAAGTCGGGAGGAAGCTGGGAGGAAGCTATCAATAGACACTGTCTGATGGGGCCCAGATGTTTGAATTTAGTAGACAAAGATTTCAAAGCAGCTATGATAAAATGTTTAAAGACCTAAAAGAAACCGTTTCTTTTAATTTGATGTGACTTTTTTTTTTTCTTGGAGTGACACAGTCTCACTCTGTCACCCAGGCTAGAGTGCAGTGGCACGATCTCGGCTCACTGCAACCTCTGCCTCCTGGATTCAAGCGATTCTCGTGCCTCAGCCTCCGGAGTAGATGGGACTACAGGCACATGCCACCACATCAGGCTATTTTTTTGTATTTGTACTAGATACAGGGTTTCACCATGTTGGTCAGGCTGATCTCGAACAAGTGAGAGGTGATTCGCCCGCCTCAGCCTCCCAAAGTCCTGGGATTACAGGCATGAGCCACTGCGCCCAGCCCATTTTTAAGAGCAATGACTCATCAAATACAGACTATCAATAAAAAGATAGGTATTGTAAAAAAAAAAAAAATCAAATGGAAATTCTGGGGTTGAAAAGTACAATAACTGAAATATTTAGGGTTTAATAGCAGATTTGATTTGGCAGGAGAAAGAATCAGTGAACTTGAAAGGAGATTAATAAAACCCATCCAAATTGAAGAATAGAAAGAAAAGAAAATGAAGAAAAATAAACTGAAAAACAGACCTAAATTTGGGACTCATCACGCATACCAAATACATGTCATAGAAGTCCCAGAAGGAAAAGAGAGAAAAGGGAAGAAATATTTGAACAAATAATAGCAAGAAAGTCCCAAATTTGATGAAAAATACACCAGTGAAGCACAACAAACTTCAAATAGGATTAACAGAAAGAGATCTATAGCTAGATGCATACAGAGTTGAAGGACAAAGATAAAATTTCAAAACAGCAAAGAAAAAAAAAAAAAACCCACAACCTTATCACATACAAGGGAAGAACTACGTTTAACAGCTGTCTCAAGTGAAGAAGACATTAAAATGACATATTCAAAGTGCTGTAGGAAAAATATTTATTAACCAAGAATTCTTTAGCTAGCAAAACTATCCTTCAAAAGTGAAGACAAAATAAACAAAAATTGAAGAAATTCAATACAAGCAGATCTGTCTTATAAAACATACTAAAGGAATTCCTTCAGGCTGAAAAGAAATGACACCAGAAGATAACCTGCATTTAACCCCAGCATAGTAGAAAATACCTATATTTCTTATATGCTGTATATAGATATTTTCTAGTATGCTTTTAATTCCTTTTTTATTGCTTCATTCTTACTTTTTTGTTGGAATTGGTTGCTCTAGGAATAAAGAGAGCAATAAAGGAGAAAGAAGAACAAAAAAGCCTAAGTCATATAATCTTTAAATAAATAGAGAAGTGGCAGGAAGAAATTAAACCATAACAATAGTTAGATTAAATGTAAATGGGATTAAACACTCCAATCAAAAGGCAGAAATTGATAGTAATAAAACAAGATCCAACTACATGTTTTGTATAAAGAGACACCATTTAGATTAAAAGACACAAATACCTTAAAACTAAGTAAGAATGAAAAAAGATATACCATACAAACAGGGACCATAAGAAAATTTAACTGATATTCTAATATCAGTTAAAATAGACTTTAAGACAGATAATATTGCTAGAAACAAAGAGGGATATTTCATAATGGTCAAAAGGAAGATATAGCAAATATAAACATACATGTTTCTAACAACAGAGCTCCAAAATATGTAAAACCCAACTGACAGAATTGAAGGGAGAAAAAGGCAATGCAATAATAGTTGGAGCCTTCAATACCCCACTCTCAGTAACTGAGATAACTAGACAGAAAACAAGCAAGGATACAGAAGACCTGAAGAACAGCAGCAACCAACTTACTTCTCCTCTATCTATAAAAAACCCCACCCAACAACAGAATACACATTCTCTTCAAGAGCACATGCAGCATTCTCCAGATAGACCTTGTACTCGACCACAAAAAAGGCCTCAATGAAGAGGATTCAAATAACACAAAGTATGTTTTCACATCAGAATAAAATTAATTAAAAACAACAGAAAGATATTTGGGAAAGCCCCAAATATTTGAAAATTTTAAAAATTACTTCTAAATAACTCAGGGGTTAAATCACAAGGAAAATAGAAAATATTTTGAACTAAATGAAAATGTAAAAATATCAACATTTATGAAGTACAGCTAAACAGTATCTAGAGGGAATTTATAGCTTTAAAATGCCTATTTTAAAAATATCTGAAATCACTAAACCCAGCTTCCTCCTTCAAAAATTAGAAAAAGAACTGAACCCAAAGCAAGAGCAAGTAGAAGGAAAGAAATAATAAAGACTAGCGCAAACTCCACGCAATGAAAAACAGAGAGCCAATAGAAGAAAATAGATGAAGCCAAAGTCAATTCTTGTAATGCTTTCTGAGGTTAAGTGTAGTGTAGTTATATAAGAGAAGACTCTTGTTCTTAGGTAATATGCATCATGTCTTCAACCTTATGCTCGAATGATTCAGAAGAATATTGTTATGGGCAGAAATGTTTATATCCCTTAAAATTCGTAACCCCCACTGTGGATGCATTTGGACATGGGGTCTCTAAGGAAGTAACTGAGGTTGAATGAGGTCCTAAGGGTGGGCACTGATCTGACAGGATTAGGATCCTCATGAGACACCAGAGGGCGTGTCTGCTCTCTCCATGTGCATGTATCAAGGACAGCCCACTGAGGACACAGAGATGGTGGCTGTTTACAAGTCAGGAAGAGAACCCTTAATAGAAACTGACCATGCTGGCACCTTCTAGCCTCCAAAACGATGAGAAAATAAATAAATGACAGCACAAACTGCAAATTTTCCAAGGAAGCATCTTGGACCTGATCTAAGCCACTCAGTTTAAGCCACTCAGTCTGTGGTATTTTGTTACCGTAGCCCCAGCTGACTACATACCTACCTACCTAGAGTGCACTGCACAGGTGGAAAATTGGCAACACTCAGGGAGTCTAGGTCAAGGGCAGAAGGGAAGTTCTCTGTATTATTCTCGCAAATGCTGTGTTGTTGCAACTGAGCGTGAAAATATGCTAAAAAAAAAAATAAAAACTAACCTTTCCCCTGCCTGGGTGGTGGACACTTAAGTTGCTGGGCTGTGATGGGCTGGAGGCTGTGCTCTCCTGGTTCCCTGACTGAGGTGAGGGCCTTCGGTTTAGTCCTGCCCTCCCTGCACAGGGTTCTTTTTGCCTCTATCCCACTAAGTCGTCAAGACGGTGGACGCAGATCCACTTTCTGCTTCCTCCTGGTGCCTGCCCTGTGTTTCCCGTGGTCCTCCTTGGAAAGGCCACAAAAGTGTTTCAAGAGGACTCAGGTCCAAGATGCTTCCTTGGAAAATTTGCAGTTTGTGCTGTCATAAATGTGGCACATTAATGGTTGCTAAAACTGGGGAGCAACTCCTCAAGGCTTGGTAGGAGCATTTCAACTGAGTTTAAATATTCAAAAACATAAGAACCAAATCCTGTCCCCCAGGGGCAGCAGCACTGGATCCTACTGACCAAGCTTCCACCCTCCTCCCTGGGCCTATCAAGAAGAAACCAATGGGCCGGACACAGTGGCTCATGCCTGTAATTAATCCAGGCACTTTGGGAGGCCAAGGTGGGCGGATCACTTGAGGCCAGGAGTTTGAGACCAGCCTGGCCAACATGGTGAAACCATCTCTACTAAAAATACAAAAATTAGCCGAGCGTGGTGGGGCAGTGAGCCGAGATTGCCCCACTGCCCTCCAGCCTGGGTGACAGAGCGAGACTCCGTCTCCAGGAAAAAAAAACCAATGAAGCCCTGGGACTGTTTGGTGCATGTGTCCTCTACTGAAGAGCAGGCTGCAAAGAAACTCAATTTTGCTTTAAAGCACTCGGTTTCAAATGTTTCTGAAAGCCCTCAGCTTCCCACTACAACGGCAACCGCTGCTTGGTAGGTATCAAGACTGGGGCTGCTCCCTGGGTCTCAACCTTCATGCTTTCCACTTGGTTCCTGCTCATCTTCAAGCTGTCCTTATCCAACATGGAAGACACTCATTCTCAGAAGTGCTCTGGGAAACCCCATGTCCTCAAAGTCCTCTCTAGGAACCCCACTGCCGTCGTTCCAGCCGGTTTCTGCCACACCCCCACTGACAAGAAATGAAGAGTTGCTAGGGTGAATACTTGGCACGCCCCTCAACACTAAACAGCAGCAGCATACTGACCACATGTCAGTTTCCACATTTTCTTTCCTTCTCTGTTTTTAAGGGGGTATGAAATGATTTATACCTGCATGTTTTCAAATCCACTTAAGACCAGGAGGTGCTATGTGGACAAATAGATCAAACTACCTCAAAACTTTACGGTGACAATCAAGCCAAGGTACAAACACGCTAAAATCACCACCTGTGCACCCACCTCTTCCTATTTTTCCGCGGGTGAGTGCCAGAGGAGGGCGTTCCACATGGGGGCTCTAGTGCGTCTCACGAGGTGCACTTCTCTCATGCACCAAGTGAAAACCTTACACATCTTCCCTGCCTGGCATTGCGCCAGTAGGCAGAAAACTTGGTGCAACAAAACTCAATTTTTGTCTTTATTGGCACGTGGTTTCCTAGACAACTATGGACACAATTCCCTCAGAACAGCCTATGGTGCAAAGGGAGGGAAGGGAGAGTGTCAGAATGTGGAAGGCTTGTCGTAGTTGGTTACAGACCTCTCTTCTGAGCACCTTGTTTGTGTCAACTTCTGGCTAACCTGAATGAACACCCATCAGCTGGGAGAAACAAGCACTAGGGGGCACCTTCATGGTCACTGGTAAAGAAAGCCCTAATTATCTACAAAATGGAAATGGAAAACAAACATTTAAAGTTTTATGCATTTTAGTTTTGAACTAGAAATCTTCCAAGTTTAATATATACCTTCCTAGTGAATTCCCCTGCCAAAAACAAACAAAAAACCCCTCCCCTAAACCAAATGGTATTCCTGCATCTTGGGCAACAGCTCCTTCACTGTCAAGTAGTTCCAAAGGAAAGCACGAGTAGGTAAGAGTCAAAAATGCCACTGAGTTTTTGCTGTGATCAAATTGATCAGGAGACAACAATGTGGTTCTGTAAAAATCAGCACATCAACAATGTGTCTTCCCACACTCCATCTGGGGAAACCCGGCTAAGCAGCCTGGAAACAGAGTGCCAGGTCACTCTCTACATGTAGGGCTGCTGGGCAGCCGCAGTAACGTGTGCCCGGATGCATCTGTGTACACAGCTCTCTGGTTTGCTTTCTGCAAATTGGACGGAAAACAGAGCCTGGCTTCCCATCCAGTAAATGGTTTTCAAACTGCGAGTCAAGAAAACCGAAAACTTACTCCCCATCTGCCTGCTAGGTGGCCTTCCTGCATTTACTGCCACATCCCTTCCTAGCCAACTGCTCCCTGTCTAGACGGAAGCCACCCAGTGTCAACGTCTGTGTCTCCTCACCTGAGTCATCTCCATCTGCTCAGTGCCTTGTGTACTGCATTAAGTACTTGCTCAGAGGTCAAGAGGAGGAACTGACTCACGCAGCATTAGTGGATGTTCACTAAGCCTTCTGTTGATTGTAACGTTAGTATAGGGGAAGGGCAAAAGCAGAATTCTGACCCTAAAGCTTGGCCATCTGAATGAACTCACTGCACCATGCTCAGTGCTGTGGGAAGATGGTTAGGCAACAGAAATGTCCTTAGGAAGGAGCTCTAGGTATCTACACCTGACCAGGTGTTCATGCCACATACTAAAAGGTAGGGGGACAAAAAACAGACTTACTGAGTTGTGTCCCTTTCACAATAAATTGTTTCCCTAATTTATCTAAATGAAAACTGTCTTATTTAGGCCTTATATATGTGTGTCTGTGTTTACAATAAGGACACATTTAAAACAGAAAACTCAACACCTATATCATACTACACATAAAGTTAACTCAAAGTGGATCACAGACATAAATATAAAACAAAAAATTCTGAAACTTGAGAAGTCTTTACACTTTGGGCTAAGTGAAGATTTCTCTTAGGATAGAACATCTTAGTGAAGATATGACAAAAGCATAATCTATGAAAGAACAAACTGATTAAACTAGACTTCATCAAACTGAAGTCAAGCGAAATGAAGTAACGTTTACACAAAAACCTGTACGCAAATGTTTATAGCAGTTTACTAATAATCTCCCAAACCTGGAAACAACCCAGAAGTTCCTTAACTGGGGAATGGATAAACAAGCTCTGGTACAGCCACACAATGGAATACCACCTGGCAATAAAAAAGAACCTGCAACATCATACATGAATCTCAAATGCATCATGCTAAGTGAAATAAGCCAGACTCAAAGGCAACATATTGTATGATTCCATTTATATGACACTGTCAAAAAGGCAACTATAGAAACAGAAGAGATCATCCTGCCAGGGGCTGGAAGAAGGGTTGAGTATAAAGGGGTACAAATGATTAGAGAAGATAAAGAAACTGTTGTATGTATTAACCGTGGTAAATAAACAGTATGTGTTTGTCAAAATTTGAACTATACATTTTAAAAACAGTAACTTACTCTATGTAAATTATACCTTAACAAAGATGAAAAAAATAAAATCCACATAGATGGATTCAGTCCACAAAGGTGTTTACTGAAACACTATAGCAATAATCCAAATGTCAACAGGGGTGGCAGTTAAGTAAGTAGGATGTCCACAATGGAATATTTATGCTCACTAAACCCATTTTCTTCCCCCAAATGTGGGTGACATTAAACAATGCCCGTGCTATTTATCTGGGGAATAAAACCATATACAAATGGTTACACGCACACACACAAACGCACGTGTGTCCCCATGCAGGGGTGTTTCTCCACGCAGGGGTGTGTGTTTACCCACAGGGGGAAGTCGGCCTGCTGCCTTCTCCCACTCTGTCTCCAGGTCCTTCTGCCCCACTTCAGTCTGAGCCCTTCAGATGAGCACTGCCCACCCATCTGTACATGCTGGCCAAGGGGAGAAATTCTGCATGCAACACCAGACGACGAGGTGGTAGGTGACGCTGGGTGATAGGGATTTGTGTGCAGGATTTTAAAACAGGATTATAAAGCTGCATGAAACTAGAAAACAGTGGGCAAACAGACCAAGCCAGCACTTTATTTTAAAAAGTTTTATTTTGGAGATTTAGAAATTTGAGATTTTTAATAACGGCAAAAGAAATTCAGTCACACCTAATGATTAACAGAATGTAGTGGTGTATTATCTAAACAGAAATCGTGCTGATGTGCCATAATAAATTGTCTATTAGTAAAAAAATACACTTTAGGGCACAGCATTGTATCACAAATTACAGTAGGGATACTTTGCAAGAATTTAATCAAACTAGAGAATTCTGAGTAACTGTATCTTTTAAATGCAGCACTTAAAAATGTAACAACTCTGTGCATCCTTTTTCTTAAAAAAAATGACCTTGCATGTGTCATAGAAACGCTGCTTTATTGCTGCAGAGGTCAAAGTTCAAGGCTCAAGAGGTACAGGAGAGAATACAAAGGTAGCCTTTAGAAACGTGGTCTTGTTTATGTATAAAAAAGGTAAAGTTTATAAAAGTTAATTTACAAACCAAGAACAAAAGTGGTATGCACGCATTATGTACAAGCATCCTTAAAACATCAAAATTTTCAAATGCATAGCCAGAAAGAACAGAAAACCACCACTGCCCCTTGTCAAAAAAAAAAAAAAAAGAAAAGAAAAGAAAAGAAAAAAATATCCCCAAATCACACCACTATTTTCTTCTGGGTGATAACACATTTCTGAAACCACCAAATGCACAACGTACTCAGTCTTTGTCATGATACAGTATCTAGATAATGCACAAAAGCCATAAAAACTTAGTAACACAAGGAGAATGAGCTAAGAATTAAGAACATGAGGGTAAGGCATTTCTGCTGGTTAGTATGTCTGTGGTAATATGGTGAAGTTAGAGATCTGAAGAGGCCATGGAACCAGTCTCACATGCTTTTGTATCCTTCCCTAAGAAAAATGTGTTTTCATGTACAGTAAGTCATTGTCTTCACTTCACCCTCCCCCAGTTGTAAATCTCCTTGCTGTACATTTCTGTTAAATCCACAACACTGGTTATATATTCCAGGTGCATTTAAAAAATGTGTGCATATTACTTCATGCATAATAAAATAAAATGTGTACGTATGCTAGGCCAGGGCCATAGTAAAGTTTGAAACAGTGTACTTTGGAAAGAACAGACCTCAAATGCACCCCCATTTACTGGCTGGTATTTTAACGGAAATCAATATGTGAAGTTAAGCAGTGACGATAAAAAAATTACAAAAATCACAAAGCAAAATATCTTTGAACCTCTAGCCAATACCAACAGTCCCGTCAATCACAAACATGCAGTGTGTAGCATGTTTTCCGACCATGGTTCAGGGGCATGCTCACTCATCTTTATCAGTTCAAACAAATGCCTCATACTAACAAACTGTAGTATCAACTCTAAAAAAGGTATAATACTTGATAGAGTGGTTCCATTTAGATTAAGTTTAATCCAGTTTCACATTATTTAAGTTCCTATATTTCAAGAGTTAAAAGTGGTCAATAAGGACAGAAACACAGTTTGCTCCAACGAGATAATTTGGATCTCCGGGAAGACACTTGTTTTGCCAGGTTTTAGGATCACCTATGAGAGAAAAGAAGTTGATGTCATTTACAGTTCAGTAAACTGCTATCCGTAATGCTTTGCAATTATAGGGCAAATACGTATATTTAGACATAATTTTCTTCTGTTTCTTCAGCATATTGAATTTGTATCAAAACACATTGCTGTATTTCAAAGCAGATCTGCTGGCATCTAACAATTCCAAAGGTGTTTCACACTTCTAAAAAAATTTTTTTTAAAACGTTCTTTCTAACTCACACCATTAAGAACAGTTTTTTGTTTTTTGTTTTTAATTTTCAGACTTCTCCTTTATTACATTATCAAGTGCATTGGCCTTTTCAAAAAATGAATACAAGTGAGTGATGGCAATCTTATGCCTGGGACAGTCCCAGTTTGCCAGAGCCCACATAATTATCAGTAGCACTTTTTTTTTTTTTCCAGTTTCGAAAGTCTGGAGGATAATTATGTGATCACCTATTTGAGCTGAGAATGAGGACACATTTCTCACACTCAACTATAAACCAACAAATGAAGCCCAGTTCTGCAGAATCTAGTTCTTGAAGACTGTCTTCCCCCTTACAAAAAACAAGCAAAAAAACGAGACTGCACCAGAGCTGCTCAGCTCTGATTCCAGCTGGACAACAAAATTAATCATGCAGCTTCAAAAACTCATTGACTGGGTGTTAGTTAGGTCTCAGGATTTAAGTTTTTAATAAGCTCTTGGTGATTTCTATTAGATGTGAAGGCAGGGACGACTATATGTCTCTGTGGTGTCCAAGCAAGCTGAGAGTCACAGCTGTGGACGTTTGCTTCCCTTACAGAAGTAGCTCTCAAACAGGAATGACCCTGCCCCTGATGGGACATCTGGAGACAGTTTTGCTTGTTACCACTGGCATCTAGGGGTAGAGGCCCAGGGAAGCTGCTAAATATTCCACGACGAACAGGAGGGCCCTACAACAATCATTTGGCCAAAATGTCAACAGTGCCAGCTGAGAACTTTGCTTACAGTACGTTAGACATTACCTAAGCAATATCTGGAGCCAAAAGCATTTCATTTTTCCAGAAAATGGGGTACTTGTAAATATGAGGAAATATGTATTTACATGTAATTTTTTCCTCTGATAACATTAAAATATGCTCTTGCTATAATCTTTAGACCACAAACTTTTATTTCATACTGTACCAAACTAAAACTAAATAATGCTCATCTGATTTATCAAAGATTTGGAAGCTAGACTTTAAATCAGGTTCGCTTAAAGTGATCTACACCCAAAATAAAATTCTAATTATTAACTGACTTAAGTCACTCAAGGAAGTGAGAAATGTGAAAATGCAGTGGAAGCTTTGAAATTATCTCAGGAGAAAAAGTCATTTACAAATAGTGTATAAAAGAAGTAATTTAAAGTATTACACTGAAAAACCATGGCCAAGTATGATCACAATGGAAGATCTTGTTAAGTTTCTCTGGTATACATACGTTGTAGATTAAGAAATTAAACAGGCCAGGCACGGTGGCTCACACCTGTAATCCCAGCACTCTGGGAGGCCGAGGCGGGTGGATCACTTTAAGTCAGGAGTTCGAACCAGCCTGGCCAACATGGTGAAACCCCGTCTCTACTAAAAGTACAAAAATTAGCCAGGCATGGTGGTGGGCACCTGTAATCGAGGCTGAGGCAGGAGAATCGCTTGAAGCTGGGAGGCGAAGGTTGCAGTGAGCTGAGATCGTGCCACCGCATTCCAGCCTGGGCGACAGAGCGAGACTCCACCTCAAAAAACCAAATCAAAACAAACAAACAAAAAATAAATTAAACAATAGTAACCAAAAATAGAAATAGTTATATAAAGGAACAAAGTCATTTTAATAAGGTAAAAATGCCTATTTGTGCAGGACAATATCTCCCACTGCATCCTGAAAAATTTGACAGAATAAATCATTTTTCTGAACACCAAGAAATAGTCAATATTTGGCCAAATTATCAAAAAAAAATTTTTTTGAGACGGTCTCGCTCTGTTGCCCAGGCTGGAGTGCAGTGGCACGATCTTGGCTCACTGCAATCTCCGCCTCCCTGGCTCAAGCAATTCTCCTGCCTCAGCCTCCCGAGTAGCTGGGATTACAGGTGTGTGCCACCACGCCTGGCTAATTTTTGTATTTTTAGTAGAGATGGGGTTTCACCATGTTGGTCAGGCTGGTCTTGAACTCCTGACCTCAGGTAATCCACTTGCCTCAGCCTCCCAAAGTGCTGCGATTACAGGCATGAGCCACGGCGCCCGGCCCAAATTATCAATTTTTAAAAGGCAGAAAGTCTTCTACCTTTCCATATTTATTTACAATATATGCACCACAAATAAATGTGAAAACACTGGTGATGCCTACAAGGCCACAGGAACAGAGATAGAGATTTGCTAACACACAGCATGGGCAGCATCATCAGCCCAGGTATTAATCAACGACAGTCCCCAAAGCTCCCAAAGGACAGAGTGAAGACAGCATACCCGACGAGGAGTCGGATGATTTTAGAGCAAAAGACCAACCGTCAGGAGTCATGGACGCACAGTGTGGTAAGCGCAGCTCCACAGGCTTCAGGAACTTGAGGCCATGGGGACCACACATCACCAAAGGACTCAGCAGTGTTTCACCTGGAGTTGGAAAAGGGGATAGGCAGAGAGGATGGATGTGGTCTTTCTTCTAGAATCCCAGTTTTCCTCACCCTGCTTCTAATTATATGCTTGAAAGCCTAATGGAGTTAGTTCTCTACAGTCGCACTGACCACAAAAAAACGTAACAGCAGCCACATATGGAATCTTAAATTTCCCAGTAGCCACGTTAGAAAGTAAAAAGAAACAAGTGATATCAAATCTTACAATATTTTAATATTTTAACTCAATATAACGAAAACACTGTTATTTCAACATGTAATCAATATATGAAATCTTTGGAACTTGGTGTGTATTTCACATTTCCAGCATCTTTCAATCCCAAATTGTCACACTTCAAGTGCTAGCTAGCCACGTGCAGGCAGTGGCTACTGCATTCAATCATATGGGTCTATAATAAAAAACATATTCAAATGTGCTTGTTGCGAATGTGATATATTTTCCATTTTCAAAATGTTTTGTTTGCTCCATAGGTGGTTAAAGAGATTCATGCAGGGCCAACACAGTCAGTCCTACTGGTTTTTAAAACAGGATATCCCCAAAATCAGAGTGCAGAATCAGATGTCAGTATTCCGGCAAAATACAAAAAAGCGAACTAAATTTGTTTAGGAAGTAAAAGCACTGCTAAAAGATGCTAAATCACAACACACTTCGTTATAATATCCTGGTAGATCCAGGAGGATTATGAAAATAAGTTTCCTTAAGAAGCTCAGAAACATGCTGTCATCTCCTCTGAGACTCCTTCATGCACTCTGCTGAGCATGTACTAGTGCTAGGTTCTGGGGTGATGAATAAGACAGTACCTGTCAAGAGGTTTAGGTTCTCCAATCAGGTGAAGGCACAGCAAAGCCTTTCTGAGTGGGTGTTACCTAACCCATCTCCAGAGACGCAAAGGCTGACTGATTCAAAGACAAATTTGGTTAGGTCAGCCTAGGCTGCTCAGCAGGTGAGACATCCCGTGGCCTGTCCTATGCCATCATTTTTTATTTCACACCAAAAGTAAAAGCAGGCAGTGTGGTCACCACAGCCTTGCTTCAGGCCACCCACTGCTTGCTTGCAACACCGTCCCCAGGGCACCCCTCGCTACAGCACTCATCTGGAGATAGAGAGGTGCTGCATTATTAGCCAAGCACTATAAGCTCTGAAGTGCACACAGGGCAACTCTTAAGTTATCAAAACTAAGGAGAAAAATAAACACATTTACCTTTCTCTTTATCTAAAGGTGGAAGGATGCTGTTGTCCCGGCAGACCTTGAAATAGATTTCCTGCTCAACTCCTTCGGGAATGGCTCCTTGAGGGATAATTATACTAACACCAGTTTCTATGGAACTCAGCACGCCCCCATTGCTGTTAAATATGCCTCGGGCTGTGGCCACCACAGTATGACCATCTTCATCTTCATCCTCTTCCACAGCTGAAGGACTGAAAGTTCAGAAATGGCTAGTGAGTGAATTCCTAATAATACACAGGTGCTTTGCTTTTACTACTACTGTATTACGTGCTTTCACTTTTATTTCTCCATATAATCAAGAAGTTACTTTAACAAGATAAGTTTCTGGCAACAGATTTTACTGACAGGGTTATCGCAGAGAATATTATTTCTTTTTTGTTTGTTTGTTTGGTTTTGAGACAGAGTCTCACTCTGTCGCCCAGGCTGGAGTGCAGTGGCACGATCTTGGTTCACTGCAACCTCCATCTCCCAGGTTCAAGTGATTTTTCTGCCTCAGCCTCCCATGTAGCTGGGACTACAGGCGCACGCCACCAAGCCTGGCTAATTTTTGTATTTTTAGTAGAGATGGGGTTTCACCATATTGGCCGGGCTGGTCTCAAACTCCTGATCTCGTCGTGATCCACCTGCCTTGGTCTCCCAAAGTGCTGAGGTTACAGGCGTGAGCCACCGCGCCTGGCGAGAATATTATTTCTAGAGAAATTCCATTCTAGAAAATTTCAAAAATTCTAGAGAAATGTCAAAAATTCAATTTTTGAAGGCAATCAGTCAAACGACCTTCATTAATGAATTGCAACCTGAAAGTGTAAAATCTGATGCCTTGAACACCCAACTACAGGTGAAGCATCCCTAACCTGAAAATCTGAAATGCTCCAAAATCGGAAACTTTTTTTTGAGTGTCAAAATGAAGCTCAAAGGAAATGCTCATTGGAGCATTTTGGCAATATTCCAAAATCCAAAAAAACCCAAGATATGAGACACTTCAGAACCCAAGAAGTTTGGACAAGGGATACTAAACAGGTACAGAGTTTTATGAAGCACATTTTAAAATCCATGAAATTGGAACTTTAAAACTGGTAAGTCACAATTTAATTGGTAGCCCTGTTCTTCCCTTCCTGTTGTTTTTTGAAATGGAGTGTCTTGCTGTCACCCAGGCTAGAGTACAGCGGTGCAATCTTGGCTCACTGCAACCTCCACCTCCCAGGTTCAAGCAATTTTCCTGCCTCAGCTTCTGAGTAGCTAGGATTACAGGCGTCTGCCACCATGCCCGGCTAATTTTTGTATTTTTAGTAGACATGGGTTTTCACCGTGTTGGCCAGGATGGAACTCCTGACTTCCAGTGATCCGCCCGCCTCAACCTCCGAAAGTGCTGGGATTAGAGGCATGAGCCACCGTGCCTGGCTGTTCTTCCATTTTTAGTGACACAAAACAATGGTGCATCTCACGGCTGACAGCATCTCAGACTTGATAAAATCTCCCTAGGATTTTAAGTGTGCCTGAGTATGGTCCTGCCTCAGCATTCCCTGAGGACCAAGCGCCCGCTCTGGCTGTAGGAGGCAAGGCTTCCAAGGTTCCATGAGGCGAAGACCCTTGTATGGGCATATCCCAAACATCCACGAAAGAGAGACAGTAGATTAACTTAGTAATCACAGAACGCCAAAGGCAAAGGGGATGTGGTATCAATGACTGCTTCAAAAGTAGAGGCTATCAACTTCCTGAAAGTACAGTTTTGAGCCAGGGCTCAAAGGTGAGCAGAAAGACCAACGAAACAGAATTACATGAAGGTAGCTGCCGTTTCACTCCAGCATGACCGGAGTGCCAGGGACGACATCCTACGACACAACATCAAGGGAGCAGAGCGCAGCCTGAGCTGCAGAGCAGAGGCCAGCTCTGTCCGCCCCTGACCATCTGTGGATGTGCAGAGCTAGGAAGGCAGTGACCGCCATAACCATCCTTTCTCTTGGAAAGCAGACTCAGGTGGCCATCCTGACCTTTGGTTCTCCCTGCCTGCAAGTGCTTCTGCTTTATGGTGGCGTGAAAATGGAACTGGCTGTAGGAGGCTGAGATGAGCTTTTATGTATGGCCAGAATCCATCTGGTCAATCGCCGTGGAATGAAAGACAGGAAAGAGGAGCTGCAGGGAGGCTCCAGGTGGGCTCACTTTGTCTCATTTGCTCAGCCATCTCACTAACTGCTGCTCTTTAAACAGTCAGAGGTTATTCTATTTTTCTTCTTAGCATCATTGTGGAACAAATAATGAATGAGGAACATAGATACTTAATGTTTTTAGATGTCCTCCACATGCACCTTACCAGTAGGTCAGGAGGTTACAAAAGGTCATGGCTGGTTAAGAGTATGGGCTCCTGGCTGGGTGCAGTGGCTCACGCCTGTAATCCTAACACTTTGGGAGGTGGAGGCGGATGGATCACTTGAGATCAGAAGTTCAAAACCAGTCTGGCCAACATGGTGAAAACCTCTACTAAAAATACAAAAAATTTAGCCAGGCGTGGTGGCACACACCTGTAGTCCCAGCTACTTAGGAGGCTGAGGCAGGAGAATTGCCTGAACCCAGGGGGTGGAGGTTGCAGTGAACCAAGATCGCACCACTGCACTCCAGCCTGGGCGACAGAGGGAGACTCTTGTCTCAAAAAAAAAAAAAAAAAAAAGCATGGGCTCAGAGGTCGGATGACCAGCAGCTAAATTGAGGCTCACCTCACTCTAGCTGTGACCCTGGGCAAACTGCTTACTGTCACTCAACCTCAGTTCTTAGTAAAACAGGGATGATGACAATACCTACCAACCATACACGACTGTTAGCTTTATTATTTTACCAACATCTTGTACCTCCTGGAGGACCTTCTATGTAACAGCATTCATTGCAACAACACTCTTCAGTTTAAAGGTTGAGTTAAAAAGATCACTTTAAAGTCCCAAGTCAAATAAACTACAACAAACTCACATGAGAAAAATCACAGGGCCAATGCTTTGAGCAAAGGCATAAGTCTTACCTCACAGGAATAGCTTTAGGCACTGTGCTGATATTATTTATTTGATATTTAGGCTTCTCTGCATGGATAGAGAAAGTTTCAACTCCACTGTCAAACTCAGGAGGCTGTGCCAAACTGTGCGATTTCACAAGAGTTTTTGGAGAAGTGGGAGTTTTTGAAGACAAGTCAGGTTTATGTGCAGTTTCACTTGGCAGAAGATTGTGATTGAATTTAGGACTTTCAAACTTGCGTTCAAATGGTCGGGCAGAACTTGTATATGGTTTTGGTGTGAATCGATTGTATGCTGGAGTGACTGTTTTCTGAGTCTGTTCAGTTCCATTAACTGGGGCTTTATCTGGAAAACTTTTCTGGGGATAGAAAGCTGCCTGAGCAGTATCTTCTCGGTTTGGTGGTCTGAAAGTTGCTGGCTTATTCTGAGATGGAGGTGGGTCTGGTTTGGACACTAAGGAATTCTGAAAATCCAATGACACTGAATTACCTGAAAAACAAACGTAAGCATTTAAATAACTTTCTGAAAAAAGTTATAATAGCCCTGTCCCAGCTTAACTTGTCCTGGTGCTGGAGTCGAGGCCCAAATGTGGGTCGCACAGCCAGAGCCTGACTCTTGAGCCCTGGAGGCTAGGTGTGATGCTGAGGGATGAGGGCAGCATGGACAGGTGGTGCCATGAATATATATACCCTGCTGCCCTGGAGTCAGGGTCCAGCTGCTAAGATTCCTGGCCTCCAAAGATTGGCACTAGTCTTTGTGAAAACTAGAATGCCCAATAATCATATAATAAGGATACTCACTATTAATTAGAAAAATGTAAAACAAAACCAACAAAAAGCATTAAATACTATTTCACACCCACTAGAATGGAAAAACCGAAAAGTCTGATGATGCCAAACATTGGTTAAAAAGTGGAACCACAGGATTTTTTATGCACTGCCAGCCGCAGTGTAACACAGTACCAACTGAACTCTGTGAAATAATTAAGGACACTACAAGACAGGAGAATTATTAATCCAAATACCTCATGAATATAGTAATATAATTTTCCACAGTACGAGAAGAAAAATCATATGGTCATCTTAATACATGCAGGAAAAACATCTGACTGCTTTCAGCAAACTCTGAATATAGGGAATGTCTTAAACATGATAAAGGACATCTACGAAAATCCTAGAGCTAACATTCTAAAGGATAAAACATGAAGTCCTTCCTCCTTAAAATCAGGAACTAGCAAAAGAGGTCCAATTTCACCACTTACATTTCAGAGTTTATTGGAGGTCCTGGCCAGTGCAATCAGCAAGAAAAGAAAGAAGGCTAGGTGCGGTGGCTCATGCCTGTAATCCCAGCACTCTTGAGAGGCCGAGGTGGGCGGATCACCTGAGGTCAGGAGTTCGTGACCAGCCTGGCTAACATGATGAAACCCTGTCTCTACAAAAAATACAAAAATTAGCCGGGCGTGGTGGTGTGCGCCTATAGTCCCAGCTACTCAGGAGGCTGAGGCAGGAGAATCACCTGAACCCGAGAGGCAGAGGTTGCAGTGAGCTGAGACTGCGCCACTGCACTGTAGCCTGGGCGAGAGCAAGGCTTCGTCTCAAAAAGAGGAAAAAAAAAAAGAGAAAAGGCATAAGGACTGGAAAGTAAGAATTAAAACTGTCTTTATCTGTAAACATGGGCATGTGTGAAAAAAAATCTTAATAAAAGATAGCCTCAATCCAGAACTATAACACATCTGCTTGAAGACTCACAAGCCCAAGGAGGTGCCTCCTAAGGGAATAATAAGAGAAGTCTGTGCTAGGAAAATGCCTGTCCACAGCAGAAGAGATAACCACTTTGTGTTATATGCTGAGGGTAAAATGTTACAAAGCTCTTAAGATGAATAATCTGGAGCTATATGTGATCTACCTGGTATGTAAATGCAAAAGTCAAGGTGTATGGGATACATTTTATATGAAACATTATGGCTTTTCTATTTGGGTGTGTGAGATAAAACATAGTAGGTTTTACAAACCATCTTTACATATACTGGCAAACACTACTTCCAGAAGATTTAGAGACTAGCATAAAATAGATTAAAATCTGTTTAGCTAAAAGGCTTGTCCAAAATAATGGTCTTGTAAAAACAGGAGACATACTTTTAACAAAATTCTTAGTTTTTACTGTTCCCAGCCCAAAGGTTTCAAGCATGTATTTTTTAATGTAAAAACCATTTTGCCTAGAAACCACCAGAATTTTACTTCATAAGCATTACTGTGTTAAAATGTCTACTTCCGAACTTCCTACCTTCACCATGTGCTCCCTTAGAATGTATGTGGAGAGACGCGCTGGTGACAGGCTGAGATGGCTGGGCATACTGCGAGGGCAATGGAGGAGGAGGGGGAGTGGCCTGGATGGGTTCATAGCGTTTCTCGCCAAATGATCTATCCACACCATCAGCTTCAGGAGGCTTTCCCCTGTTAACAAATGAAGAAAATGCCAACACCTGAAAATGGACTCACATTTACAAAACAAGTTCTCATTTCTCCATGTATCTCTAAGTTAAAAAAAAAAACTAGAAATTTCACAATTTATTCTCATGAGTATGGGTAGCTACTCTACCAAAATATAAAAACAGATTCGACCATTCATCGGCACAAGAAATGTCCAGACACACAAAAACTTTAAGAATATTAGTAAAACATCCAGAAGATGGCAACCAAAGGCAGGTGAAATTTTGGGTATAGTTTAATTGTTATTTACAAAAGATAGTAACGTTGACAGATTTAAGAAAGTCTTGCAAATATTCTGAAAACATATCATGGCACAAATTTTCCTGAGACCCACTTTTTTTGTTTTTGAGACAGGGTCTCATTCTGTCGCCCAGACTGGAGTGCAGTGGCGCGATCTCAGTTTACCACAACCTCTGCCTCCCAGGCTCAAGTGATTCTTCTGCCTCAGCCTCCCGAGTAGCTGGGATTACAGATGCCAGCCACCACGCCTGGCTAATTTTTGTACTTTTAGTAGAGATGGCGTTTCACCACGTTGTCCAGGCTGGTCTTGAACTCCTGACCTCAAGTGAGCCGCCTGCCTCTGCTTCTTAAAAGTGCTGGGATTACAGGCATGAGCCACCGCACCCGGCCCTAGACCCACTTCTGATTTTGTATCTGGCATCTGGCATACTCGGAGCACCATAAAAACAGATGTCACAGACTAGGGGTTGGCAAACTTTTTCACTGAAACACCAGAGAGTAAATGTTTGTGGTCTTTTGGCCCATACAGTCTTTGTTAGAACTATTCAAATTATGCGGTTATAGCCTTGAAGCAGCCACAGACAATGGGCATATCTGCGTTTCGGTAAAACTAAAAAAACTGGAGCTTTTACTTTAAAATTTCCCCTTGAGTTACCAGGTCCATTTTTTGGTTAAATGACTGCTAGAGCAGCAGATCCTGCTTTATTTTACAAGGTTCATTTAAGTCAAATTGTGCCATGTATGTTTATTTTTTCAGATTGCCAATTGTTAATATGTAACACAAAATTCACACAAATCTTTTTAAAAGACCCATAATTGCAACATTGCCATCTAAACCTTACTGCTGAATGCCAAAGCTGCACTAGCTTTATGTGCACCAACAATAACATATACATTTGGAATACTCCTGGTCATTTTCATAAATTTTCATTGAAGAAGTCTTATGATTGGCTTTTTTATCTTGCTTTCATGAATTTAGACTAAGCCCTTGATGATGACATTAAAATCTGAAAGTGCACATAATGCCAGTGACACAGTGAGGGACACCTTATGGAACAGCCTCACATTAATTGCCAGTCTTACCACTTGACGTTCCTTTTCAAGTAGTCATAGCTAGTGTAAGAGCCAAGAAATCTAGGTGATGGCAAAGCAAGCGCAATAGAAAAATGAAAGAAAATGGTCAATCTAACTAAGTAAATTTGCAGCAAATGGAACTCAAATGTCATTTAAAAATATCAACCAACATCCACCATTTCACCATAATTTGGTCTATAAAGGAACATATCACTAACTCTCATTTGGCCAAGGAAATTGAAGATAAATAAAACACAATCACTTAGTTATGTCCCGTCTGCTGGCCCATCCTTCATGTACTTTAACTGTTACTGCAGTGAAAAGCAATGTGTTTGAACTTTGCTCCTTCTCCACCTCTGTTGCAGCTGCTAATAGTGAGCAAAGAAATTTATCAAATCAAAGAGTGGTGATCAAGGATAATTAGCAGGTTCTGAATAAGTGGGAGTGACATGTCCCATTAAAAAAAAAAAAAAAAAGGCTGGGCAAAGAAATTCTGCAAGTGAAGACACAGGAAAAAGTAACACAACAGAAGAGCTACATTGAGCCCCTGGGAGGGGAATGGTAAATGGAGAGATAGAAATATGCCTGGCTTGAAACCTGGCCAGGCTTCACATGTTCCTTTCTAGCAAGACCTCCTCCATCTCCAATCATAAGCTGGGCCCTGTGGTGGTGGAGTCTTACTGGTGAAGCTGCATGCTTGATGCTCAGGCTCTCTCTCATCTAATGATGTCTCACAAACACAAAAACAACTGAACATCAGTCTCTCACATTTAGTTCTTTAAAAGCTACAAACCACCATCATTTATTGAGACCTGGAAGTCTCACATAGTGAGTTGAGTCCTGAAAGGTAGATTTGATAACAAAAAATCCCTGGTTGTCCTGAAGAAGTTGACTCAATCTCTGGACTGAGACATGTGCACAGCCCTGGAGGGACACTGCTCTTCTTGCACTGTTTTAGAATCCTGGAAACTTCTGATTTACTTTGGAGGTGAATGTCTAAGCTACTGTCTCCTAACCTTTCCAGTTCTAATCCAGCTCTATGGAACTGTTAGACTGGGTAATATCTGCTTGCTTCCTGGGGCATCTGTCCTGTGCTAACAAAGATTATTTTCCATATCTAATTCTCACCATTTCTGAGGTGTGTTTTTAAGTGAAGCATAAGCACACATCATCTGAAGGAAGAAAATTTTGCTACTCCTGTATTTACTGAAAGAAAGAAATGCCTGAAGGCAGTCTTATTTAGTGACAAACAGTAAATGGTTTTGAAATGCAGGACAGAGTCCTATATTTTAAGCTATTTTCCAGTTGATGAAGTTGTACTCATTGGACAAGAGTATGAAAAAGCATTACAAGGGAAACTTACAGAAACAACTACCCTCTTAGTTATCTTCCATGACCCTTATTCTCCTTTCCATTTCTCTAACCATTAAATACCTATATGGGAAAATGCAGCACAATTATAAAGAGTTTCAATTTCACACTACAAAGGAAAAAAAAGTATACTGGTATCCAGCCCAAACTATACTTTTCTCTCTCACAGCAGCAGGGAGTAAAATCAAACTGAGTTCTGAGTAAATTCACAAAGACAGATGTCATCTGTTTCACAATATATCCCTGTGAAAACAATGACCAGGTAATACAGGTTCCTTCCAGAGCTGTGTTAATGAAAAGAAGGGTGGTGGATGCACCTAGTATACCATGCCCTGTTTTGAGCTTCATTCACTCAACAATTACTGAGCCCCTACTGCATGCAAGGCAATGTTCTACACCCTAAAGTTATACATCACAAATAAGCTAAGTCTTCTTTCTAGAAAAACAAATTAACACAGAAAGCAAACATGCATTTTGATTGATTCCCTGGCAAAACAACTTACTTTTTAGACCTAAATATACTCCTTTTTTTTTTTGAGATGAGTCTGGCTCTGTCGCCCAGACTGGAGTGCAGTGGCGCGATCTCGGCTCATTGCAAGCTCCGCCTCCCGGGTTCATGCCATTCTCCTGCCTCAGCCTCCAGAGTAGCTGGGACTACAGGCACCTGCCACCATGCCCAGGTAATTTTTTGTATTTTTAGTAGAGACAGGGTTTCACCATATTAGCCAGGATGGTCTCGATCTCCTGACCTCATGATCCACCCACCTCGGCCTCCCAAAGTGCTGGGAGTACAGGCGTGAGCCACTGCGCCCAGCCTTTTTTTTTTTTTTTTTTTTTGAGACAGAGTCTCACTCTGTTGCCCAAGCTGGAGTCCAGTGGCACGATCTCGGCTCACTGCAAGCTCTGTCTCCCGGGTTCACGCCATTCTCCTGCCTCAGTCTCCCGAGTAGCTGGGACTATAGGAGCCCGCCACCACGCCCCGCTGATTTTTTTGTATTTTTAGTAGAGATGGGGTTTCATCGTGTTAGCCAGGATGGTCTCGATCTCCTGACCTCATGATCAGCCTGCCTTGGTCTCCCAAAGTGCTGGGATTACAGGCACGAGCCACTGCGCCTGGCCATATAATCTTTTTAAGGTTGTATTCTATTTACCAAATATGTAAAACGATAAATAAGAGATATCTTTAAACTAAACACCTGAGCCTTCTTCTGACAGGAATGAATGTGTTTAACGGTGTTTAGTAAAAATAATAACTAAAGGGTACACCCTTCTGCCTTACCAAAGGTGAGCTCCTATGGCTCAGTGCCTAGCTCACTTTAGGCTAGTCACCATTTAGATGTTACTGTGATAACTGTGTAAATGAATTCCTGTAACACTGTAAATGTAAATGAATTCCTAATGACAAATCCACATCTGTTTTTGTTCTTGTGGGTTTTGTTCTGTTGAGGTATGAACCCAGCTGTGCACCTGTGTGGGTTTATATTGTGCTAGCTCACTTCAGTCCAGACACCATCTAGATGCCACAACCCCTTTCTAGTGTTGTGCTAAGGGGTGGTTCACAACACTAGTACAAGACACGTTTTGCATTTAATACAACCCCCACTGCAGCACTCTCAGTTTGCATTTGGATTCTCATAAACTGCTTTCCTCTGTAAACATAAAGCCTTAAATATAGGACAGTGAAAAAAGTCTTCACTACAAAGGATGTCTTAGAAAAAAGCAGTGGTAATTAAAATTAGGTTTTAATGTTAGTGGTTTTAAAGTATGTTCTAAAACAATTTACACTCAATAGTAAATGACAAATAGGTCATTTCCCAAGATAATCCCAAGCCCACGCAACTAAGTAAGGAAAAATCTAGGTGCTTTTAATATAGACACAATACTATGTGTGATGAATTCTAATATGTCAATCTGGCTAGGTACTGCCATGAAGGGATTTTTCAGGTGTAATGTCCCCAAGTCAGTTGAGGGGAGATGGTCTTGGGAGGGCCTGGCCTAATCAGCAGAGCCCTCTGAATGAGAATTTAGGCCTTCCCTGATCTCACACTCCCCAGTAGCTCAAAATCTTCCCTTCCTGACCAACTGCCCTCTGAAATAGGACTTGCTTAGCCAGCCCCTGTAACTGTGTAAATGAATTTCTTTTGACAAATCCACATCTGTTTTTGTTCTTGTGGGTTTTGTTCTATTGAGGTATGAATCTACCTGTGTGCCCGTGTGGGCTTAGACACAACTATCAGTACCAAATTCTCTTATCAGTCAGGGTTCAACCAGAGACACAGAACCAGTAGGAGACACAAACCCACGCAGGCACAAGAAAGGAGAACAAACCAACACGAAACCCAGGGATGAGTAATCGGAGGGGAGCAGCAAGCACAGGGAAAAGATGACTGGGAGTCAAGAAACTTGGGGTTCAGTCCCAGCTCTGCCCTGTCATTTTCCCTCACCTGTAAAACTGGATCAGAAATCTTACAAAAACAAAAAACAAAAAACCTCTTCAGTATTTCCCTCAAACAGGATCCTCCTCACATCTGTATTTATATTTAAAAAATAAAAACAGAAAAGAAAAAGAACCAGCATGACATCATTAGGTGTGTGTACAGAAGTGAAGACTGATGATTACCTATCGATGAGGGTCCTTGTGGTTGACACTGTCTTCCGTCAAAACCCTGTGATGTTAGCATCTTTGTGAATGCAAAAACTATGTACATCTAATAGCAGACTTTAAAAACAAAACACACATCCCAGAACTAAAAAGTATGTACAATGCTGAACCACTAGAGCCTACAGAAATCATATATTACACTTAAATTATTTTTCTTCAAAATATATTGAACTGCACGGGATTAATATGCTGCATCCTATTTTTAAAAGCCAGGTGAAATAGCTTACTTTGAAGAATAACTAGAAAAATTTGATTGATTCTGAGAATGAGCTGGCTTTGCAGGCTCGGAGAGATGGCTGGCAGCAATGTGTGCAGGAGGCTTATTCTCAAAACTTCTTCGGTCAAAGTATGACAGCTGTTTTCGATAATATTCTTCATCTTCTTCAGGGTCATAATGATTGGACCGAACAATATCTTCAGGTGGCTTCAGTTGAGGTTTTTGAGGTTCTGGGATCCTAACAGATAATGAATGACAAACGGAACACCTTTTTAAATATTAATGTTATGAAGGAAGTAGAATATGTAAGTCTTATCTTGACTAAAAGGTCAATAATTACTAACTGCTGTGATTACTGAGGATCTGAGCAGTCCCAACAGTTAAAATGGATATTTCAAATCCCATGTCCTCACAGAGTATACTCAAAAGGCAGCCCCCTTCTGGCTCATGAGTCCTTTAACACAATATAATAAGCTAAACGATTACATGATTAGGGAACAGCAGGTTAGAAGTAGTTAATCAGAAAGACAAAGGGCAATGTAACCGAGACAGTGAACATCTTGAGAAGTACATATACCAAGGTCAAGAACAGTAAATGATAGACTTTAAGAACTTTCAAAGGGATTTTTAAGAACTCAGTCCAGGATCTCAATGATTCTCATATGAACAAATAACTCTATATGGTCTAAAGTTCTAGAAGGCATACAAAGCAGATGAGGAAGAAAGCAAGTCATTAAGTAAATTCATATTAGACAGTTCTCTTCTTTATCCTAAGTGCAAACATATATTCAGTCAAAAAACAAAATCAGAAGAGCTGTATTCAAATCTAATCTGTCACTTATTGGCAGTGCAATGAGGCCATGGGAAAAAGCTCAGGCTGAGGAGCAGCAGGCCAGGTTTCTCTTCCAGCTCTAAGTCTTGTAAGCTACTTAGCCCCTCTCAGCCTCAGTGTCTCTCTCTACAATGCAGAACAACAACAGTGTCACCTCATTATGCTGATGTGCTTAGCACAAGGGCAAGCACCTTATGCATGCTCACTAAATGATTTAGTTATCTTAACCAATCTGAGTCTGTTTCCTCACCACTGGAAACTAAGAGTTCACATGTCGAAAAGCACTTTTAAAACTAAAAAACATAATACAAATGTCAGAGCTTAAAAATGTTTATTTAATCATCTGCTTGGAGAATATCTTTCCGAAAGTCTGCTAAAGGTATAAAGATTTGTCAGATTTGTCAGAAATAAAGTTCTACTTTTTTTCCCCCTAGAATCACTGTTTAGGAGAGCTGATAGTTTTTATTTAAGGACAAACTCCTCCTATTCACACCTCTCCTCTACTAACACAGTAAAAGGTTTTCTTATTGACTAAGAGGGTTAAATTCCTGGTCAGTTCTATGCCACAAAGAGCACAAAGTGTACTCACCTGTACAGAGTTTTGTCATGTTCACTGAATTGATTCTGAGAAGTGGGTTTGGGACCAATGATGGGAGCACCTGAAGGTTTAGATGCTACTTCTGGAGGCTGTTTAAAAAAAAAAAAAAAAAAAAGACAAATATGCCTAAGGAACAGATAATTAACAGAATAGATATCATGTAATGGCGGAGGGGAGAGCCAAGAAGCCTTTTAAACGGTGTGCCCATGCATCCAAGGCACTAAAGACATATTTACCTTAAAACTGCCAGTGTCATTTACATCCTTCTTGGTCTCTAAGGATGCAGATCTTTTGTTTTCAAACATCTTAACTCTGGTGAGTACAGACTGTGGCTTCATTGCTGGATCTTCCTCTTCTTCGGTTTGAGTTGGGGGTGGAGGCAGTGGTTTGGTGTTTGAAGGCAGAGCTTCTGGCTTATGCTGAGATGAAGGTATCAGCGGAGGGACAGCTGCAGCACCATGGAGAGGCTCAAAATGACCTGCTCTAGAGGTAAATCCTTGGGGTGGTACTTGCTCGTAACTGCGTGAATATTGCTCAAAATACTGCTTGGACTCTGCAGGCTTGGGCCCTGCTGAAGGGTGGGGCTGGGCTTCCGGTCTGAGTCTACCATGTGTGTCATACCCAGGAGCTGGCTGCTCTTCGTGCCGCAGGGCGGATGCTCTAGGTGCCTGTTCGTAACGTGGTCTGCTGTCGTAAGACAGAGGGGCTGGCTCTTCAAAACGTGGAAAGTACCCTCGTTCTGAGGACTCTTCGGGATGCTGTCTGGAGTCAAGGTCTTGAGAGTGCTGATTATCAAAAGGTGGCCGAGATGGGTAGGGCTGTTTGTCATCATAATATGACCACTGTTCTTCATACATGGGGACGCGATCTTCGTATCGCAGACGATGTTCATAGTTTCGAGAAAACTGGTCCGTATAGCTTGAGGACTCGTATCTGTATGTGGGCTGCTCGAGGTCTCTGCTGGCTTGTTTCTCTACGTATGGGAGTTGGGGTTCATAGGTCAGATTAGGCTCTTTGTCTGGCCTGTGCCCTGGGTGACTAACGGCTGGCTGTTTCAAAACATGGTTCTGCCTCATCATTTCCTCGGGATATGGATCCTTTCTATACACCTGTATAAAAAATTCACATTTAAGGACAAAGTCTTGTTTCTAATTCTAGTCTATTTTATTAGACTGTGATTAAATATTAAACTATGATTTAATATGTGAAAATGGTATGTTTTACCATTTATTATCAGGATAGACAAGATTAGTGGAAAAAGCTGGTTTAAGTGAAAGCTCAAAATTTATAATGCAGGTAGGGGCTTTTATGTTTCAGCATGTACTAAATAAACAGTGAGTTAAAGATAAATATTAAATTTAGTAGAAAATTAATGCACTATTGATTACACTTCATTTTGACACTGAAAAATCCTAAAGAAGATTTATGGGCATCATAATTTGTATTAACATAAATATGTTTATGATGGGTTTCGATTACATATTAAGGAATTCTGGAAGATACTGAAAGCCAAAAATAAAAATAATAAGCACAAATCTCAATTAAAAGGCCTGTTTTCAAATAATCAGTATACCAATGGAAGCCATGCAAACTACGAAACTGAAATGATTTGTATTGATTTGAAAGCATTACAGTGTATAAGCCTGCAGTAAAAAAGCAAAAGGAACACTTAAAGGGCAAAGCAAAAATGATCATGTGCCAGATTGATGGACAGCAACAAATTAGTGCAACACCGCAGCACAGGTACCTTTGTTGGATCTACATGCGACGACAATGATGGTTCTTGATCTCTTAGCATTATGTGAGCTGCCTCAGTACTTGGTGTTCTTAAAGAATCAGCTTGTGGTGAGTAAGAGGTGGAAGGAGCTGGGGTGGGCTCCTCCAGTCTGACATTAGTTAAATTTACATTATGATTAACAGCAGAGGTTGATGATGCTGGGTTTGTTTCAGGCGAAAGGTAAGGGACTGGAGATGAAGCTTCTGCTTTCTGTGAAGTGTTTAAAATATTTTAAATATAGTGTTTCTGTTTACTGCTAACTTTCCACTTCAATTTATAGTGATTGGTAGACATACATTTTAAGTGTGCTGAATAACAAAATTATGACCTCATGTCCTAAACTTTTTGGGAAAAAAAAAAAATCCAGTACATTGCTGTGTTAAGACAAACACACAAAATTTAGAATTAAGCCCTTGGTACTCTCAAATTGAAATTGAAGATTAATTCTTAATCTGGAGAAAGGACAACATATATATTTTTAACTCAATCACCACATTCTAAAATTTAATAATGCACCTCTATCTACAAAACGTTGAATGCTTGCTGCTTACCTGTTGAGAGGCTGGCTTAAATCCAGGGGAGTCTATTCTATGAATTGGTTGTGGCTGCGCTTGTGGTGAGTAAGGAGGATATGTTTGGTTTTCATGATGCATTCCAGAGGAGTCCTCTCTTACAGGCTCAGAGGACCGTGTAATGGCAGACTCCGGTGGAGTCCCAACCTCATCATTAAGAGTTTCATCTAGTTCTTGATCAGTGTAGGCCCCGCCTTCTGTGTCTGTGTCTTCATAGTCAGAAGTGTGTCTACTGTCCGTGCTATACATTGAGTATTCACTACCTGGAGCTGACAGGTAGGACAGACGATCATCATGCAAATCAAGGTCATCACTTGTAGCACCATCCGCCTGGGTCAAATAAAAGTAAATTACAAATTTTATTCAGTAGTTCTTTAAGAGATGGCCTTTATCGTACAAGGCAGATTGAAAAGGATATCTTTCTCTGGAGAAGTCACATCTACTTCTTGAAACTTCTGGTAAGGAAAAGTCAAGAAGATTGTACAAGCACACACGCAGACACATGGAGCACCCCTTGAGATCTGAAGGGCATGGATGAAGGAAACAGTGGCCGGTAAGCCAGGACAAAGTTAGACTCCAGGGCCCAGCCCTGGAAGACAACGAAGAAACTCTGACACTGCTCAGATTTATAAAACCTACTCACTAGCTCTTCAGCCCTTTTAAGCAAGGGGAAGAGGGAGAATGTTACCAAACTAAGCTCACAGAAACAAGGACACACTGACAGAATAGCACATGGAAGAATACCTATGAAATAAACCCAACAGTTCAAAAGTTGAATAAGAGCTAATATATTTATGTTTAGGAAACAACTGATATGGTTTGGATTTGTGTTCCCACCCAAATCTCATGTTGAATTGTAATCCCCAGTGTTGGGGGAGGGGCCTGGTGGGAGGTGACTGGATCATGGGGGTGGTTTCTAATGGTTTAGCACCATCTCCCTCACACAGTCTTGTGATAGAATTCTCCCAAGATCTGTTTTTTTAAGTGTGCAGCACCTCCCCAACTCTCTTCCTCCTGCTCCAGCCATATAAGACATGCTTCCTTCCCCTTCCGCCACGATTGTAAGTTGCCTGAGGCCTCCCCAGAAGCAGAAGCCTGTACAGCCTGCAGAACTGTGAGCCAATGAAACCTTTTCTTTATAAATTACCCAGTCTCAGGTGGTTCTTTATCACAGTGTGAGAATGGACTAATACAGTAAATTGGTACCAGAGAAGTAGGGCATTGCCAAAAAGATACCTGAAAATGTGGAAGCAGCTTTGGAACTGGGTAATGGGCAGAGGTTGGAACAGTTTGGAGGGCTCAAGAGAAGACAGAAAAATGAGGGAAAGTTTGGAATTTCCTAGAGACCTGTTGAATGGTTTTGACCAAAATGCTAATAGTGATATGGACAATAAAGTCCAGGCTGTGGAGGTCTCAGACAGAGATGAAGAACTTACTGGGAACTGGAGTAAAGGTCATTCATTCTTGCTATGCTTTAGCAAAGACACTGGTGGCACTGTGCCCCTGCTCTAGTGATCTGTGGAACTTTGAACTTGAGAGAGATGATTTAGGGTATCTGGTGGAAGAAATTTCTGAATAGCAAAGCATTCAAGATGCGACCTGGCTGCTTCTAACAGCATGTGTTCATATGTGTGCACAAACAGATTATCTGAAACTGGAACTTATATTTAAAAGTGAAGCAGAGCATAAAAGTTTGGAAAATTTGCAGCCTGGCTATGCAGTAAAAAATAAAAACCCATTTTCTGGGGAGGAATTCAAGCTGGCTGCAGAAATTTGTTAAGTAACGAGGGACAGAATATTAACAGACAAAACAATGGGGGAAAATGTCTCCAGGGCATTTTGGAGGCCTATGCGGCAGCCCCTCCCATCACAAGCCTGGAGGCCTAGGAGGGAAAAAATGGTTTTGTGGGTGATCCAGGCCCGGCCCTGCTGCTCTGTGCAGCCTCAGGACATGGTGCCCTGCATCATGGCTGTTCTAGCTCCAGACATGGCCAAAATGGGCCAAGTTACAGCTCAGGCTGTTGCTTCAGAGGGTGCAAGCCCTAAGCCTTGGCAGCTTCCACATGATGCTAAGTCTGCGGGTGCACAGAGGGAGACAGTTGAGGCTTGGGAGCCTCTGCCTAGATTTCAGAGGATGTATGGAAATGCCTGGATGTCCAGGCAGAAGTCTGCTGCAGGAGCGGAGCCCTCATGGAGCACCTCCAGGGCAGTGTGGAGGGGAAATGTGGGGTTGGAGCCCCCCACCAGACAGTCCCCACTGGGGCACTGCCTAGTGGAGCTGTGAGAAGAGGCCCATTGTCCTCCAGACCTTAGAGAGGTAGGTCCACCAACAGCATGCACCATGCACCTGGAAAAGCCACAGGCACACAATGCCAGTCCATGAAAGGAGCTGCAGGGGCTGTGCCCTGCGTGGCTACAGGGGCAGAGCTGTCCAAGGCCTTGGTAGCTCACCCCTTGCATCATTGTAGCCTGGGTGTGAGCAGTGGAGTCAACGGAGATTATTTTGGAGCTTTAAGATTTAATGACTAATCTACTTACTTTTGGAATTTCATGGGGATTGGAGCTCCTTTGTTTTGGCAGACTTCTCCATTTTGAAAAGGGAGTATTTACCCAATGTTTATGTCCCCTTTGTATCTTGGAAGTAACTAACTTGTTTTTGATTTTACAGGCTCCTAGACAGAAGAGACTAGCCTTGTCTCAGATGAGACTTTGAACTTCTGAGTTAATGCTGAAATGAGTTAAGACTTTGGGGCACTGTTGGGAACGCACCATCATATTTTGCAATGTGAGAAGGACATGAAATTTGGGAGGGACCAGGAACAGAATGATATGGTTTGGATTTGTGTCCCCACCCACATCTCATGTTGAATTATAATCCTCAGTGTTGGAGTGGGGCCTGGTAGGAGGTGATCACGAGGGCGGTTTCTAATGGTTTAGCACCATCCCCCTAATACTATTTTGTGATAAGAGTTCTCCCAAGCTCTGTCTGTTTAAAAGTGTGTAGTACTCCCCCCTTCTCTCTCTTCCTCCTGCTCCAACCATGTAAGACATGCTTTTTCCCCTTCACTGTCTTAAGTTTCCTGAGGCCTCCCCAGAAGCAGGAGCCTGTACAGCCCACAGAACTGTGAGCCAATTAAATCTCTTTTCTTTATAAGTTACCCGGTCTCAGGTAGTTCTTTACAGCAGTTCAAGAGCAGACTAAAACAACCTGTTAAACATTTGGCCCTTAAAGCTGTTATGAAACACAATGGAAAATCATCACCTACATGGTGGTTGCTACATTAAGAAGAAATTATTTATTATTTTTCATAGAAACAGTATCCAACAGATGGAGAGGAAGAAATACAGTAATGCTTTTCTTTTGTTAAGTAATTAAGAACTCAGTTTCTAATAGTTTATGTTGATTATCTTCTGAGTAGATCAGAAAGAAAGTGAGAAGTATTTGAGGGAAAGGAAGCTACAGAGTTGCAATCAACAGGTTATCACTGGACACTAACGTGACACTAGTACCTGGATGAAAAAGAACACTCCCTGAAGACCCTGCCTAGACACCGTGCTCAGTTACTCATGAGAGCTGAAGGATCTGGAATCCAGGAATCAGAAAGTATTTCTTCCACTTCAGTATGGAATGAAGGACAAACATGAAACTCTTGTCCTCCAGAAAGATGCACTGCTATTAACTAGCAGGTTTGGTGTGGCTCTGCAGGTCTGCTGTGCCAGAAGCATGGTCTTGGGAGTCAAGTTGCCTGAATGGAGCTTTCCACGCAGTCCCCATGCTTGGCTCGTTAAGACTCTGACCTTGAGCACTGCCTTCCTGATAAGAAAGACTAGGGTGTGTCAGGTCTCCCCATGCTCCAGTTTTCAAGAGAGCATCTGCCAGGCTGGGCTGGGGAGAGTGGGAATCCAGGGATCTATCCTGTTAGAGCACAATCCCTCTGAACAAGTCTCAATGGCTTCTCAACTCGGTAACAGCTGTTGCAGAAGAAAAGTCTTCTTGCTATCTACTCTAATCTTTAGCTTGCCAGGGTTCTGAATACTATAATCCAGTAGCCAGTCAAGGAAATATTGAAAGTCTGGGCAAGAATAACTTAGAACTAATCAATCCACTTAAGTTTTTAAAGCTGGTTTGAAATGCAGATGTAAGCAAGAACGATGGGTTGCTTTGAACTAGGAAATATGTTAAGAAAGCCTCAGGATGACTTTTCCTGGTTTAGCAGGGAATATGTAAGACTGTGTCAGATCTTGTAAAAAGGAACTCTTTCTAGCAATTAGGTCAAAGTAGTTGGTTCAGGAAAGTCAATGTGAAATGAAGTAGTTTTAGTTTAAGAATCTATTCTATGAAATATACTTGAAGAGAAGAGGACAGGAAGATAAGCTTTAAGTTGTAACAACCTTTTCTGGCTTACAAAATGCATCAGTCTAGCCTGATAATAAATAACCTATTTTTCCTCACATAAAAAGCTAGAAAGTTGGACCTTTATTTTAAAACCAAGCAAAGAAAGCACACAAGACTATCACTAAAATACTTTATAGAAAATTAAGATTTGTGGATTTTAAAAAAGCCTCTCAGATACTACAAATGTATACTTTGTGCATTTTGGGAAAACATTTATAGACTACTTTCATTTTAAGAATTCACTAGTGAAAGCTATTAACATTGGACCTGCCAAAGGATGTTAACAGAATTGTGTTGCTATAGAAGGTTAGTATGAAGACTACAATCCTTTCAAGTGCTGCAAAAGTAGAAATTAGTAATAGTGTGTTCATGTAAAGTGGTGTGGTTTGTTTCCACCTTCATTTTCCTATCCAGTTCCAGCTGACATGTTATTCAGAGTGGTCTTAGGCTCTCGTATGCATGGTCCATCCCCCAGACTGGTTCATAATGAGAAAAACCATAGTTCTGACACATTACTATAGGTGAGAACAATAGACACTGCCTCTCAGTGTTAACAGCTCTCCTTGCAGAGGCTGTGTATGTCTGGGTAGAGGACATGGGGGGTCCTAAGCATGCAGCATGCACTGTCAGAGCATCTGTAGCCACAGCCAGGCAGAGGAAGGTAGGGACCATGCGGGGGCAAAACACAACAAAAACCAAACCAACAAGGAAGTACAAAGAACAAAATAAAAACCAGAGATACTCTCAATCTTCCCTAATAACCAAAACTTACTGCACTGATCTGAAAAAGGTAAAAGACATTTAAAAAAAAAAAGCTTCCCTCAATGGTGTATTCTGAGGAAATGATTAACTCTCCAGACAAAATAAACAGACCTTCCCATCAAAGATTGCTATAAAACCAGAAAGACTGACAATAGAAAGTAGTTATTTTAAAGCTGGCCATTTGGACGTATAGAAAACCAAAATTCAAAGCCAGGAAGGATCTATTGCTTTGTTCAATATCTCCCAGTATGTTGTGAGAATGTTAACAGGTGTTGAGTGAAAAATAAATGCAAGGAAATGCATGAAGTCGGCTTTTTAACTTTTAAGATGTCTCAGAGCCTTTAAATGCCAGTGGGTACGAGGATACTCGTGAGGGGTCTAGGGTTTATTTCCCATCCGCTGCTTGCCTTCATAGTGCCTTCTCTCTTAGAGCAAGTCCTGAATTGAGCATGCTGAGGACAGCACTTTGGGAGATGCTCATCTAGGCCATCCAAATCCCCTCATTTTCAGAGGAGGAAACTGAAGCCAGGCTCAAAGTCATCATTCATAGCCAGACAGGGGCAGCATCAGAACTCAACCTGCTCTTCATTATAATTTAAGATTCTTTAGGAGACAATCCTACTGCAGTGGTAATTCAACAGGTGAGAAAATTTAAGAATTCTCTTACCATCAGAAACAACTTTCATAACCCCTACACACAAATTATAAAAACCTAAAAGCTAACTTTCCCCAAATTTCTCCAATATGTTGATCTAATTAGAAAGCACTGGTATCTCAAAAGCATCTCTGATTAGTTACATAATTTACTGAACTAGTCAAAAAAGTAATAGGAAATGTCTTACCTTTCCCTCGGAAACCCATACCAGCTGGTTTTGCTGTTGTTGAATTGCTTCTTTCAGCGCACCATACCAACCATCATTCATTGAATTTAAGTTAATTGTAGCTGAAAATAAATTAACGATGTAGTTTTATGGTTAGAGCACTGCCAAAAGTCAGAATTAATTCAACCCTGCTTACAGCTAAATCGTCATTACTGAAAGATGGTATCTGAGGATGCAAACATTTGAAATTTCTATTTTGCTACTGTATATTTTCTTTTAACCAAACAGCAGGTGTTAACACAACAGGAAGCTTTCCAAGAAAGTATCATGTAAGTTTTAGTATTTGAACACCGTAACATTTTGGCCTACTTAATGTTGCCCAGACATTGTAAGCTGAAAGAAGGCCTTTATTAACATACTCACTTGTAAAAAGATGGTGATTATTTTTACGAAGTTTATGAGATCGCTCGTATAACTTCCTGGCACTTTTCCGAGATTCTGGACATAACCTCATTCTCATTGTTTTTACTCCTTGCTTAGAATCAGGGTTAAGAAATACAACAATTGGATACCACTGGGCATAGTTAAGACGATCAACTGCATTTGGTGTTACATCTAATAAAGCATGTTTGTCCTAGAAACAGAAAGAAAAATATATACAAAGACACAAGACATCATTAATTAAGAATCACCAAATTCAGCTGGGTGCAGTGGCTCACGCTACGCCTATAATCCTAGCACTTTGGGAGGTCGAGGTGGGTGAATCACTTGAGGCCAGGAGTTCCAGACCAGCCTGGCCAGTATGGAGAAACTCTATCTCTACTAAAAATACAAAAACTAGCCAGGCATGGTGGTGCACGCCTGTAATCCCAGCTACTTGGGTGGCTGAGGCACAAGAATCACTTGAACCTGAGAGGTAGAGGCTACAGTGAGCCGAGATCACACCACTGCAGTCCCACCTGGGCAACACAGCAAGACCCTACCTCAAAAACAAAAACAAATACAAACCAAAACAAAACAAAACACCCCATCACATTCAGAAAAAGTCAAAAGTCTGTACTATATTTCAGTGGTAACAGATCTCTTTGTATTCTAATGTCTCAGGAGCACATATTAAAAAACTAATTGTAAGTTAACTCAATTCCATTTCTAGCCAAATTTCTAAAAACCTTTCTATGAAGCTCACTTTTAAGACTTAGCCCTAACACCGCAATCTGACAGTATTATCCACGTACAGTTAGAATAAAAATGTTTAAGAATTTAATGTTCCTGACATTCCTTATGAATGTAAATAACAAACTACAACTTGAATTGTACTGATATAATATATAAGCAGTCTGTTAATTACATCTAAAAATCATACACTTGTTTTGTGGTAATGAAAAATCATCTTCTGATGCCTACAGTAACTATTCTCTTGAAAGTAATCATTATAATGCTTTTCAGTAAGGGCTTAATTTTCTTATAGTATGTCAGTAATAGTCTCAGAAAAACTACCTTCTACTTTCAAATTAACCAAATCCCATCCCACTCAAAACCACAATAACATAATGAAATGGGTCAAGTTTTAATAACTTACTTGATCTATGATTTGCTTTATTGTATGCAGGCGAATAATGCCAGAGCTACGTTGGTCAGTTCCAGCGTCTCGTGGTTCACTCTCTATTCATTATGTCAGGACAAAAATAAGACATCAAATTTTCACTGGTTAGACAGGAGTTTCTCAACTACTGGCCACAACTGATATGCCGGACTGGATAGTACTTTGTTTGTGGAAACTGTCTTATGCATGCAGTACTTAAAGTGAGTTTTAATATGCATACTTCCCTTTTTTTTTTTCACTATTTTTTCAACTACTTTAATATTCTGGAAAAAAACTTAGCCATTAAAGAAGAAAAAATATACAGGAATGCACATTTTTTTCTTTTGCCTGGGGCTCTAATATGGCTCAACAGGGCACTACTTCCCACCCTTTTTCACACTGTAACATCCAGAGAAAATATTATTTGTATGGCACACTGAGATAAACTGAGGGGGCTGCTCCTTTGCCAAGCTCTAACCAGCCACTACTGGCTTAAGAGGTCAATACCTTGGCATGTCCATCAACCATCGGTAATGGTGCTATAGTGGATTGCCTAGGGAGTTCTGGGTTAGAGACCTTAGTTACATCAGTAGAAGGGGAACCTGGGGGCAGGAAGCTGTTCATCTGTAACTGTGAGACAGCCTATGGCTTCATCCTGGCAACCTGTCTTCACTGGTGTATACTGTGCCAAATGCAGCTTGGGCTGGTTTCCAACCAACCATCTCAGAGCACAGCAACGTTTGTGACTCTGGTCACAAGGAAAGTTTGAAAGGAAAGGAAGAGCTTTGGTGTTTCAGAGATCAGACAAAGGCAGAGATCTGGAAAGACAAGTCACACTGAGGTTCAAGATAAATGATTTTGGAGAATGAGACTACCATAAGACAAAGCACCATGGGCAAGCAGGGCAGAATTTCAAATCTAGTGAACACTGGAGAATTAAGAAGAAAGATCAACTGGGAATTTTGGCTGGAAAAAAAATGCTACTAACTCCTCAACTCAAAAGACTGTCATTAGACTCAAAGAAGATATAAAACTAAGCTACCTGAATTCCCTGTTGTGGAGTAAACCTGATTAAACCAATGTATTACCCTTTAAGGCAGAGCTTTGTAAGTCATCATACTTGCTTTTCCCATATCTAAAAATCCTAAGTTTGGTTATGGGTAAGGGTTACCACCAACTTCCTTCAGGTGAAATGTCATCTACAGATAACTTAGCCAGGTGCGGTGGCAGGTGCCTGTAATCCCAGCCACTAGGGGAGGCTGAGACAGGAGAATCGCTTGAACCCAGGAGGCGGAGGTTGCAGTGAGCTGAGATTGCGTCAGTGCACTCCAACCTGGGCAACACAGTAAGACCTTGTCTCAAACAAAAGAAAACAAAACAAAACAAAACTTCTTCTGAAAAAACTAAGAAATAAACATTTTCTAACTTGCTCAGATTTTACTCAAATCATTTGTCTGCAAATCTTCTGATGTTCAGAAAATAAATATCCTTATTCAACTTCATTGGCAATGAAATGAAAAGCAATATATTAAAAAAAAAAGATGATGTTCTGATTCTTTAAATTAACACTATGCAGTTTAAAGATGTTACTGAGGGTCGGCTGGGTGCAGTGGCTCACGCCTGTAATCCCAGCACTTTGGGAGGCCGAGGTGGGCAGATCACGAGGTCAGGAGATCGAGACCATCCTGGCTAACACGGTGAAACCCCGTCTCTACTAAAAAAACAAAAAAATTAGCCGGGCGTGGTGGCGGGTGCCTGTAGTCCCAGCTACTCGGGAGGCTGAGGCAGGAGAATGGCATGAACCCAGGAGGTGAAACTTGGAGCCTGGATCTGAGATCGTGCCACTGCACTCCAGCCTGGGCGACAGAGCGAGACTCTGTTTCAAAAAAAAAAAAAAAAGGTTACTGAGGGTCATATAGTGCCAGTGGGAACAAAATCCCCAGCACAACTCTCTGGAAAGCAGAAACTTCATCATAATTATGGGAACAGCTATATTCTTAAGGATTTAAATCCTTTGGGAAACAAAGCAGGGCATAAACAAGCAAACAAAATATGGACAGATTTCTGTATCTTTTGTAATAGTAATATAAATTCGAAACAAACGATATAAAAAAAGCCTAACTGAACCAAAAATTGCAGGATAAAATGAAAATATGCCATTACCTATGAAAAAGAAAAATTGGATATAAACTTTTCTAAACAGTATAAATAAAACTTTGCCAAAATATGCTTAAAAGAGTGGAAGAAAATACAATGGAATAAAATTTAGGGTGGTGATATGTGTAAAAATTAACTTTCCAACTTTTCCAAACACAGAATGGCACTTTTATAATTACAAAAACAGTTTAAAAATAAAACAAAACTGGGTACAGTGGCTCACACCTGTAATCCCAGCACTTTGGGAGGCCAAGGCCAGAGATCACTTGAGCCCAGGAGCTCAGGTTCAGCCTGGACAACCTAGTGAGACCCTGTTTCTACAAAAATAATAATAATAATAATAATAATAAACTAGCCAGGCGTGTTGGCATGTGCCTGTAGTCCTAGCTGCTTGGAAGGCCGAGGTGTGTGGACTGCTTGAACCCATGAGTTTGGGACTACAGTGAGCAATGATCTAACCACTGCACTCCTGCCTGGGCAAGAGTGAGACTCTGTCTCTGAAAAAAAAAAAAGAGGAGCAGTGTGAAGAAGAGGCGAGAACGACCCCCGGACCGACCAAAGCCCGCGTGCCGCTGCATCCCACGTCCAGCACCTACGTCCTGTCGCCACCGCCACCATGCCCAAGAGAAAGGCTGAAGGGGATGCTAAGGGAGATAAAGCCAAGGTGAAGGACGAACCACAGAGAAGATCCGCGAGGTTGTCTGCTAAACCTGCTCCTCCAAAGCCAGAGCCCAAGCCTAAAAAGGCCCCTGCAAAGAAGGGAGAGAAGGTACCCAAAGGGAAAAAGGGAAAAGCTGATGCTGGCAAGGAGGGGAATAACCCTGCAGAAAATGGAGATGCCAAAACAGACCAGGCACAGAAAGCTGAAGGTGCTGGAGATGCCAAGTGAAGTGTGTGCATTTTTGATAACTGTGTATTTCTGGTGACTGTACAGTTTGAAATACTTTTATCAAGTTTTATAAAAATGCAGAATTTTGTTTTACCTTTTTTTTTTTTTTTTTAAGCTATGTTGTTCGCACACAGAACACTTCATTGTTGTTTTTGGGGGAAGGGGCATATGTCACTAATAGAATGTCTCCAAAACTGGATTGATGTGGAGAAAACACCTTTCCCTTCCAGTTTTGAGAGACTTCCTCTTGGCTCCCAGGAGGAGGGATTCCTTGACTTTGACACACATGGCCACCTTGGCACAAAAGCCTTGTGCTATGGAAAAACAAATTTGTTTTTATGTCCTCTTCTCCCTTTCCACGTTTCAGCATAGACTTAACTCCCTTAAGCCCAGACATCTGTTGAGACCTGACCCCTAGTCATTGGTTACCAGTGTGTCAGGCAATCTGGACTTTCCAGTGATGCCACTGAGATGGCACCTGTCAAAAGAGCAGTGGTTCCATTTCTAGATTGTGGATCTTCAGATAAATTCTGCCATTTTCGTTTCACTTCCTGAAAGTCAGGGTTGGCTTGTGAAAAGTTGTTAAACAACATGCTAAATGTGAAATGTCAACCCTCACTCTCAACTTTCCCTGTTCAGAGCATCAGATGAAGACTTCATTGGGTTTTATAGTGGCTTTCTGATTTTTGGTAGTCCATTGAAGAAGGGAGTTTGAAAGTTGTTGTATACTGTTAACGATTGTCTGCCCATGTCCTGCCTGAAATACCATGATTGTTTATGGAAAGTATCTTTAATAAAGCTGGATACAGTTTGGCTTGGAAAAAAAAAAAAGAAAGTAAATAAAACAAGGATCTGTAAGCAAAACGTATTTGGCATACAAAGCACTGCAGCCTCAATACTTATACTTACTATCTTATTATAAATGTCTGCAATAACAACAGCTGATAATATTAGCAATGTTTTATTACCCTTTTTAACTATTTGTGTATTTGTCAGTTTAATGACTAAAAGAGCTGGAATGGAGCAAGAAAGGGCTGTGGTCAAAGCCGAGTCTTGTCACTTGTTCACTGAGGGCCACCAGGAAGTTTAGACTGAAGAAACTGGAAAGGATCCACGCAATGACCATCCAAGTCTCAGGCTACTCAACTGTAACATGGATATTATACTCCTTACCTCAGAGCATGACTGGGAGGATTCAATGACATTGTATGTTATGCAATTTTCATATGAAGCCAAGAGTTTCCTAAACGGTGACTTTTCTCATTAAAAGAATTGGTGGAACAAGGACATGGTCACTGGGGTTTTCTCACCAAATTAAAAGAATGGGATAAACTGCTAATTTTTCACTGACAAAAAGTCTTATTTTTATTGAATGAGTGAATCAGAACTCACTCACTTTAGAGGTGTAACTCCCAACCTCATTTAAGTTAGCCTTGAGGCTACTTACTTGCAATTTGATAAATATCTGGTTCTTCTCTTGCCAGCTTTTCTCTGGCAACATCAGCTATTGGTCCAAAAATGGTTACAGGCCTCAGAAATCCAGCTGGAGAGAAATTCACATGAAAAACAGCATATTTTATACCTTTTCTTTCTTAAACATATTGACGTTAAAGGGTATTAGGTTAGTCTGTAGAAAATAAACTACCTTCTCGAAGAACCACTCTTTCATAAGCTGGAAACTTTGTTTGAACAGGCTGAGCGGACAAATCCTCTCTGCTTTTTCGAAGATTTCTCTTGGAGCTGCGAAGACCTCTGAATCTCCAGAAGTCAGCACGGTCTCCGCCTGCTGTTTTTGGAAGTGTATACTGTACACTGGCTAGCTGCTCAGCTCTACACAAGAAAGGAGAAAATTAAAATAAGGGCATTTAAAATGCAAAATGGAAAAAGACCCACAATGAAATGAAATATACAATACTGGATGGAAGTTCACATACAGTTTAAATCTTAATGGTTATAATAAAGAGGAGTTTGTAAACCTAAGTCAGTTATAGATACGTTGAATACAATGAAAAAGAATTCTTTACATTACCAAAATTTCCCAGTGGGATTGAAATGATCTATCATCATTTACTTGATTCACTCTATGAGAAGTATCCAAGCATTCATACCTGTTCTTATTAGGGATGATGCCTCGTTCTACCTCCTTATGATTTTTACCAATTCGAATAGCAAGCCAAGAGCCCAGTTTTCCATTGTACAAGGTATCCACAACACGGAACACCTCTCCTTTGTTAAAACTAAGTCCATAGGGAGATTCCTTTTCATATTCAAAATGGGTTCTAATATAGAAAGAATCTCCTACATCTGATTCTACAATGCGACGATAAACTAAAAGGAATAAAAACAAACACATTATCAATATTTAGTGGGATAACAATCTGAAAGACAGTACATTATGTAAAGATGCTATGATAATATCAATAATAATATCCAACAAATTCTTACTATGTGCCAGGTACTGTATTATTTCATGTATTCATCACTGTAAGAATTGAAACTCTTAGTACTTCCATTTTGCAGATGAGGAAACTGATGCAGAAAATACATCAAGTAACTTGTCAAAAGCCACATGCTTGTTTTCTATTATATCATCTAACTTATCTGCAAACATTATAGACATTTCCATATCTAAATCAGCAGTTCTCAAATAAAGGTAATTTTATCCCTCGCCATCCAACATTGGACATTTGCCAATATGCAGTTTTGACTGCCCCATCTGTGTACTGAAAGGGTAAGGGGTGTGTGCTAGTGGCATCTCATCTAGTGAGCAGAGGCTAGGAATGCTCCTAAACATCCACAATACACAGGACAGCCCCTAAAACCACATTATTTGGTCCAAAATGTCAACAGTGCCAAGGCTGAGAAACCTGGCTCTAAGTGAAAATTGTATCACAGAAAAAATGGAGTTTTCTCTTGAATTAATGCTAATAAACATCTGAGTGTATTGCTTAGAAACATCAGTACAAAATCTGAAAGCTGCTCATATATACTTTTGTATGGTTCTGATGGCTAATAAATCAACACTTTCTATCACTTGTAAAGGGTTGGATGGCATTTTATTTAAATTAGAATACTATAAAGGTTAGTCCTATTAGCATGCTCTGCTAATGAGAATCATCTGAAATTCTGTGCTCCTAAATGACTTAGAATTACATAACTTTCTTTGAGATTAACAAATTCATTCATCACTCAACTATGAGTGACTTATTTTTTAAAAATGGAATAAATCCCTTTGTAAGTCCTCAAACTCTACAGGTTTATCTCCTCCATTTTCTGACAGCATCTCACCATCCTTCTTCTTCTGAGCCAATATGGTCACTTCTTCTCCTTTAGGGAGGTCAAGCAGGAAAAGGACGGCTTCTTCTCTTATGATATTTGTAAAATCTACGTTGTTTACCTAATAAATAAGATTTCATAAATCATTCTTGGCTGTTTAAGAATATGAAAATAACATACGCAGGACACAGATACTCTCAGTCTACCTAATTTGAAAATATCACATCTTTTTTTTTTTTTTGAGACAGAGTCTCGCTCTGTCGCCCAGGCTGGAGTGCAATGGCACGATCTCAGCTCACTGCAACCTCCACCTCCCAGGTTCAAGTGATTCTCCTGCCTCAGCCTCCCGAGTAGCTGGGATTGCAGGTGCCCACCACCACACCCAGCTAATTTTTTTATATTTTTAGTAGAGATGGGGTTTCACCATGTTGGGCAGGTTGGTCTCAAACTCCTGACCTCAGGTGATCCGCCCGCTTTGGTCTCCTAAAGTGCTGGGATTACAGGCATGAGTCACCACACCCGGCCGAAAATATCACATCTTTTAAGACCAAAAACTTTATTTTACTTTGGAGAAAAGAATACACTCTAATTTTAAAAAAACAGAAACAAATAAAGTGAGTTAAAGGTATAAATTTATTTAAATAGTATTCAGTGTGTCCTGACATTAAAGATCTGTGTAAAATTTAACCAGTTTAGATGAAAAAAGGTAACTTTTTACAAGTTGCTGAGAAAAAAAATCAAAAGAAAATGGGACTAAAAAGACAATCTGCACTGTAGCAACCCTGTAAGAGCATCTGTGTAATGCAGGCTCAGTGTTTGCCAAGTTAATATTTACTTCTATTAGAAGCTTCTAAATGCCAAAATGAACTTATTAAAATGTCACCAGTGACTGTGTGCAGGATTACAGGCAGGTTTTCTTCTTTCCACCTTTTGGAAATTTTCCAGATTAAAAAAGAAAAAAAAAAACCCTAGAAACAAAAAAACCTGACACGCACCACTTACTTTTATGATACAAAACAAAAGTGAACTATTAAGAAACATTTTTTAGCCAGGCGCAGTGACTCATGTCTGTAATCCCAGCACTCTGGGAGGCCAAAGTAGGTGGACTGCTTGAACCCAGGAGTTTGAGACCAGTCTGGGCCACGTGGTGAAACCCTGCCTCTACAAAAAATACAAAAATTTGCCACGTGTGGTGGCTAATGCCTGTGGTCCCAGCTACTCAGGAGGCTGAGGGGAAGAATGTTTGAGCCTAGGTGTTTAAGGCTGCAGTGAGCCGTGATCACACCACTGCATTCCAGCCTGGGTGACAGTGAGGCGCTGTCTCAAGGAAAAAAAAAAAAAAAAAAGAAAGAAACGTTTAAAAAAATGTATGCCCTGATTACTTCAAAACAGGGTTAAGAGATGGGTAAGAAAATAGGTCTCTTTACTTTCCTTGGTATAGTGAACGTTATTATACATGTTGTATTTAAATGTTTTTGACCTAACTTGATTGACAACAATGTAAACATCATCAGAAAGAATGACCATATCAGATCAGATGGAAATAGGTCTGAAGTCACCATGATGCCTTGACTTTTTGACATGCTAAGTTTGAAGGGAAAAGGAGGAGGATTCAATGAGAAAATGACAGAGCTCAGGAAATTGCTAAGTGAAAAGACTTTGATTACGAGCTGCTCACTTGAGCAACCAAACCCAAGAAAGAGGCAGTGTAGCAAGAGAAGCAGAGAGTTACCAACATTCTCCAAGTTTTAAAAGTATCAGTAAAGAGGCAGGAAAAGAATAAAAAAATGTACCAGAATGGCAGTATTATGGAATCTAAGGAAAAAAGTACTTCAAAAAAGATTAAGACAGTCAAAACGCTGCTAAAAAATAAAGGAAAATGAGGCTTGAGGATGACATTAACTCAGCAATGGCTTATTGAAAACTGAGCTTCAGTGTGGTGAAGGTGGAAGCCAGGCTGCAAAACTGTATGACCACAATGATTGAAAAGAAAACAGGCAAGGGCCTCAACCACATCCTTCAACAAGTTAAACAGCAAAAAAGGACAAATAAGACAGTGGAAGATAGATGAAGAACCAGTGGAGAGAGAAAGACAAGAAAGTGAACAAAGCTACAAGATTCTGGAGCAGACAGGAGGCTGAATCCAGGACACTGGCAAGAGGCAGGCTGAGTACAGAAAGAGACCAGAATAGAGAGGCCACGGCAAAGACTTTGTGGTAGAGAAGCAGAATAAATGTAGGAGCTCACAATGGACAGATACCTTCTGATTAAAATGGGACATAGTTTAATCTAGCAAATCAAATGGAGGTTTGGATATTTTAAAAAGAAACAGGAGACAGATTAAGATGGTACTATGTCACTAGGTGAAACCGTTTATGGGGAAGGAAGGGAGGACTCTATAGACTCTACTGATACTCTGCATCTAACCTGGGCTTTCCTGATTTGTGTAACTAATCCTGTCTCTTGTGGAGTATGAAGTTTCAAAGCCAGGCAGCTTACACATTTGCCTTTGATGTGAATTCCATCTCCCTGTGTCTGAGCCATTATCTGGGGTTAAAAAGGTCCCAGAGGTTGTGTGGATTGCTTCAAGATGACTCATATGGGAGAGGAACACTTGATGTTGCTTGCTGCCAAGTTGTGGCCCATGGCAGAGTCCTGCCAGTCTGAATGTTTAGTTGAACTTCCAAAGACTACCTGGTAGATATTATCATCGGGATATAAGACTTATTTTCTTTTATTTCCATGAACACGAGTGGTAGAAATGAAATGTTACATTCTTTACTAACACAAAATATAGCAGTAAACAAGAGCAAGATACAAGAATGGGAAGTGAGAAGTCCAGCATAAGGTAGACCTGATGGATTTTGACTTTCAAAGTTTAACTGGCTCAATGGAGACTGCTTACAGATTACAATCTAATTACAATAGTAAGCTTGTTGTTTGATACCTTTTTCTGGTGATCCAAATACTTTTTAACCCACATAAGTTGCAATACTGACATACCCTGAGAATTTGATCACCTTCCTCTAAGCCTTCCTTGGCTGCAGGGCTATCTTCTAGAACGCCAGCTACAAATATTCCAACATCATTTCCACCAGCCAGCCGCAAACCCACACTATCTCCTTTTCTGAATTTTACCAATTTCATGCTGGGCCTGTTAAAACAGATATTTCATTTGAAACAGTTAAGAAGAGCTTAAAACGTTATAGCAATCACTACAGTGAAAACTATATTCAGAATTAAATAAAGAACCATCATTTCTAAAACTTCTCTCATACCACTATTTTACTAAATAAAATTTAGTGTTAGAATTCAAATCAGACTTAATAACACTATTTTCTGATTAACAGTTTTGGAATATTCAAATTTAATATGCAAGTACTATTTTACATAACTAATTTATAAAATTACTTTGTAAAACAATGTTTTCTCAACTCTCAAAGAGTTATGGTACATTCCAAATGGCTAAAAACATCTTCCATTTTTTCCACCCCAATTCACACATCATTTCTATTAATAACTGAAAAGTCAAATTTTTTAAAATAAAGGTAGAAATTGAAGTATAAATTGGCTAATTTTCCTAACACGATGGACTCAAAATAAGGCTCCAAGCATTGTGATTTCTACATGTAACAGAGAGTGATTTTTAAAAAAACTTTGCAGTTGGTGGAGTCTTTCAGTAGTTCACAGAGTAGTTCACTTACTCTGCTGCCCCTCTGAGTTTTACAATACAAATCATATAGTCATTCAGCCTTTCTACATTAGCCCCATATCCATTCTGTCCCTTTCTAGTTCTCTGAATGGAAAAAAAAAATAATGCATACACACCCACCTCTAGCATCAGTGTAGTGTTGAAACCTTGTGACACTCCTTAAAACAAATACTAAAGGATGCCTTCTAAGAACTGACTGGATAGAAACAGACTGTAATTAAAAATTACCCACTATATTTCCCTTCTAGGGATTCATAAGTACTCTCACATTCCTAGCAAGAAAATACACTATTTTACCTATTCTGACAAGAAGTGTAGAAAAAAATCCCTATACTCTTTATTATGTAATACTAACCAAATTATTAGAAACTAATAGATAACAATAACAACAACAACAACAAAAAGTCAAATAAATGAATGAAATGTGTTGAGGAAGGAGAGATTTCTAGTCTCTTTAAGCCAACTAAAGAGATCGCCTTAACTTTCAGAACTTACTATTTATTCATTTCTGATTGGGTTACCTGACCTGGAACTAACATCAGCTAGTCATAAAAGTAAGAGCCTGAGAAATCAGATGAGGTCTCTCACTGGCTGGTGGCATCCTTGATCCCTCCATGAAACTATTTACCAGCTTTACTACAAATGGTCCAAGCCCCTTGGTTGTAGTGGTATCCTAGCCAGGTCAAAAGCATTCTCATAGATTCCTCTCCTAAACCCATTGTACTGAAACCTCTTTAAATATTTCCTCAAAGTCCTTAAGACTCCAGGTCTCAGTTGGGTGTGGCAGCTCAAGCCTATAATGCCAGCACTTTGGGAGACTGAGGCAGGAGGACTGCTTGAGCCTAGGAGTTTGTTCCCAGCCCTGATCAACACAGCAAGACCCTGTCACTACTAAAAAAAAAAAAAAAAAAAAAAAAAAAAAAATTAGCTGGGTTTCGTGGCTCGTTGCCTATAGTCCTAGCTACTCCGAAGGCTGAGGTGGGAGGATTCCTCGAGCCTAGGAGTTTGAGGTTATGGTGAGCAATGATCACACCATTATACTCTAGCCTGGGTGACAGAGTGAGGCCCTGTCTCTTTAAAACAAAGCAAAACAAAAACAAAAACAAAAGATAGGACTTTGGAAATCCTCTTCTAACCCTGACCCATCTAATGTGCTTCAAAAAGCAAAAACAACTGAGCACAGTATCCACCCTTTAGTAAAACATGGCTTCTGAAAACCACTGTTAGAAGACAGCTTTAGGCCATATCTCACCAACAGTGTCATGTGCCTTAGATGACTGACATTTTATACTTTGTCCTGCCTGCATTATATTAACTACTTGCAGTAGCAAAACAGACTCACTAACTTCTGCATCAAATCCATTCATTGGCTTTAAATGAAAAACCAAACCTTTCCTGGCACAGCTACTAATCCTGTCCACGTCCTCAAATCTTCCTTGGTATTTGTTCTCCCAGGGAAGGAGGTCTCTGGAATTTTTCTTTTTTCTTTTTTGAGATGGAGTTTTGCTCTGTCACCCAGGCTGGAGTGCAGTGGCGCGATCTCGGCTCACTGCAAGCTCCACCTCCTGGGTTCATGCCATTCTCCTGCCTCAGCCTCCCAAGTAGCTGGGACTACAGGCGCCCGCCACCACGCCCGGCTAATTTTTTTGTATTTTTAGTAGAGACGGGGTTTCGCCGTGTTCAGCCAGGATGGTCTCAATCTCCTGACCTGGTGATCTGCCCACCTCGGACTCCCAAAGTGCTGGGATTACAGGCATGAGCCACTGCGCCCGGCCAGTCTCTGGAATCTTATCATTACAGTTTCCTAAACCTCAAACACTTACACAAGTTTTCAAGCAATTCCCAAGAAAGGAAAAGAAGGGGACTATCTATGCCTGCACAATTTATAAAAGGTTGAATTATCAATTACCTAATATTAAAATTGTACAGTTTTAAACTTGTAAAAACCCCATCTCTTTCAGGAACTACTTCTATCTACCTAGCTGGGTCTAAATCTAACCCACTTGAGGAAATCTGCCAATTTTCTTTTTTTTTTTGAGACGGAGTCTCGCTCTGTCACCCAGGCTAGAGTGCAGTGGTGTGACCTCGGCTCACTGCAAGCTCCGCCTCCTGGGTTCACGCCATTCTCCTGCCTCAACCTCCCGAGTAGCTGGGACTATAGGCGCCCAGCTAATTTTTTGTATTTTTAGTAGAGATGGGTTTTCACCATGTTAGCCAGGATGGTCTTGATCTCCTGACCTCGTGATTCGCCCGCCTCGGCCTCCCAAAGTGCTAGCTTTACAGGCATAAGCCACTGCGCCCGGCCCGGAATTCTGTCAATTTTCAATTATTCACATCATGTCCCCTTTACCAGTGCCAATAAAAAACTAATTTGGGCTGGGTACAGTGGCTCACATCTGTAATCCTAGCACTTTGGGAGGCTGAGGTTGGTGGACTGCTTGAGCCCAGGACTTTTAGACCAGCCTGGGCAATGCGGCGAAACAAAACCCCGTCTCTACTAAAAATACAAAAATTAGCTAGGTGTGGTGGTGTGTGTCCTTTCATCCCAGCTACTCAGGAGGCTGAGGTGGGAGGATTGTTTGAGCCCAAGAGGCAGAGGTTGCAGTTAGCCGAGATTGCACCACGGCACTCCAGCCTGGGCGACAGAGCAAGACCCTGTTTAAAAAAAAAAACTAACCAAACAAACAAAAAACTAATTTGATAATCATGATGGTTTGAAATTTGTTTACAAATTTACATCTCAATTCTACCAAGTATATAATGTAAAGTAATGAAAGGTGTTAAGATAGTAAAAACTTACTTTTGGGTTGCTAACTACCCTAGAACAGGTTCTCAACCAATCTCAACCATGATTTTGCCCCCAAGGAAACATCTGGCAATGTCTAGAGATAATTCTAATTGTCACAACTAGGGGACTGCTACTGGCATCTAGTGGCCAGGATTGCTGCTAAACATGCCACAATGCACAGGACAGCCCCTCACAACAAATGCTTACCTGGCCCAAAATGCCACTAGTGCTGAGATTGAGAAACACTGATTTTTTTTTTTTTTTAATGCTCCATTGGAAAGCTGTGGAAATTCTGATGTCTGAATAGAATTTTTTTTTTTTTCTAATTCCTAATTTAAAAGCTAGGCAGGAGACAGCGGTGAGAAAGAAAGCATCCAAAAAGTTCCTTTGTTGTCTAATTTCTAACTCACTATCATATATAAGTAGCAGAATGTTAAATATAAAAATAATCATAGTATTAGGTGGTATGTACTATTTTAAAAAATATATGCAATATGGTTTACAATTAAATTCCTACTCTGAATAATGTTAATAATGAACAAAGAAAACAATACAACTTTAAAATTGTATTACCGAAGAATCCCATCTTCATGAGTTGAATTAGGTAGGACACCATCAGATGGACTGACAGGTAAATCCACATCTGGTTGCCCAACTTGGGCATACACAGGCTTTGGTTCTAAGAAAAAAAAAATTGAGTAGGACTCACTTTAGAAAAACATGGAATAATAATGCAAGCAACCAAGCAATATATGATTCATAAGTTCAGAGAACCTGATGAGGAACATATCTACCATATGTATTAGAGTACATTTTATAGTAATAAATTCTGAAGTCTTTATAACAAGTAGGTATGTTACACAGTCACCTGTGTTTTCCATAGTTCCAGCAATCAGAATTTGAAAAATCTATTCTTTAAGAACGAATAACAAAAAATAGATATGAGAAGAGAGAATTCCTACACTTCCCAGTTAAGACTGCCAAAGTAGCTACCTTTCCTCATTATGATAAAATGTTTTTAAATAACCATATTTCTGCCACTCAGCAAGCAGAGCAAGAAAGATGATTTGAGAAAAGGAAGTGAAAGACATCAGAAACAAAATCTCCAGGCCTCCCAGGCAACCGATCTTAGCACCTTGCTGATTCTGTTTTGTCTTCACAGACAGCTTTAAAAGGATGCTTGGGTCAGACACAGTGGCTTGCACCTGTAATCCCAACACACTAGGAAGCTGAGGTGGGAGGACTGTTTGAGGCCAGGAGTTGGAGACCAACCTGGACAACAAAGCAAGATTCCATCTCTCCAAAACAACAACAAAAAACAAAGAAAACCCACAAAAAAACCCCAGAAAACCCAAAATAGCCAGGTGCGGTGGTGCACACCTGTAATAGGGAGGATCAGGTGGAAAGACAGCTGGAGCCCAGGAGTTTTGAGGTTACAGCGAGCTAATCACACCACTGCACTCCAGCTGGGTGACAGAGTGAGACTCTGTCTCAAAAAAAAAAACCCAAAGACAATAAATAAAGGTATACTCCATAAAATGTTTATGAAAACACTTTCAAAAAAGCAAAATAACTTTTCTTTTTAAATTTTTGAAGCCAATCTCATGTTTCTCTTTAAGGAGCAGTGTTGGAAAACAACTTTACTAATTGCAAGAAGTTGTTAATGATAAATATTTTCTATCTAGAAAGTAAAGGAAAACATTCATGAAAGGCAACTGATTTGTGCCAACCTGCTACCCATAAGGAAAACGCTGGAAGTCATATGCAGACAAATTCACACATGAGAAGAATAATAATTGCATCTTTAAAATCTTCTGTAAATCCTAACAATTACTTCACTCTACTTGCAAATGTTTCTTGAACTTAGTGTTTCGTTATGCTTACCTGGAAGAGAAGGTGTTTGTTTCTCATTTCTTTCAACTGTAACTTCTTCCACTGTTTTAGGTGTGTGATCATCAGCATGCTTTACAGGAGTTGAGACAGCCCCAGGTTTAGAAATTCTCTCTTCATCTCTACTCCGGAGACTGTGTGTCATTAAAATAAAAAATCAAGAGCATAAGAATGATTCTGGAAAGCATCTGTAAGAGAACAGTATAAGAAGAGGCAATGCAACTTCAAAAACAATGACAACCTGCTCTAACAGATACCAAAATATTGTAAAAACCTAGTAATTAAAAATAGAGCATTACCACAGAAAAACCAAATAGATTCATGTAATAAAATCGAAAATGAAGAAATATATCTATAATAGCAAAATTTATCATGAAAGTAGCATTCCAAACAAAACTGTTGGAGAAGGAACATAACATTTAATAAATGGTGTCGGGACAACTGTCCACAAATGTAGAAAAATTAGATCCGTATGTTTAACAATGACAAAAATAAACTGATTTCAGATGAAATCAAGTCCTAAAAAAAGAGTTTAAACATTCACATAATCAACAGGAGTCTTCTAAAGTAAGACTCAATGAAGCCACAGTATATCAACAAAAGTGATTACATAAAAATAAAGTACGTGCAAATAATTGGGAAACATATATAATACTGGGCTGAACTAAATGAAATGGGAATTCTTTAGTTCAAACAGCTCGATGTTAACTATTTCATACAGTTTAACTAAATACAAATGTTGACTATGTACTGACCTAAGTAACATATATAAGAATTTGGTACTTAAAAAAAGAAAAGACAGGCATGATGGCTCACGTCTGTAATTCCAGCACTTTGGGAGGCCAAGGCAAGAGGACTGCTTGAGCCCAGGAGTTTGAGACCAGCTGGGCAACATAGCAAATTCCATACTCTGTAAAAAAAATTTAAAATTTAGCCAGGCACTGTCACTTGTTCCTACAGTCCTAGCTATTTAAGTGGCTGAGGTGGGAGAATTGCTTGAGCCGAGGAGTTGGAGGCTGAAGTGAGCTATGATAGAGCCACTACACTCCAGCCTAGGCAACAGAACAAGACTCCGTCTCTTTGAAAAAGAAAAAAAGAACTATAAATCAATCAAGACAACTCAAGAGAGAAATGCAAAAATACAAAGAAGCTTTTCAGCAAAAAGGATGTACAAATACGTAATAAATATGCAAACACATTTAACCTCACTAGGAACTAGGGAAATACAAATTAATTAGAAACTGTATTATCGGCCGGGCACAGTAGCTCATGCCTGTATTCCCAGCATTTTGGGAGGCAGAGGCAGGCGGATCACGAGGTCAAGAAATCAAGACCATCCTGGCCAGTAAGGTGAAACCCTGTCTCTACTAAAAATACAAAAATTAGCCCGGCGTGGTGGCATGCGCCTATAGTCCCAGCTACTCGTGAGGCTGAGGCAGGAGAATCAATTGAACCCAGGAGGCAGAGGTTGCAGTGAGCCAAGATCGTGCCACTGCACTCCAGCTTGGTGACAGAGCAAGACTCTGTCTCAAAAAAAAGAAATCATATTATCATCCATGAGAACTTTCACATGATAACATCACTGGTAGGGAAAGATATGGAGAAACAGACATATTCACAAAATGATGGTAAAAGTGTATGACTATTTGAAGGCAAAATGGAAATTATCAAAACAAAAAATGTAACTAGGTCATACACTATAATTCCACTTCTATATTTATTCTAGAGAAATACAAATGTACTCAAGAAAACATTTATAAGAACATTCATTCTAGTATCAGTTTTAGTGGCAAGAAACAAAATAAAACTAAATGTTCATTAATAATTTCCCCAGATAAACAGAAATCATAAAGTGTACCAAGACAATATATATTTTAAAAGAAGCCAATAAATATATCTTGAATAAAAAGATAAATCAAGATCTATAATTTTACAAAGTATCACGTATATATGGTTTTACAGCTGCATTCTCCCAACCTCGGAAAAACAAAATAATTTGTTTAATTATCCTGGACCACAGAAAAATATAAAAAGCTCTCTAATTCACTTAAAAAAAAACTTTATTTCCAAACATATACAGCCATACAGAGAACAGTATCATAAAACCCCATGTACTCATCGTCGACAATTATCAATACTCTAGTCATCAGCATTCCAATCTGAGGCTACCAGAACCTTTAACATCCAAATCTTGATGACAAGAGTACAAAGAGAGAAAATAATATATTTTTCATTATGAATGGAGGAAAAAATTCTAAATAAATAAAATACTAGCTAGGAGAATACAGTAGTGTATTAGAAGACTATCATCAGGGTTATTTCAAGGGTGCAAGATTAGTTCGACATTAGGAATTTACTGACACAATTCATTATTATGCACAAATATTTACAGAAAAAAGTGTTAATATCAAACTGGCATGAGAAAATTTGCAGTCATTCCTAAACAAAAACTGAAATAAGCAATATAATTATGAAAGAAACTATTTTCTAAAACCAAGAGCAAACATCCTATCAAATAGTGAAATGCTGAATGTATTTACACTATTTACACCAAACTCAGTAACAGGACAGTGATACCTGTGAACACTACTGTTATTCACTCTGATTTTGAAGACCCAGGTAGTATAATCACGAGCTAATGGTCCCAAAATATTGAAAAAAAAAAAAAAAAAACTTAATGAATATTAAAGACTACTGAAAAATTTCCTGAATTAAGATAATTTTAATTACATAAAAAAATCTTTTGTCAATATCGTCAACAATCAGATGGAAATGAAAGGGAAAAAATAACACCAGTAACAAGAACATTAAACATTCTAAAACTTTAGACTGGGGGAAGCCTTTGCAAGTAGGATAGAAATTCGGAAGCCATAAAGGCAAGATAAAAATATCTGACAAGATTAAAAACTTTTACTTGCACAGGAAAAGATATTATAAAGACTTACATTTGAAACACAGCTATATCAGTAATCTGGTACTAGCCATTAAAAATTTTGAACAACACAAACACACTCTTTAAGGACTTTAGAAATAAAATGCACCAGCACAGTACATGAAATCAGGTACGAAGGTGCTTACTGCCATGTTTTCGCAGGCAAATACCTAGAAACAAGATGTCCATAATACGGAAAGTTTCTTATCAAAAGAATAAACTGGATGTTCACCTTGTATTGTTCAACTGAAATAATTTAGCTGAGTAATAATTCAAATCCTGATCTCTTAATTATTAAAAGAAAAACCCAAACCCTATATATGATACCAAATGTCAGTACGAGTCTGGAGAATGGCTTAATTCAAGAAGAGTGAGAACTGGGGGTGAACTGGGGGTGAAGTGGAGTTGGTGGATTTGATCTATTTCACTTGTTCTAATAAGCATGCATTGTTTGTAAAAGACTATTAAAATTAGGTGTAATGAAATAGAATGATATGTACAGACATGAAAACTTTAAAACGGCTGGGCGCAGTGGCTCACGCCTGTAATCCCAGCACTTTGGGAGGCTGAGGCGGGCGGATCACAAGGTCAGAAGATCGAGACCATCCTGGCTACGGGTGAAACCCTGTCTCTACTAAAAATACAAAAAAAATTGGCTGGGCGTGGTGGCGGGAGCCTGCAGTCCCAGCTACTCTGGAGGCTGAGGCAGGAGAATGGCGTGAACCCGGGAGGCGGAGCTTGCAGTGAGCCCAGATGGAGCCACTGCACTCCAGCCTGGACGACAGAGTGAGACTCCGTCTCAAAAAAAAAAAAAGAAAGAAAATAACTTCAAAACAAAATGCCAAATAAGACACACAGATTACAGAATACATATAGCAGGATACCATATAGCTATTTAAAAACTTTTCTCTAAAATATAAACAGACATGTTTGCACATGCCCATGTACAGACAAGCAACAGATACCAAATAAGCAACAGTGGTTCACCTTGGAGGGAAAAATAGCCAAAATAGTAGCCAAGAGGAATTTTACAGTTATCTCTACTATTTCAACTTTTACAAAAATTTACTTATTATAATAAAGATTGAAAAAATATATTTAAAATTATTTTTAAAGACTAACTTTAAACATAAAATTTGGTTTTATTAACGTATATTATTAGTAGTCTCTTTTCAGGAAAAGGTTTCTTTCTATGTTGTCTTCCTGAAGGAATAAAAAATAAGTACTTTGCATAGTTTCTATTTTTGTATTCTTTTAACCATTCTGTGGAGGTGTATTCTACTTTTAAGTTGGTATATTCTTAATGAGCTGCACTGAAGTAGAACAATCTTTTAGGAAAAAAAAAAAAGCCAAGATATTTTCTAGCTCAAACAAGGATGAGCTACTTTTAAATTGGAAAAGATTGGCCGGTTAAATATGCAAATGATGTTTAACATGAAACATCACTCCTGTAATCCCAGCACTTTGGGAGGCCGAGGTCGGTGGATCACCTGAGGTCAGGAGTTCGAGATCAGCCTGACCAACATGGTGAAAACCCCTCTCTACTAAAAAAACAAAAATTAGTTGGGTGTGGTGGCACGCACCTGTAATCCCAGATACTTCGGAGGTTGAGGCACAAGAATCGCTTAAACCTGGGAGGCAGAGGTTGCAGTGAGCCGATATTGCGCCACTGCACTCCAGCCTGGGCAAGACAGCGAGACTTTGTCTCAATAAATAAATAAATAAATACAATAAATTGTAAAAGATCAAAATTTTTAGCCGTTACTTGTGTAATAAAATATCACAATTAGCTAAGTATAAATCAACAAAATTAAGCTCTATCCCCAAATTGTGCTGTGCTCCTCAGATTAAAAGGGAAGTGCAAAATAGTAAATTATCCCTGCATTGTTTGCATTAAAAAATATGATTAATATATTATAAATACAAAATTATTTTTAAAAAGAGAAAAGTGAAAAAATAAGTTAAAATGAGTATTTTTAAAGAGAATGAGTTACCCACAAAATTTTAATAGTTCTACAGATTTCTATTGCTCTGTACAAAGCAGAATTTGTTTAGAAAAGGTAAGAATTCCAATTAATTTTCTTCTTTCTTGTAACTGATCAAAACTTCTAAAAATTAAAATGTGATTAACAGACATTACCATCTTGGTATTTTAACTTACAATATTTTAACTCAAATGCTCTCCTCAATGATAAACGATAGGTCGTCATTGGCTATACATGTAGGGCTCTTGCTCCATATATCACACAAAACTTCTGGGAGTATTTTTATCTTTGGCCAATTTGCATACCCCATTGCTAATTACCTTTTTGTCCTGTGATACAATCATTATAACATTAAATGCAATTAGCCTTCCAAAACAACATTTCACATAAATGGGACTCACACCATTCTATTCAATTTTTCATACAATTAATATTTGAAATATTAGCTTTTGTTAGTGCATTTCCATTATCTACCAAAAGATGGAGGCATTTTTCAATAATACATAAAGATCTAGAACAGTACTGTTTAAGAGAATTATAAAATGAGCTGCTTACGTAATTAAAAATTTTCTAGAATCCATGTTAAATAAAATAAGGCGAAATCAATTTATAAATTTTATTACTCAATGTATCTAAAGTAGTATTTCATCATCTAAGTTATTAATGAGGTATTTTACATTTTTTGCATACTGTGTTTTCAAAATCCAATGTGCATTTCACACTAACAATACACCTCGATTTGGACTGGCCACATTTCAAATGTTGAACAGTGACATGTGGCTACTGGCTATGGTGTTGGACTATGCAGATCTAGAGTTACAGCACAAAATAAAATAATCAACTTTTCCAAACATTAAAATGTTCTTTCACAAGCAAATGTGACTATGAAGTCAAGATAAAATCTGAATTTACACATGAAATTAGTCAACAATCAGTGGCAATTATTGAAAGAAATTGTGAGGTTGTGATAATGAATCACATTTTTCCCAAACCTTCCTAATTCTTTTTTTTTTTTTTTTTTTTTTTTTGAGTCAGGGTCTCAATGTTGCCCTGGCTGGAGTGCAGTGGCACAATCATACTTCACTGCAGCCTCAACCTCCCAGGCTCAAGCAATCCTCCCACCTCAGCCTGCAAGAGTAGCTGGACTACAGATGCGTGCCACCATACCCTGCTAACTTTTTCTACTTGTTGTAGAGATGGGGTTTCGCTATGTTGCCCAGGCGAGTCTCGAACTTCTGGGTTCAAGTTATCCTCCTACTTCGGCTTCCAAAAGTGCTGGATTACAGGTGCAAGCCACCATGCCCAGCCCTTCCTCACATAATTCTATCCTAATGGCTCTCCATATTTAAGCTTAAAAATGTGTGTGTGTGTGTGTGTGTGAGTGTGTGTGTGCGCGTGTGCGTTTGCTATTATGAGGAAAGCTTTCTATAAAAATTATGTGTTCGGAGTCAGGTTCATGTTTACGTATTCCAGCTCCTGGTAGCCTAGAAGGAAACTTTGGGCATTTTAAGGTACCTCAAGATCCTCTTATGGGCACTTTTGCTTTTCCCCAGAAGGGTAAGACGAGTTTCTGTTGTTTTTTTTTTTTTGTATTAACTTGCACGTATTAATCTAAAGGTAATGACCTTGTTATCTGGAGGCTATGAGCTAGTTGAAAGCTCTAGACAAGACAGCTGACAAAGATGGACTGGAAAGGAGTCTCTGAGAGAGATTTTATAGGTCACATGAACGGACTCACTGTTAAGCAGAGCCTACTTTAGGTCTTACCCAATCAAATGTGTGACCAGTGTAGCCGATTAATACACACTCAATTAGATTAGCAAGGAGTAACATGCTGTTTCAAGTAAAAAACTTTGGTTGTGAAATTGCAGCTGTTTGGAGCCATTTAGTAGAGGCAGAGGGCATGCAGCATGGTCAGTACAGGGTCCTGGGGAGACGCTGTAGGAGAGAAGGTGCATCCCCTCAGCATGCTCCTGCAGTGCCCAGCATCCTAAAGTACTCGGTGGCCAGCAGCCTGCTCCAGAGACTCTCTCAAACGGTTCTGTTGTGTGAAGTCTCCCATGAGATACCTCCCCAGCACATGGGAGTACAAATACCATGCAAGTTCGTCTGGTGACATACCACAGCAAATTCTCGGCCACTCAGTGAGCACCGTTGTTCCCTTTCCAAGAAGGCCAGATCTCAGCCCTGAGGATGAGTGAGTGGGAGCCTCTTCCTTTGGCACTCTATCTCAGCACCAAGGAGAGTAGCTGCTCCTTCTATCTGTGGTTCTTTTGTGCTTTGTTTTTGAGACGGAGTCACGCTCTGTCACCCAGGCTGGAGTGCAGTGACGCAATCTCGGCTCACTGCAACCTCCGCCTCCTGGGTTCAAGTTATTCTCCTGTCTCAGCCTCCTGAGTAGCTGGGATTACAGGAGCATGCCACTGTGTCCGGCTAATTTTTTTTTTTTTTTGAGACTGAGTCTCGGTCTGTCACCCAGGCTGGAAGTGCAGTGGTGCGATCCTGGCTCACTGCAAGCTCCGCCTCCCGGGTTCACGCCATTCTCCTGCCTCAGTCTCCCGAGCAGCTGGACTACAGGCACGTGCCACCACGCCCAGCTAATTTTTTGTATTTTTAGTAGAGACAGGGTTTCACCGTGTTAGCCAGGATGGTCTTGATCTGCCCTCGTGATCAGCCCGCCTCAGCCTCCCAAAGTGCTGGGATTACAGGCGTGAGCCACCACGCCCGGCCTAATTTTTTGTATTTTAGTAGAGACAGGGTTTCACCGTGTTGCCCAGGCTGGTCTTGAACTCCTGAGTTCAGGCAATCTGCTCGCCTCGGCCTCCCAAAGTGCTGAGATTACAGGTGTGAGCCACTGCGCCCAGCCCTATCCGTGGTTCTTAATCTTCAGAGCTCTCTTTAGTTCTTACCAGTCAATCCCTCATTACTCCTGTTATGTTTAATTTCTTTACATTCAACTTTCTCTGTTCATGGAAACTGTGCTTTCTGTCTCCTGATTGATAAGATATGCCTGGTCGCCATTTCATAGCCCTTTCCCTCTTACTTCTAGCTCTATGAACACCTTTCCAATCAACTTGATGTGCCTTATTTTAAAAATAACCTTAATACAGGAAATAAATGAAGCGCTGAACATTCACTCTAGTAGAATATCCTTTTATAAAGCCAACTCCCCATTACAAATTAAAGACTTATACTACAAAAACGGATTTATACATACTTTTCACAAGTTCATTAATTGCATAAGGTAGGCAAGAACACCACAGTTTAGGTTGAAAACAAAAGCTAGCTACTAATCCCTTTAAAAGGCATTGGATTATCTCAACCACAATTAACAATAAAAATATGCTAAGAATTTAAGTTAACTGTATTCCAAAGTTTTTTCCACTGACAGGAAAATTTCAGCCTGGAAGGCTCTATTGCAAAAAGACAGAAAAGTGAAGGCACACTCCAGTTTCATACTTAGAATGTTGCAATCACTGCTAATCCTCTGATTTTATATGGAAACAAATATATACACATTGAAGTTCCCCCTTCACAACGATTAAAAAATGGTCTCTCTCTGCACTGGTACCCAAAGAATTCTGGGGATGAGAAAGCAAGAGATACAGGGCTGGTACTTGGGAACAAAAGGTAAAAAAGTTGCCCAGGAAGTATGCTGAGAAGGCAGGAAAATAATTACCTTAATTCCACTTTGTCATTTTGTAAGCTAATTTCTCACAATGTAAATCTGTCCTTTACATGTAATCTGCTTTCTAAAACATACATGTGTTCATGAGCATGCTTCTGAAAAAATCTGAGTCTATTTCACTGTGATATTGTTTTTAGGCAATAATTTAGATGTATGTGTTTGTGGAGCTTATTCTTCTGTACAAGTGCTTCTCATCTTAAACATTCATCTATTAATCTAGTCCATCCGCATTAGAAGAAAAACAGGTCTGTGGTTCAAAAGTAATTTTCATGGATATGGACAACTTTTAGTAAGAAACAACTGAGGAAAGCCCAAGAGGACTTTTGTCTCACTTAAAGAATTGTGTTGTTACACCTTCATTGGTGGTATAATGATTATTCTGTACTTTGACTAATACTTATGACTAACATAGCACTTTGTGCAGTTTATTTGGTAGATTTTATAGTGGGAGACCAATGTCACAAATCTTATTAGGATTCTCTCAGAGAAAACAGAAAATTGTCTCACATTTAAAAAATCTGCAAATAAGTTTTTTTGTATATTTACTATTTTAGACAAGTGGAGCAGTTTGTTTTTAAATTTGCCATTTTTAAATATTGTACTTGTAGAAGAAAACAAATCTCAGCTGATGGAGTAAATAAACTTTATACTTTTACTTTTTATTTTTGTACTACTTATTTTTGAGACAGGGCCTTGTTCTATTGCCCAGGCTACAGTTCAGTGGCGTGATCATGGCACACTGCAGCCTCAACCTCTTGGGCTCAAGCAGGCGATCCTTCCACCTCAGCCTCCTGAGTACCCAGGATCACAGATGTGCACCACCACGCCCGGCTAAATACACTTTTTTTTTTTTTTTCCCCCAGACGGAGTCTCGCTCTGTCACCCAGGCTGGAGTGCAGTGGCATGATCTCGGCTCACTGCAACCTCTGCCTCCCAGGTTCAAGCGATTCTCCTGCCTCAGCCTTCCGAGTAGCTGGGATTATAGGCACACGCCACCACGCCTAGCTAATTTTGGTATTTTTAGTAGAGACTGGGTTTCACCATGTTGGCCAGGCTGGTCTTGAACTCCTGACCTCAAGTGATCTTGCCCACCTTGGCCTCCCAAAGTGCTGAGATTACAGGTGTAAGCCATCGTGCCTGGCCTACTTTCACTTTTTAAACGGGATATATGATAAATATTGAAGCCTGCCTTTCTGCTATTTGATCCATGATCTCCTCTTAAGGGTTAAAATCTAACAGCAATCACTGAATACCCCATGACTACACTTGGGTTTCCATTAACTAGAGAAACTTAATCAACTAAAATCTTCCCTCTTTTGGCCCCTCACAAAAGCACACTGAAAATAAAACCTCACATTGGAATTTCAATGAAGTAACCTGAAATCCCCTCAAACTGAAAATAACAGTTCGTTCACAAAAGTTCAGGATGTCATCGATATTCCACTCACTTTGAAATGTTAGATAAAACATATTAGCAAAAAAGCATTTAATAACATTTCAAGTAATAAACAACATTAAAAAAACTTTCATGTTCTAACCAAATTTTTTAAAACAGAAAAAATTCACTTCTTGGATCTCCAAATCACTTTCTCCCTTGCTCTTATGATGTAGCCACATGGGCTATATTGCTGCCCTTCCAGTAGGTCGAGTTTCCATCTCAGGAGCAGTACACGCTTTGCCTTATTCCAGAATGACCTTCACCTGCCAGGGTCTTTCTTACCCAGTTCAAAATGATGTGACCTCAGAGAAGCTTTCTTCCCTGAGCCTGTTATTTAATATTGTCCCCTCCTGCTTCACTATTACACTACCCTGATTCTCTTTATAGCATTTAACCACTAACGAAAATTTACTTTTTGTATTTTCAAATTTATGTATTTGCTTTGGATATAGAGCTTACATCCAAATGATAGCAGGGATCTTGCCTAAGATTGCTCAGGATATGGCCAGGCGCAGTGGCTCACGCCTGTAATCCCAGCACTTTGGGAGGCTGAGGCAGGCAGATCACGAGGTCAGGAGATCGAGACCATCCTGGCTAACACAGTGAAACCCCGTCTCTACTAAAAAACACAAAAAATTAGCCAGGCGTGGTGGCGGGTGCCTGTAGTCCCAGCTACTCAGGAGGCTGAGGCAGGAGAATAGCGTGAACCTGGGAGGCGGAGCTCGCAGTGAGCCGAGATCGTGCCACTGCACTCCAGCCTGGGAGACAGAGCAAGACTCTGTGTCAAAAAAAAAAAAAAAAAAAAAAAAAAGATTGCTCAGGATATTTATCGCCATACACTGATAACATATATGTGACATTAGTAAGTATTTGGCAAAGGACGAATGAGCAGGATAACATCCACATTACTGGTAAAATCTTTCAACCTTCACTACAGAAGGAACATTCACTGTGGTGCCGCCTGTTGATCACTCAGAACTATGCACATTGGTCACGGTGTAAGGTACAGGAGCCACGGGAAAGAAGTCACTGATTCGACTCGCTGATTAACCATTGAAATACTTAATGAATCATATCTTTCTAACTGGCACCCTTTCTATCTTTCTCAGATGAAAGGGAAACAGAAAAAAAAAAAAAAAACAAAGGTAAAGGACCTCATGGTGAGCCTAAAAAAGAACACGTAGTACTACCAACACCATGTTCACTACCAACAATATATGTAATTCTTGTTTAGAATAAAGCACTTATCAAATTGGAGTTATGAAATTTATTTAGACAAAAGACTAACACCAATGATCAGTAAATAAAATCTGAAACTCACCAATCAGGGTATATACCCAAGGAATATAAATCATTCTACCATAAAGACATATGCAAACAAATGTTCACTGCAGCACTATTCACAATAGCAAAGACATGGAGTCAACCTATATGCCCACCAATGACAGAGTGGATAAAGAAAATGTGGTACATATACACCATGGAATACTATGCAGCCATAAAAAAGAACATGTCTTTTGCCAGAACATGAGTGGAGCTGGAGGCCATTACCCTTAGCAAACGAATGCAGGAACAGAAAACCAAACACTGCATGTTCTCACTTGTAAGTGGGAGCTAAATGGTAAGAACTTACGAACACAAAGAAAACAACAGGCACTGGGGTCTACTTGAGGGGGGAGGGTAGGAGGAGGGAGAACAAGAGAAAACTATTGGATACTGGGTTTAACATCTGGGTGATGAAATAGTACGTACAAAACACGATGACACATGTTTACCTACGTAACAAACCTGCATATGTACCCCTAAACCTAAAAGTCAAAAAAATTAAAAAGAAATTCACTAGTCAGAAGATCGTTACCTCTCCACATTTGAAATAGAAAAAAAAATGCTCATCAATATTAGGATGTTTCAACAATAATTTTTAGCCTATTGGCAAAGTTGCACAGGTTAAGCATCCCTTGCCTAAAATGCTTGGGACCAGAACTGTTTTGGATTTCGGATTTTGGAATATGTGCATCATACTGGTTACCCATTGAGCAGCCCTAATCTGAAAATGCAAAGTCTGAAATGCATTTCCCTTGAGCGTCATGTTGGCACTCAAGTTTTGGATTTTGGAGCATTTTGGATTTTGCACTTTCAGATTACCTACGCTCAACCTGTATGTAAGTTTCAGAGAAAATTAAGCAATATGTGACAGAAACTATATACAGTAAGATGAAATAATATTTATAGTTCTCAAATGCTGACGAAAACAATTATGGAAGGTAGAGGAAAAGGTGTGTAAATAAAAAACTAGATCTTTAATTTAAAAGCTAAGACCACATAAGGATATTTTAATCAACAATGGACCCCACAGACAATAGTGGTCCCTGAAGATTAAAATACTGTAGTTGTACTGTCCTTTCCTACGTTTAAGATACACAAATGCTAACTGCTGTTTCAACTGCCTACAGTATTTGGTACAGTAACCTGCTGTACAGGTTTGTAGCCTAGGAGCAATAGGCTACACCATATAGCCTGGGTGTGTGGCAGGCTCTACCACCTAGGTTTGTGTAAGTACACTCTATGATGTTCACACAAGGATGCATTTCTCAGAAGGTATCCCCATCAAGTGACACGTGACTGCACATTATATGCTCTACCTGCATGTTTATTTGGACTTACTCAGCACTCTTGGAAAACTCCTAATATGGAGTGGATTGTATAGATAAGAGGTTTTGATCCCAAATATATGATCTTAACTTGGCCAAACGTGAATTTAGGCTAAAAATTTCTGATTCAGAAAATTCAATTTTACTGTCATGTATTTGCTGTATCATAAGCTGTATCAATGCTGACACACCTTTTACTTTAGAATTCAGTAGAGGCATTTCTCAGGAGGAACAATGAATGAAGAGATTAAATAACTGTTACAAAGTTTCAATCTTCTGAAAACACTGCTTTTAAGTTTCTCAGAACTAACCATTTTCGTAAAATGGATTTGCTAAATATAAACTGGACTGTTTTTCTATTTGTGAAAACACATTCCCCAAACACTTTAGAAAACAGTTTAGGCCTTAGATGAACTCTGTTGGTTTCAGGGAATGAGTGTAACAAATGTAAATGGGTAGAATGCCAAATGTAAATCTTGACAATCCAAATTTCCCACATTTCAATTTCATCCTGTTAGTCTGAACTTTTACTGTAATAGAATTTTTTCAATATTGTACCTGCTTATGACTAATCATGCTCACTTTTATAAAAATTTATAGAATAAAAAAGGTAAACACCTGTTGTTCCCTCTAACATACAATGTTAGAGGGAAACATAAAATGGGTCTGTTAAAATAGCTGTAAATATGAGGAAGAATACAATCTAACCAAGCAGAGGCCTAGATCATACCCTGCAAATCAAATACTCTCTACTTATGCAGGGACTACAGGAAGATCAGTGAAATCTCTTTTCAATGATACCCACTCAGTAATCACCAAGAAGCAAAGTGTCACCATCAACTGTGGGCTCTCTCAGTATTCCCAGCTCCTACAGCCCAAGTCTTGGCCCAGACTGGGCTCTGCAACAATACTAAGTGAAATACAAAACAAAGCAAACAAGCCCAGCAACAAGCATCAAGTTATAAGAAAACCACTGTAATTATTTTCCCTATGTATATGTATTTTTTGAATTTAAAAACAAAACTATTTTAACATTCCAGACAAAGCATTTGGAAACTTTTTCTGTAATTGACTCCCTTGGCCATATAGTCTCTCTTATAACTTCTTGATTATGCCATTGTGGAATGGGTTTCCAATAAAACTTTACAAAAGGAGGAGGCTGGATTTAGCCCACACAGTGCAGTCTGCCAACTCCAGTTCTAGACAACAGTGAGGATACTTTGTTCATCTAATTATAATGAAGAACAAGCTTGTGTGTTTTTCTCAGAATTCTCTCCATATGTTTGCTCTCTAAGAAAAGAATATCACACAGAGGAACATAAGTAGGTCATGACAACAATGGAACGCTGGTAGATTTTAGTTTCCTGAAGATTAAGTAGTAATTAAGCTATGAAATTTCTTTCTCTACACCAGTAAGGTCAAAGATTTGGGTCAAAGAGCCAACAGTTTTAATCCTGGCCCCAATCCCAGGTCAACAACATAACCCTGGACTTTATTGCAACCTCTCAATTTTAGTTTGCTTAACTATATAGAATGAGGAAATCTCAGAAAATGGTTAAATACAAGCAGATAAGAAAGCACATTTGGAAATTCTAACTTATGATACTATTATTACTACTATGAATCACCATAATAATTACAGTAGCGAACACATGTGCCAGGTATTGTAATAACTAATTTCTCACCATTCTGTAACGTATGACCTGCCTGCTTCACTGCATATGGGGATGCTGAAACACAGAGGTTTCAAGGTTATGCAAGTAACCAAAGGCAGGCTGGGACATGAACCCAGGAAGTCCGGCTCCAAAGCCCTAAGAATTCACTATATTCTATCACTTCTCACAAAATGAAGATGAAGAGGTTATTATTCTCAGCAGATAATCGCACATCCTAAAAATATACAAAAGTATTCAGAAATCTAGGAAGAGAACAGGGCAGGGCTGATGTTTGCCAAGACAGACTTCCTTTTACACTCAAGTGAAACCTTTCTCACAGAGACCAGGTCATTTTTTTATCACTTCTTTAAAGATAATTTACATACAATTTGTAAAACAAAAAGACACTTATACAGCCAAAATTAAATAAAAAAAACAAAAGACTATATATGGAAGTCCTTTAGTGTTTTTTTACACTAGCATTTTACTCTTATAATGTATCTAAGTTGTTTCTCAAAATGCAGGGAATGCTCTAAATTAAAACTCCACAGTTACAGGATTTGAAGATTCAACTTTGGGGTGGAAATGAAACCTTTAAGCAACTGGTACTATTTATATCTTGTCTGTAGGCAGATTACTAAATTTTCAGGAATTAAATTCTCACCACAAAAAATATGAAAAGAACCTGAAGAGATTTTTCCTTCTGTAGTTGAAGTTACCTTTTCTTTTATACACTATACTTTCTAACCATTAGTTCCCACATCTAGCAGTGCACATAAGAGAAAGATGCCAGGAGCTTAAAAACAAAAAAATACAGTTGACCCTTGAAGAGCATGAGATTTAACTGTGTGGGTCCACTTACACTCGAATTTTCTTCCACCTCTGCCACCCATGATACAGAAAGACCAACCTCTCCTATTCCTCAGACGACTAAATGTGAAAACAAGGATGAAGGAAATGAGCAGTGAAGGAAAACGAGGATGAAGACCTTTATGATGATCCACTTTCACCTAATGAACAGTAAACGTATTTTCTCTTATGATTTTCTTATTAACACTTTCTTTTCTTTAGCTTACTTTAAGAATACTGAATATAATACATCTAACCTACAAACTTTGTACTGTTTATGTTATCAGTAAGCTTCCACTCAACAGTAGGCTATTAATAGTTAAGTTTTTGGGAAGTTAAAAATCACAGGTGGATTTTTGACTGTGTGTCGGGGGTGAGAGGGAGGTTTTGGTCCCCCCTAAACCCCAGGTTGTTCGAGGGTCAAATGTATTGCCTGCTTCCGTCTCAGATCAACTGAAAGCAAGCCCCAGAAGTTTGTATTTTTAAAAGCTCCCATATTACTGGTGCTACCCATGAAAATACTTAAGATACCTAGGAGAAAAAAAAATCACAATATAACACAAAAATAGTAATTTTAGGGGGGAAAAACCCTCCACTTTTAAGTTAAGGTTACAGATTCTAAGTGCTGAGGAACTCTAAATGAAGAAAGTGGACATCAAAAAGAATTTTCTAAGATTGAAAATTTTTTACAATCTAAACTAATGGCCCAACATTTGAGATTTTGATTCAGATTGCGTTATTTAAAAGGGGAAATCATGTCCAAATTACTTAAGCATGGTTTCTAGCTGAGAAATAGATGTTAAAATTACAGCTGCTCCCGTGAATCATCAAAGGTGCTATATCACTGTGTGTGTGTATGTGTTGCGGCAGTAATCCTTTTCCTGATAACAATCTATGCTGTGCCAGGAAGATTTTTAGAATATATTAACTGCAGCAATTAAAAATCATCATCAGTTATAAGATAAGCCAACTTTACACGTAACATGCCATAATATTCCTTTAAAAAATCATTACATCCTTAAAATAAACACCAGGGTTCTCATAATTTATAAATCTAGGTTTGAAATTTAGAAATAATCAGCTTCACAAATACATAAAAACTACAGTAGATACGAATTAGCAACCACATTCATAGCTCTTACAAGTTATCCTCTTCTCTTACTAGTTCCCATTTTAGTAGAATGCGAAACACTTTACAGTTTTAACTACCACTGTCACTGCGGTTTTTTACAAACTTTAAAAAAGCTCTCTCCTGGCTAGGTACGCCTCCCTTTTCTTACTTCTCCCTCGCCTCTTCACCTTCCTAAAAGAACGTGCTCCCTGTTATCCAGTTCTCTGCCTTCTTTCCAAACTGTTTCTCTTAGCAATTTTAGTGACTTCTATGGCTTCAGCTAACACCTCTATGCAAGTTAAGTCTCAATTCAACATCTCTAATCCTAAATCATCTCTTCAGATCTAGACCCAAATTTACTTTTTCTTTCCAGCTTTACTGAGGTCCAATTGACAAATAAACATTGTATCTATTAAAGGTGTACAACAGTGATGTTTTGATATACATATTCAAATGATGACCGAGACCAAGTTAATTAACATATCCATACCTCATAGTTACTTTTCTTAGTGTGTGTCAAAAGAATGCCTTAAGATCTACTCTCTTAGCAAATTTCAAGTATACGTTATTAACTCTTGTCACTACACTGTAAATTAGGTCTCCAGAACTTACTCATCTTATAATTGAAACTGTGTACCCTTTAACAAACATCTCCCCATTCCTCCCCACCCCTAACCCCTGGTAACCACCATTCTACTGTCTGTTTCTATGAGTTCAACTTGCTTAGGTTCCACAGTAAGTGAGGTCATGCAGTGTTTGTCTTTCTGTGTCTGGTTTATTTCACTTAGCACAATGCCCTCCAGGTTCATCCATGTTGTTCCAAATGGCAGGATTTCCTTCTTTTTAAAGGCTAAATCACATTTCATTGTGTGTGTGAACATTTTCTTTATCCATTCATGTGTTCGACATTCAGGTTGACTCCATACCTTGGCTATTGTGAATAATGCTGCAACAAACATGAGAGTGCAGATATCTCTTCGAGACAGTGATTTCATTTCCTTTGGATATGTACCCAGAAGTGGAATTGCTGGATCATGTGCTAGTTCGTTCTGGTTTTAATTTTTTGAGGAACCTCCATACTGTTTTCCAGAATGGCCGTATCAATTACATTCTCATCAACAACGTATAAGGGTTCCCTTTTCTTCTAAACTGTCTCTTCAGCCCTGGACTCATGTTTCAAGTGATCTTCATGTGGACTGCAGTTAACCATGGGTCAGGTGGTGGCCTATAGAGCCTTGGGAGTCTCCAGAAATTGTATGCAATTGCTGCGTGTATGTGCACATGCACATTTTTCTGGAGAGAAGGATCATAATTTTCTTCAGATTCTCAAATGTACGTGTGACTCTAAAGAAAGATAAACTCAGGTAGGTCATATACTACCAGTATACCAGAACCTTTGGCATAAATACTAGTGTTTTGTTTTGTTTTTGAGAAAGAGTTCCGCTCTGTCACCAAGGCTGGAGTGCAGTGGTGCGATCTCGGCTCACTGCAACCTCCGCTTCCCAGGTTCAAGCAATTCTCATGTCTCAGCCTCCCGAGTAGCTGGGATTACAAGCATGTGCCAACACTACCTGGCTAATTTTTGTATTTTTAGTAGAGACAGAGTTTCACCATGTCGGCCAGGCTGGTCTTGATCTCCTGGCCTCAAGTGATCCGCCTGCCTCGGCCTCCCAAAGTGCTGGGATTACAGGTGTGAGCCACCGCGCCCGGCCAACACTAGTGTATTTTTAAAAGAGAAAACAAAGTCCAGGTTAATGTGTTTATTAAAGGACTTCTGTAGTTAACTTTCCCAAGCAGTAGATTTCTGAAGCTTGCTAGCATCTTCTAATGCAATAGTATGACAAACTGCAGCTGCGGATCAACCGCTTTTGTAAATAAAGTTTTATGGGAACATAGTCATGCCCATTCATTTACACATTGTCTATGGTTGCTTTTGCAGTTGAGCAGTGAAAAGAACTATATGGCCTGCATGATTGAAATATGTTTACTATCTGGCCCTTTAAGGGAAAGTTTGCGGTTATTTTAGATTTAAAAAATGTCTAAGTTGAGAAAAACAGATCTAATCTTGAATAATCAAAAGAAATACATCTTTTAATTTTATTTGTAAGCAATTTCAGATACTGGTATCAAGCAAACAAAACCCCTGTATTTTTTAAAAAAATAGGGTGTCTTACCTGCCATTGCTTGGCTGCTGCGGCGAGTGCCTGGAATGATCAGAAGGCTCTGACCGCTGGTCAGGAGATCGTGACCGGCTGCGGCGGGGAGGCCTATCGTGTGATCGACCAGAATGATCTGATGCCAGTGACTGAATTTCTGAAATGTCTGTTAATAAAAGGGTGCTACTTATTTTCCCACAAAAATAATTACAGTCAAGTATAAGGTACTCCAGTAATAATGAAGATAAGCTAGTAAGTAAAATTATATATAAAATGGAAGATTTATGCATTAATTTCACCTGCCAGCAATCATATCAATAGTGGTGAGTTGTCTACAGGAAAAAATGTATATAAAACTTATAGATTTTGAAGGTGTTTGGCTGGTAGAAAATTATCATTTCATTCAAAGATGTTCAATCTCCCTAGTATTTTAAGAAAATAGGTCACTTAGAGGGAACGTTCAAACAGAATCACACTCACCGTCTCTCTCAGAGGCATTAGCAGAGTGGATGCTGTCAGAAAGATCAGGGACATTCAATAGCGTAGCCCGTTCATCTCTTTGAACTACCATTTTTAATTTGCCTTTAGACCTTTCTATCAATGTCTTTGCATCTGTCAATGACATATTTTCTGTCACAGTACCATTTATCTGCAACAGAAAATAAATTACAGCTTGAAAGTAAATAATAAAATACAAATGTTAACTTAGTTTGTTATAAACAGAAATATCCAAACCACTCCTTGCTATGAAAACCAAAATATTCTCTCTACACTTTTCCAAACTGTCAAAGTATTCCACCTTCTTGAGATGATAAAATCTTTACTGTACTGTTGCTGTCAGAAAAACCCATAGTAGCATCCCCTAACTCCTTCTTTGAGGCTGTCACTTTCTATTACTTATAAACAAACGAATAAATAAGCATTTCAATAGTATCTGGAAGCAATTATCAGAACTTTTTAATGTGTAAGAACAGACATATCTATCTACAAAGTAGTACCGGCCTGTGAATAATTATCTCAGGATGACCCTGTGATACCTAAAGCATTGGTGTCGACATGTAATAATGCATAAAGGGAATTTATATCCCTCTCCCCCAAACACTGATTTTTAATTCTCTTTGGCAAAACTGCTTCAAACAAGAGCACAGACTACATGGTAACTCTAGAACTTGTTTTCTATTTCAGTTCATTAAAAAGTAAGAATATGATTATACCTTCAATACAACATCACCTTCTTGAATATTGCCATCTCTTGCTGCCAAACTATCTTGTGAAATTTCCTTAACAAATATATGGCTTGCCAATCGAAGACCATATTCTGAAATAATGTAAGTAAGTGTTTTTAGTATAACATCCTAAGACACCTAAATAGATTTTACAAGTATACAACTAAACTAATTAACTACTGCATAGAGTTTTCAAGTACAATCAATAACAAGAAATATTTCTTGGCCATCCTGCAAATAAGACATTCCCTCTAATTAGCAAGTCTGCAATGTCTCCGTGAAAGCCAAGGGAAAGTGTATGGTTCAAACGAAGGACTGATAGACCGTGTTCCCATATTACTGAAAAGGAGAAAATCCCCAAGAGGACACCATTTCTTTTTGACCAAGCATTGATACACTAGCTCTTCAGAATGATTAAGGAATACAATTTTCTTTAAGAGACAGGGTCTCACTATGTTGCCCAGGCTGGACTTGAATTCCTGGGGCCAAAAAACCCTCCTGCCTCAGGCTCCAGAGTAGCTGGGACTAACAGACATGTGTCACACTATGCCTGGCTAGAGATATAATTCTAAAGAGTAAACTGCTTGAGGTTTGAAAAACTTTGAAAAGATTGACCATTTTATTGATGACTATTATCATGCATATACTACTTCTATTTTTCCCAGCTCCTAGACCAAAAATATTTCTGATCCTATACACCCCATGACACTGGATAGACATACTCAGAGTACTAGCATGTACTAAGCATGAGTGCAAAGGCTTACAACCAGCCAGGCAGATGTGGGCAGGAGTTATAATGCCAATCCTTTCCTTTAAACAACCAACAAAGTATCCAAGAGTGAGAACATCACTCCGTCTGTGGGTAAGGAATGTTGGAAGTTGAGGAAATTACTAGCAGAGTCCAGAGAACTGCCCAGGTTCCTGCAACAGCTGCAGAAAAACATATTTTAAGAAAAATAAGAACAATGACTACAACTATCAATATAATGTCAATAGTAAAAGGATTGCCCCTGGTTCTGTGAGGAGAGTCTTACTGCATTAAAAACAAAATCAAAAACCAAGATGGAAAACAGAAAACTGTTTTAACATGGGATAAATTAACAGACCTATTACCTAAGTGTTTAAAAATTACATAAGAGTAGGCTGGGCATGGTGGCTCATGCCTGTAATTCCAGCACTTTGGGAGGCCAAGGCGGGCGGATCACAAGGTCAGGAGTTCGAGACCAGCCTGGCTAGCATGGTAAAACCGTCTCTATTAAAAATACAAAAAATTAGCTGGGCATGGTGGTGCACACCTATAATCCCAGCTACTTGGGAGGCTGAGGGAGGAGAACTGCTTGAACCTGGGAGGCAGAGGTTGCAGTGAACTGAGATTGTGCCACTGCACTCCAAGCCTGAGAGAGAGAGTGAGACTCCGTCTCAAAAAAAAAAAAAAAAAAATTACATCAGAATTACAGTTTAACTTAAGACAAATATACAAAGAGTACTCACAGCCAGAAATAGAATCAGGGTGAAGAAAACGGCCTTTTAGGATATCTGGGCAAGGAATGAGGCAGTCATCCATATGGTCATTACATCACAGAAGGATAGGGTATTGGTTAAAAGACTGTTCTTCAAGATTAAACACTTATAAATGACCATTACACAGATGACCCCAAAATATTTCTTGTATATTAGTTTGTTCGTTCATTCTAAATATTTCTTGGGGTATATATGAACTAGGTACCAGGCATTAGGGAGAAAGCAGCAAATGAGATAGTTCCTGCACTCTGGCAATTTGCAGTCAGTGAAAAAAAGGATGTTAGCATGGTAATCCCAAATGCGGTGAGTTCAGAGGGCAGAAACACAAGGGTTCTTCACTTACTAGGGGGAAGGAGAAGGCCGCCCTGAGGAAGATATACTAAAGTTAAAACTTTACCTAAGAAAGACCTAAACCTGAAGGGTATGTTTGTGGGGGAGGGGATGCATGGGGTGAGTGACGGCTGAAAAGTTCAAAACAAATGCATCAAAGTAATGAAGAAAAAAACCTGGTGGACCTAATGAAGTCATAAGTCTAGTGTAGCTGAGACTGAGAACTAATAAAGAAAGGGGCAAAAGAGTAAGACAGAAGTGTCACAGAGGATCTATGAAGAAATCTGCAGAATCAACTTAAAGGGATCCAAGAGACAACCTATGAGACCAAATGAGTCTATGTAAGAGATGACAGTGGCTTGGAAAAGGGTGGAGGCAGTGGAGAAAGAGTGGGATGGATAAGAGTGGTATTCAGGAGTGAGGACATTCATCATGCATGGGAAAAAAAGAGAAGGCAAGGGTAACTACCATGTCATCTGGGAATGGCCTGAGAAACTGGATCAATAGAAACACATTCAACTGAATACTTCATGAGAAATACAAAGAAAAATTTTAAGAGGGAGATGAGTTTCATTTGAGATGTGCTGTGTTTCAGGGACCTACAGGAACATCTAAGTGAATATGCCTAACAGTTGGAACACAAGAGTGTAAAGATTTGGGCTGGAGAAAGAGGTTCTGCCATCATCAGCAGTGACTGGAAGCAGGGGAGCAGATGAGATTGCCTAAATTAATTGTTATTCAACCTGAGGAAAAGAAAAAAAAAGTTACCTTAAGTGGAAAAAAAGATTCTAGGAGAGAAACTGACAGAACGTTATAAAGGGCAGGGTGAGGAGAATGAGCTTGCAAAAGATACAGAAAGGTGGGGGAAAAAAACAGAAAGATACAGTACTACCAAAGAAGACATTATTTTTGAAAATAAGGAGTGGTTAACCATGTGAAATGATACTGAAAAGGCAAGCAAGCTAGAGACTGAAAAACTTCCACTAGATTTAGTGTGAACATTTTTGGGGGCAGAGCGGAAAAGATACCAGACCAGAGAGGATTGAGGGGTAAGTAGTGAAGTAAAAACAGCAAATGTTGACAACTTCACTGAGACTTCACTGAATGGGGGTATGGAATACCACCTAGGAGATATGCCAAGTGGTAAAGCAGATCAAAGTAAGTCTTGATAATATTCCAACTGTAACACCCTTTATATCAAAATGATCAGTCATGCATGCCCACAGGAGGAGCAAGCCACAGTCAGATCCATTTTTTATCAAATTTAATGAGGCATGAGGGAAAGCAGCTGAGTTTCAGTTTCAAAAACTTCAAAGAAGTACTGCATTATGGAGAAATGCTCTATAAGGGGTTCCTTTCCTTAAATTCCTCCATTTAAAAAAAACAGTCTGGAGTGAGGGGGAAGAAGTCCCAGCAGGGCACAGTGGCTTCCCGCCTATAATCCCAGCACTGTGGGAGGCCGAGGCAGGTGAATTGCCTGAGCTTACCAATTTGAGAACAGCTTGGGCAACACGGCAAAAACCCTGTCTCTACCCAAAATAAAAAAATTAGCTGGACATGGTGGCATGTACTTGTACTTCCAGCTACCAGGGAGGCTGAAGTGGGAGGACTGCTTGAGCCTGGGAAGCAGAGGTTGCAGGGAGCTGAGATTGTGCCACTGCACTCCAGCCTGGGTGACAGAGCCAGACCTTGTAACAACAACAAAAACAACAACAACAACAACACTCCCAAGATTTCTCTCCATGATTACACTACTAACAGTTAAGAAAAACACTGAATTTCCATTTGGTGATGGTGTGACATTTCTTGTTAGCATAATTTGTACCTGGCTATTCTCATCACAACAAATCCAAAAGCCAAGCCCTGGACAATTCACTTGAAGTGTTATCTGTTCCAACAGAAAAAATGAACAGTCCCTGAAGCCTGCCATAACAGGATTTGACTTACAGTGATAGAACACAAACACAAAGACAACAAAGCAAAGACATGAAGAGACAGCAACTGTACTTCTCATTAAAATTAGTTTTAAATTTTCATGTGAAAAAAACAGCAAGAGTTGGCAGAGAATACCTTCATTTTTCCGGGATTTCACCAGTGTGACTTTAGTAGGTTTAGCAGGCTGGCTGGAAGCCACTGACCGCCTGTCTGACCGCGGGGACAAGCTCCTCTCTCTACTTGCACTTCTATCCCTCGGCCAAATCTTCTCACTCCTTCTGTTAACCACACCACTCCGGCCACTTCTTGGATCATGTATTTCCTCATCATAACTATCTTCTTCATTATCAGATACTGGTTCAGGATCAGGACGACTTACTGGTATTTGAACTTTCTTCTTCCTTCTAATTGTCTGCAAGTTAAAAAGGTTAAAAAATAAGTTGACTGATTTTCATATATGTACGTTCAGTTCCAAAGAGAAAGGAATATTACACTTCTCATCCCATATTAACTATGAACCAGCAAGAAACAATACACAAACAACTACAACAAATTTCTAAGGAATACATTTCCATAAAGGCTGTGTTTTCTGTTCTCCTGATAAACAGATCTGGTTAAGCACAAATAAGAACGAGTGGGCCTAAAAACCTCTTTATTTACTTCACACAGAAAGATCTTCCTGGTGTAATAATCACAAGCTTACAGGGAAACTAACAACTGTTGGTGGTTTGAATAAAAAGGACAGCACTGTACTCTAATGCCATCAAATATACTCTAGGTGCTACCAAAACCACAGCAAACTTCCATGCCCAACTTGCTTCCTTAAAAATTTTAGAATGCATCAATATCAAAGCCCACAATTGCCCCAGACCTCTAAGAGATAATTTATTCTATAGCCGCACTAACATTCAATAATATGTTGGAGCTAATTAACTCAGCCGTACTTCACCAACACAAACTGCTTTCAGTCTCTGGATCTCTTCAATTTGTACTCCCAGTCTAGGTGCAAATTCTTCCCTCTGGCGTTCTTTTCTCAATGATTCTGGTAACTGGCTCTGTATTGCCTGTCCACTTATTTCCTTCATTCTCTGCAAGCTGACGATCTACATGTATTACACCTGCTGACTGAATGGCCCTGTAATCTGTGGACTACACTTTGCCTTCTCACAATAGTATACACTTGACCTCACTGTAGTTCTACAGGATCTCCTTGTGTATCACTCCTTGTCTTCTATGTCGGACACCTTGAGCTACTGAAACTTTTCACTATCTTATTTCCAATTCCTTCATCTTAGTTCATCAGTTCCATCCTGGTTTCACTCGCATTCCCCCTAAGTTTGCATGAGACATCCTGTTGCCATATTTAAATGACTTTTTCTTGACCCCTCAATCATCTGCCCTGACAAACTCCAGTCCTATTATTACCTTCACTTCCACACTTTGCTGATGAGGCCCTCTGTAAATTCATTTTACAGAAGTCTTGCTCTTGTTCAGCAATCCTTTCATCTACATATTGTTGCCTCTCTGTGGAATTCGCTAATGTAGGTATTCTACAACCATTCTTCAAGATCCCAGCCACTCAGCCTGCTTTAAGATCAGTGCCATTTTACTCCCCCTCCCCTCCTAAATTTTTTCAGTATTTCCCCTCCTAAATTTTTTCAGTGTCTCATTTATTTGGTCCTCTTTCCTTCTGGTCTCAAAGACCAAGGCAATCTTCTCCCTGGATGAACAAAACCCTTGTATTTGAGCTCTCATTCTCATCCCTACCTACCTCTAAGACTTTTTTCTTCATCAATTACCATACTCCAGGTTACCTGAAACTTCAATCTCTTTATTTACCTAAAATCTGTCCTCTACCTACTAAGCTCCCCCAATTAATCTTCTATTTCTCTGTCTTGCTATTCACCTGCATGTTATCATCTTTTCTCTCTTCTCTATGTGCCTAAACTTCTTCAAAGGGCTGCTCTACACTTAATACCACTGCTTCCTATGACTACTACTATTATTATCAGATACTGGTTCAGGATCAGGATGAGGGCCTGAGCAGAGGGCCATTCTGAGGAAACAACGCTGAAGCTCAAGGATGAGAAACAGCAGAGGCCAGCATGTGAAAAGGAGGACAGCCAATGCCCTGTTATGAACTGAAAGAGAAAGGCTGCCCTTCTCCTATTGGAGCAACCCACAGCTGAAGTCCTTATAGGGTAATATTTTCTGTAAAGCATTCCTAATGCTAGCTGCCTGCTTTTACATCTCACTTCTATTTAATTTCCAACATATTATATTGGAAGCAATACCTGGTATTAGTATTTTAATCTTCAGTTCCTCCCTAGTAATAAACAAAAACAAAGTTGAGCAGATGAGCACTCAAGGCTTTCCCTATCATTCCTGTAAGAGTGCGCCACCTCTTTGGGATCCTACTGTACCTGACCTATCAACCTGAGATGACGTGCATTATATGGTTATCAGTATGTATACCTATCCAGCCCACTAAGATTTGAGTTTTTTGAGAAGTTCCTTACCATGCATTTAACTGTACATATAATGCAATGCTTGCATCTAGTAGGTGCTTAACTTATTGAAAGGTAACCAGTCCTATTGTGATTCTCTACTTATGAATCAACAGTTATAAACATGAATAATAATTAGTAGGTGTGACAACTATGCTCGATTTTAACACTATGAAAAATTTGGAATCAAAATATTTAGGAAAAAAAATGCCTACTTCAAAATAGTTTAGCTTAACTAAGTCTCAAAGGTAAAATAAAACAAAATGATGCCATGTAAGTACTAGAAAAAAATACAACAGAGAGGCTTTTGCAATTAAAAGGCTTTTGGAAGCATGACACCAAGGCAGAACCAATAAAATGAAAGTCTGACAGACATGACAAAATAAAAATGAAAACATTTCAATGTTGTAATAAAATGATACAAAACAACAAACACAAACAACTTACAAGCATTCACAAAAGCAAAGAGGATAACAACACATGAGGTATGTATGACAAAAGGCTAATAATCTGACTACAGAAAACACTCTAGTATGACCATCACCACCATATAAATGCAAAGGACATGAACAGGTAAATGAAAAAACAAATGGGTAGTAAATACACCATGAGAGGATCAAATCCACTTGTGATTTAAAATGTTTCATTTGAAACACTTGTTTAGTTTATCAGTTTGGCAAAGATTTAAGACCTGTTGAAAACTGAACTCTCAATAGCCTATTGATTTTCTGAAGGACAAACTGGCAATACATACATCAAAAGTCATTCAGGCCCTTTGACTCTGAAAAGCCACTCCTAGAAAATTATTCTAAACATTAACTAAACAAGTAGGTAGTAATATGATGATTTTTGCAGCTGAATTTTAAAAAAATACTTGCGGACTGGACACTGAAATGCCTGTGAATGAGTGGGTTGGATAAATATATATGCATAGTGAAATGCTGCATGGCCATGTGGATACCTACACAGTCATGCACCATGTAAAACAACGGACAGCACGTACTGCAGGGGCCCCATAATATCACAATGGAGCTGAAAATCTCCTATCACCTAGGGACGCCACAGGGTCATAATGTCGTGGGTGCACTGCAGTACTTATGTTGGTGGTGATGCTGGTGTAAACAAAGCTACTATGCTGCCAGTGGAATAGAAGTGTAGCAGATACAATATGTACAGAATATAATACTTGATAATGACTATGTTACTGGTTTATGTATTTACTATGCTAAACTTTTTATCATTACTGCAGAGTGTACTCCCTCTACTTATTTTTTTTTCTACATGTTAACTGAGAAAACAGCCTCAGGTAGGTCCTTCAGGAGGTGTTCCACAAGAAGGCATTATTGTCACAGGAGATGATGGCTCCATGCGTGTTACTGCCCCTGAAGACCTCCCACTAGGACAAACTGTGGAGGTGGAAGACAGTGACACTGATGACCCTGATCCTGGGTAGCCCTAGGCTAATGTGTGTGCTTGTGTCTTAGTTTTTACTAAAAAAGTTTAAAAAGTGAAAAATAAAAAATTTTAGGCTAGGTGCAGTGCCTCCTACCTGTAATCCCAGAACTTTGGGAGGCGGAGGCAGGCAGATCACTTGAGGCCCGGAGTTCAATACCAGCCTGGCTAACATGGCAAAACCCCATCTCTACTAAAAATACAAAATACGGGCTTGGTAGCGGTCGCCTGTAATCCCAAGGCTGAAGCACGAGAATCACCTGGACCAGGGAGGCGGAGGTTGCGGTGAGCCAAGATCACGCTACTGCACTCTAGCCTGGGTGACAGAGCGAAACCGTGTCTTAAAAAAACACAGCCTGTAATCCAAGCACTTTGGGAGGCCGAGGCGGGGCGGATCACGAGACAGCCTCCATCAGGAGATCGACACCATCCTGGCTAACATGGTGAAACCCTGTCTCCACTAAAAATACAAAAAAATTAGCTCTGGTGGCGGGTGCCTGTAGTCCCAGCTACTCGGGACGCTGAGCTTGCAGTGAGCCAAGATCGCGCCACTGCACTCCAGCCTGGGTGACAGAGTGAGACTCTGTCTCAAAAAAAAAAGAAAAAAACCAAAAAGAACCCAAAAAATTTTAAATATTTTTGTACAGCTGTACAACGTGTTTGTTATTACGAGAGTCAAAAAGTTAGAAAGTTTATAGGTTAAAAAAGTTTCAGTAAGCTAAGGTTTATTATTGAAGAAAGAAGACTTAAATAAATTTTATAAATTTATAAAATATTAAATACATTAAAAATATTAAAACGTTAAAAATTTAGTGCAGCCTAAATGTACAGTGTTTACAAAGTCTACAGTAGTGTACAGTAATGTCCTAAGATGTCACATTCACTCACCACTCACTCGCTGACTCACTCAGAGCAACTTCCAGTCCTGCAAGCTCCATTCATAGTAAGTGCACTAAACAGGCATATAATTTTTTTATCCACTATATATTTTTACTGTACTTTTTCCATGTTTAGACATACACATACTTACCATTGTTTTACAGCTGCCTACAGTATCCAGAACAGTAACATAATATATCTATTATGAGAAGTGAATTATCAGGCAATTCTGTCTTTGTGTGAACATCACAGAACGTTATCTTCCCAAACCCAGATGGTATAGCCTACTACACATCTAGGCTACTTGGCATAGCCTATTGCTCCTCCGTTACAAGCCTGTACAGCATGTTAGTGAACTGAATACTGTAAGCGACTGTAACACAATGGTAACTATGTGTGTATCTAAACACGGTAAAGGTAAATACAGTACTATAATCTTATGGAACCACTGTCAGATATGTGGTCTGTTGTTGACCAAAACATTGTCATGTAGCATGTGACTGTAGAGGAGGAAAAGAGGAGGAAACATTAAGCCAAAAAGAGGTAACTATTTGGCCGGGCGTGGTGGCTCATGCTTGTAATCCCAGCACTTTGGGAGGCCGAGGCAGGCAGATCACGAGGTCAGGAGATCGAGACCATCCTGGCTAACACGGTGAAACCCTGTCTCTACTAAAAATACAAATAATTAGCCGGGCGTGGTGTCAAGCGCCTGTAGTCCCAGCTACTCAGGAGGCTGAGGCAGGAGAATGGTGTGAACCTAGGAGGCGGAGTTTGCAGAGAGCCGAGACCGTACCACTGCACTCCAGCTTGGGCGACAGAGCGAGACTCCGTCTCAAAAAAAAAAAAAAAAGGTAACTATTTAACTGTCCCCTTTCCTTTTTCAATTGAAAAAAATCCTGGTATCTAAACTGAGAAAATACACGTACCAGTGACATACCACACCAGTGTTAGAAGAAACACTCAAGTGTAAACAAATAACTTTGGAACTATTGTTTCAGTTTTCCTTAAATGGGAAGGATAAATTCAAATACCAGAAATGTATCAACAATAAAGTTGGGGTACCTTTACTAAATTACAGAGAAAAGATACTTACAATTTTTGCATTTTTCCCACTTTTCCTTAGTTGCTGAACAGCAAAAGCATGTTCAACATTATCCATTGAAACTCCGTTAACCATTGCAACTCGGTCATTTTCCCTAAGGGGAAAAGGGCACAAAATAATATGTTAGAGAAAAACATTCTGGTAAGTTTATGATGATATTTCCAAGATAGGTACTTCTAAAATGTAATCTAATTATGAGCCAATTAATTAATTTCTCTTTAGATCAATGATAAAATAATGTCAACTGACTTACTTTCAGATTTCTCTGCAGAATGTTTAACAAGTAACTAACCACAGGTCCTTAATTTTTTTAAGTCATTAACAAAGTATTTCCCCAAAAGACTGAACAGATATCACATACACGAAATGATTCTTGGTAGTACAGTTACAGGGCATTAAATGATACTAAGTCATACAGCTGGAAAACTTACTCCCTTTTAAGTTTTTCATCTTTTAATTCTCTTTTAATTCTTCTAATTATAGTGCCACTATTTTGCTAGTGTATTTTGTGTTTCTCTTTATCTTACTAATCTTCATAGGGAATAAAAAGGGTGGCAAGACTTGGGGAGGAGGCTTCTGAAGGCTAGATTCTACCCAAAAGGAGTTATACATTTTCTTTTTCACTATTTTTACAGTTACACATTCTATTTAAAGTGAGTGATACTAGCTTTCCAATTTTCATAGGGATAAAGCTTCCTTTATTTTCTTTGGAGACAGGGTCTCGCTCTGTCACTTGGGCTGGAGTACAGTGGTGCAATCATGGCTCATTGCAGCCTCAGATTCTTAAGTTCAAGGGATTCTCCTGCCTCAGCCTCCCAAGTAGCTGGGACTGCAGGCACAAGCCACCATGCCCAGCTGATTTTTAAACTTCTTTTGTAGAGATGGGGATCTCACTGCATTGCCCAGGCTGGTCTCAAACTCCTGGTCTCAAGTGATCCCCCTGCCTCAGCCTCCCAAAGTGCTAGGATTACAGGAGTGAGCCACCACACCTAGCCAGTTTCCCTCTTAATATATGTTAATTTAAGGAAAAATATATGAAGCATGGCACAGGTGGAGTGTGAATATGACAAAATCACTAAGACAGTGTAAGACAGTACGCCAGTGCCTGAGGAGAGGAACACTGCTTGTTGCACAGTGCCCACGATAAGCAGCACTCTTACTGTAGCTGTCCTTCAGCTGGTCCTCCTTTCAGCACATCTGAAATCACTATTGACGTTTCCCCACTCTGAAAATGAGGATTATCTCGTCCACCAGATATTGCAATTCCAAATCCAAATCCAGGAGCCTAAAGTAAAAATTACAGTAAAATATTGCTATTAAGGACAAAAATAATTGTTATATCATACTCTACAATCTAGAGAAGCCAAAATATAAAAATTACAATCTTAATATATCTGTGATCCATAAACACTCACCTGCATGGTTACCTATTAGAATTATCCTTGTACAAGAATGCATGCTCTAATAACTACTGGACATAACAGAATATTAAAAATCGCCAACTATATACATGTTCTTTAAAAACCAAAAGACAATTAAAAATTATTAACACTGAGATCCTGACTTTATTTTTGATCAGAAGAGGTCCTGAGGAGACTGGCAGAGCCCAGTGTGATCATCAGCCATCCTGGCAACTGATTTAGAAGATGACAGACTTATCCAGCATACACACCCTTTGTCATTTTACATAAATATCAATTGCTTTGAAAATCAAGTATTAGTTATTTCAACTTCTTTCAACAACTTCTGCCAACTCCTAAAAATCTCTGTAGAATATAATGCCTTGTGCACACTATACAATAGAAGGTGTACATTAGCCATATTGAACTAACATTGTAAAATTACCTTTTTAAAAAACTAAATTATAATAAGCTACGCACTTCTGAAAGAGCCAAGAATCTTTACCACAATGACTCAGGACAGGCCGGTATAGAAAAAATTCAAAATATTTTCCAGGTTGTTAAAAAATTACCTAATCTCAAAGAAATCACTATTCCCTAGAAAGGATATGAAGTACTTAAGAGTAGTTTAAAGAGACAATATACATTTTCTTAAGGCTACAGAATCATTAAGCCAGAAATGTATGTTTTTGTATAAAACTGTACAATTCAAACTGCCTGAGGACAAAGGTAACAACTTCCTCCCTCAGCTTTCCAGTCCGCAACAGAGGAGACTATTTTCACCATGAATAGTGCATACATCACCTTTCCTCCCATCCCAAAGCCTATAGAAGTAGCAAAAGAAAAAAAAAAATCTTCTTAAAAATGAATAAATACCAACTATTCCAAGTGTCCATCAACTGATGAATGGATAAAACGTGATATATATCCATACAATGAAACATTGTGTGTAAAAAGGAATGAAGTACTCATACATAGTATAACATGAATCAACCTTGAAAACATCATGCTAAGGTGAAGAAACCAGTCACAAAGGTTAATAGATTCTATTATTCCGTTTATATAAAATGCTCAGAAAGGCAAATCTATAAAGACAAAAACCTGAATGGTGGTTGTCTAGGGCTACAGGGATTGGAGGGGGTGATAATTCAATGGGAGGTGTTTTTTTTTTCCCCAGTAATGAAAATGTTTTAAAATGGACTCTGGTGATGGTCACACAACTCGGAACACGCTAAAAACCAATGAACTGCATACTTTAATTGTTTGGCATGTGAATTATATGGCAATAAAGCGAACACAAAAAAGTTAATATGAAAAAAGAAAATAATAAAACAGGGAAATTTCTGAGTAACTGAAGATAATGGCAACCATCTGAATCTGTTTCTCTATATATTCTCCCAAAATTTAATAGAACAAAAATAGACCAACTACAGTGGTTCTCCCTTATCCTCGGTTTCATGTTCTTTGCTTTCAGTTACTTCAGGTCAACTGCAGTGTGAAAATTTTAAACGGAAAACTTCAGAAATAAACAATTGGTAAGACTTAAATTGCACACCGTTATGAGCAGTGTGATGAAATATTTTGCCATCCTGCTACGTCCCATCTAAGATGTGAATCATCCCTTTGTCCAGTGTCTCCACGCCATAGGGGCTCCCCACCCATTAGTTACTCAGTAGCTGTCAGTTATGAGATCAACTGTGGAGAGGTAACACAATGCTTGTGTTCAAGTCACCCTTATTTTACTTAATCATGACCCCAAAGTACAGTAGTAGTGATGCTGGCAATTCGGTATACCAAAGAAAATCTGTAGTGTTTCCTTCAAGAGAGAAGGCGAAAGTCCTCCATTTAATACAGAAAAAAAAAAAAAATATGCTGAGGTTACTAAGATCTACAGGGAGAAGGAATCTTCTATTAGTGAAATTGTGAAGGAAAACAAAATTTGTGCTGGTTTTGCTGTCACACCTAAAATTGCAAGGGTTTCGCCACAGTGCATGGTAAGTGCTTATTTAAGATGGAAAAGGCATTAAACTTGTGAGTGGAAGACAGGCACAGAAATGTGCTCCAATTAACAGCAAAACTGGGTTTGATACTATCCAAGAATTCAGGCATCCACTGGGGGAACATACACCCCATGGCTCAGAGGGGACTACTGTACACAAAACCATACACTCATCATAATTCAAAGACAATATCCAAATTTCAAATTAAAAGCAGGACTAAAACTTCAAAAATAAACAATTAGAGACAAATGACTATTAGAACAGCATTAGAAAACATAAGACACTACAGAACAAATTCAAATAAATTTGAAAACCTAAAGGAAACATAATTCCTGAGGAAATATAGATGGCCAAAATTGACCCTATTATAAATAAAAGGCTTAAACGGCCCAATTTCTGGAGAAAAAAGCAGCAAAATTTATGAGGGAATTATCCCACAAAAAGGCACCAGGCGCAAATGATTTCCCAGAGAAATTGTGCCAAAACATGCAATATCCAGACAGCCTCAGTACAATATATTGTTTCAGAACACTGATATCAAGGAAAGCTTCTAAATTCTTTTTATGAAGCAAGTATAATACTGACACTGAAAGCTGATGACTGTCCATGATAATGACTAACCCCCCAATATTACAGCTCAACATAATTTATTTGTATCAGTGCAAAATACAAAATAAAAATAAGCAAACAAAGGCCAACACTACATAAATACTCCATGAAAAAGGGATTAATTCCAGGAATGCAGGATTAGTAGGAAATCCACTGGCATAATATATCCTATTAATAAATCTAGAGAAAAAAATTATATGATTATCTCCAAGATCCTGAAAAAGCCTTTGACAAAATTTGACTTTCACCGCTGAAGAGAAAACAAAGTTTGTGAAAAGGCACTGTAACAAACCCTGTAAGTATGTTGCTTTTTGTTAAAGTACACAAAGAAAATCCAGCTTTTCATACACAGATACAGTCATTGAAAAAGAAGAGTTATTTTAGTAGACTTTTTAGGTAATTACGAAAATTCATGTTTGACTTTATGCCAAAAACTTAATAAATGATAGTTTCCTAAAGGAGAGTAACAATGTACAGTTTGAAACCATATCATTCAACTGTCTGTACTGTTGCATGAATTATCTATTGGCCTATTTTACACTCTGAATGAGTATTTTATCCATGTATAATTTTACTATAGCATGCCTTAGTCTTTCGGAAAATACTGGTTCCCTGAGTTAGGTAAATCTTCCAAATGATGCCACATTTCACCACACAGTGTATTTTAAAATCATGTGTTAATATCACTATCAAGGTTATCAAAAGAGTCTTTAAGTACTGAAAAGCTACTGAGCTTATGGTGGCAGATAAAAATTTCTCAAATTTTAAATTTTGTTTTAAAAATCAGTTTTCATTGTTAGCAACAAATACTATCAAGAATTGTTCTCCTTGAAGCAAGGTACTCATTCATTTTGGAGAAATATGTTTGTCAAATATTCAAGTTTGGATAACCATACATTCCTTCAAGTAAACAATTGTTCAAGTAAAAGTGATGCCTGCCTTCCACCCCCCCCACTCAATACACGGCTGCAATTCAAATAATCACACAAGTACTTTAGTACAAGGCAGAAGTACTTTAGGCACACTTCCTGTTTGCATACCTAGACTACTGAAAACGTGTGTATTCAAGGGTTGGAAAGTAACAAGACACAGTTCTTACTGTTTCAAGTCATTCTTAAATAAAACTGAAATTGTTCTTTTAATCTACGAGTGTGTGACAATGACTATTATACGGTTTGGTGCCCCTGCCTTGATTTGGGCTACAAAGCCCACAGTTTTAACCGCCATTGTTTCTGAACCTTCAGTCAAATAATTACACAGCGAAGAAGATAAGAAATACCTTCATATTGAATAAAAAGAGTTTTGCCCTTGAACCTAAAAAGGTTTCAGGGACCTTTAGGAGTCCACAGACCATACTTTGAAAATGTCGATATTAAGAACTACTTAAACATGAAGGGAGAAAAATAAATAAATAAATAAAACAATGAAACAATTTACAAAAGATACATGAGATGTTAAAACCCACAGATAAATGCAAATTAAAACCAAAGAACACCAAGAACAGAAACATTAAAGTATAACATATTTCAGAAAAGGGAGGCTATAGCAAACAGTCTACTACTGATGGGCACACAAATTGCTACAACTTTCAGGAGAGGAATTTGGCAGTAACCTAACAAAACTACAAATGTACTATCTTTTGACAGAGCAAACTAACTTCTAGAAAGTACCCTAAAGATACACATACCTCTCTCACAATACAAAAGTAACAAACGCACAAGGTTATTCATTGCAGACTGTTTGTAATTGCAAAATGCTGGGAAAACACCTAAACACCCCAGCCTTAGTAAACGATTATCCTTTCCCTTTTTTTCTCCTTCAAAGAAGTTGGGGCTAATCTTTGTAATTTAGTAATTTGAAAAATTACTCTATGTAATTTTACAGTATGAACTTACATCTTGTTTGGTAGTTCTTTTATTTTCCTCTTTTATTTAAAAGTTAAAAACATAAAAAGATTAAAAAAAACCAAAAACATTAGGAACTTTCAATAAGCAAGGCAGGGATGCGAGCATACATTTAAAAAAATTACTTGTGAGCAAGTAAATGCAGTTCCGGCACCTAGTAGGGCAGGTAATCCTGCTACATCAGTGCTTACCACAGTTCACTTAATGACTATCCAGGAGCCCTGCGACTTCTTACCCAGGCTGCAGGTAAGAATCACTTGGGAACAATTTCAAAACTGCTTGCTGATGCATGATCCTCAATCTATACCAATTAAGTAAAAATGGAGAAGAGGAGTTGGTGGACTTAAAAAAAAAAAAATAGCCCCCAGGTGATTCTAATGAGCAGCCAGGAACGAGAGCTGCAGCTTTCAATGTTTTCTGAATATAAGATCAGTTCATTAAAAATTTCAAAAGGTTCAACTTTTCCCCACTTTCCCTTCCCTCTACCTTCATAATTGTCTTATTTGGCCCTTTCAACAGATTTCTCACCTCCACTGCACTACAAGTGTTGGCAGTGCTGTCCCTCTAACACAAAGACCCTAATCCAATAGATCCTTGCCCCAAGTCCAAATTCCTTAGCATGCAGTGCCTTTGAATACAACTCCAAACTTGCTTCCCAGCACCCCAGTCTTTGCTCTAAACCCACCTAAATACTGATTCCTGCTTAGGGAGATCATGCAATATCAAACTATGGCTTAACATCTCCTCTCTCCCTAGGATTTCCTTACTACCTTATCAATCTTGCAAGCTTCAGCTCATCTTTCAAAACCCAGGTTCCATGTCACCTCATTCATAAAACTACCCTTGGCTTTCACAGAAGTGGTCCATCCTGTACATGTGCTGGGGCACATGTACACACTTGTGCTACTTAACACACAGCACAAGTATCCTCGGTTAGCAAGGCCCTATTTGGGAGGAAGTCACATATTTAAAATCGAAGGCTAACCTGATTAAGCCCGCCAAACTTAACCTGTCTTTTTCATCGCTTACTTCTAGTTGATCTATTTTAAACTCCCCACTAGCAAGTCACATAGCAAATCTCCCACGAACTTCCTTACAGATAACTTCCGAATGTGGGTCACTACAGTAACGGTTGCTTAAAGTTATTTCCAGGAACCAGTTGGCAGCTCTTGTCCACTTCAAGCTGATTAAGACCACCGACCCTTCAACTGGGCCTGCATGAATGCCCAAAGAGAGGTGACTGTTTGATGTCAGAGGGCCAAAACCTCCTTCCTCAGATCATGGTGATACTGCCATTTTTCAAACATGCATTCTATGAAGAGCTGTGTAACTTGACTACATGTATGCAGATCCTAACTAACTCACTTTTCCTTACCCCCAATCTTTCTCCCCCACACCTTGGAGAACCTTGGTACTCTATTCCAAAAACATCCTTAAAATCCCATCTTTGGAGAGGTGGGTTTGAGATTTGTTCTCCCATCTCCTCATTTGGCAGTCTTGTGAGTAAAATCTTTTCTCTTTGCCAAAACAAGTCATCGCAGTGACTGGCTTGCTAGTTCAATATATTCGTATACATCTTTCAACTCAATGCAACCCTGCAGAAGCCTGACACAAAGTGGTTCACGAAGTTAGTGAACCTCAACAAGTATTTGATTGATTATTCAATTTAACTTTAATTCTATTTCCCTTTATAGAGACTCTTTTTTTAAACTAGCCCTAATTAGAGCACTAAAAACAGAATTCTGGAAAAATTAGCAGCAATGAGAGTAGGCATGAATGAATCTTCCTGAATAAAAACAGGCAGTCGACTACATAACAAACCAAGAATCCAAGTGCAACATTTACAACAAAACTAGGGGGTCAATGTATCCCCCTTGAAGTGCAAAATGCAACGAGGAGGGGATAAACAACCAGCTATGGAGACTTCCTTAGCATGTGAACGAAGCCATATTCTAAAACAAACAAACAAACAAACAAACAAAATCCTCCCCGCCACCTCCCGAAGGAAAAAAAAAAAAACCACCACAAATTACAGGCAAAAATGAGAAAAAACGATCAGAATCAAACCCTCTATACCAGCAGTCCTCAACCTCTTTGGCACCAGGGATTGGTTTCTTTGAAGACAATTTTTCCACAGACCGGCAGGTGGAGGGGATGGTTTCGGGACAATCCAAGTACATTACATTTATTGTGTACTTTATTTCTATTATGATTACACTGTAATATATGATGAAATAATCACAAAACTCACCATATTGTAGAATCAGTGGGAGCCCTGAGCTAGTTTTCCTGCAACTAGATGGTCCCATCTGGGGGTGATGGGAGACAGTGACAGATCATCAGGCATTAGATTCTCATAAGGAGTGTGCAACCTAGATCCCTTGCATGCATGGCTCACAACAGGGTTCACACTCCTGTGAGAATGTGATGCCGCCACAGGAGGCAGCGCTCAGGCAGTAATGAGAGCAATGGGGGGTGGCTGCACATACAGGTGAAGCTTTGCTCACTTGCCCGCCACTCACCTCCTGCTGTGTGGCTCAGTTCCTAACAGGCCAAAGATCCGTACATCTCTGTGGCCTGGGGGATGGAGACCTCCGCTCTACATAAAGTTACTATATAATGGATACTGAGTAGCAGAATAACATCTCTGCAGACAATAAAAGTATGCCTGAAAGAAGGCTTAAAAGAGGGAGAGGATTAAAACTGTTATTAGCACAAGAAGATACAAGACATGAAAGAATTAGAAAAAATGTAGAAATGAAGAGGAAGAATTCGAGACCAAATCTGAAATTTTAAAAGGTCATTTTAGATAGGAATATAAGACCAAAAAACATCTTAAGAGAAAAAGTAAAAAAGAAATCAACCTAACATCCTAACATTAAATCAACAATACATACGACATTAACAACATTACATACATTAACAACCTAACATCACAACAAAAAGAACTATAGGAACAAGAGCAAACCAACTCCAGAGCTAGCAGAAGACAAAAAATAACAAAAAGAGCTGAACTGAAGGAGCTAGGCACGAAACACCATTCAAAAGACCAACGAATTCAGGAATTGTATTTTTGAAAAAAAATCAGTAAGATAAACTATTAGCTAGACAAAGAAGAGAGAAGATCCAAATAAACACAATTAGGACAAAGGGGATACCACTGACCCCACAGGAATACAAGTAACCATCAGAGAATACTATGAACACAGCCATGCACACAAACTAGAAAATCTAGAAGAAACTGATAAATTCCTGGACAAACCCACCCTCCCAAGACTGAACCAGGAGAAACTGAATCTCTGAACATACCAGTAACAAACGCCGAAAGTGAATCAGTAGTAAATAGCCTACCAACTAAAAAAAACCCCAGGACCAAATGAATTAATAGCTGCTCTACATGTACAAACAAGAGCTGGAACAATTTCTACTGAAACTATTCCCAAAAACTGAAGAGGAGGAACAATACCCCAACTCATTCTATGAGGTCAGCATCATCCTGATACCAAAACCTGGCAAAGACACAAAAAACAAAACTTCAGGCAAATTATCTTTGATACACATTGATGCAAAAATCCTCAACAAAATACTAGCAAGCTGAATCCAGCAGCATATTAAAAAGCTAATCCACCACAATCAAGTAGGCTTTATCCCTGGGATGCAAGGTTGGTTCAACATATGCAAATCATTAAATGTGATTCATTACATAAACAGAACTAAAGACAAAAACCACGTGATTATCTTAATAGATGCAGAAATGGCTTTCAATAAACTTCAACTCCCTTCATCTTAAGAACTCTCAATAAACTAGGCATTGAAATTGAAGGAACACACCTCAAAATAGTAAGAGCTGTATATGACAAACCTACAGCCAACATCATACTGAATGGGCAAAAGCTGGAAGCATTCTCCTTGAGAACCAGCACAAGACAAGGATGCCCTCTCTCATCACTCCTATTCAACACAGTACTGGAAGTCCTGGCCAGAGCAATTAGGTAAGAGAAAGAAATAAAGGGCATCCGAATAGGAAGAGAGAAAGTTAAACTACCCTGTTTGCAGATGACATGATTCTGTATCTAGAAAACCTCATGGTCTCAGTGCAAAAGCTCCTTAAGCTGATAAAATAACTTCAGCAGAGTTTCAGGATACAAAATCAATATACAAAAACCACTAGCATTCTTATAAACCAACAACAGCCAAGAGCCAAATCAGGAATGCAATTCATATGGAACCAAAAAAGAGCTCAAAAAGCCAAGACAATCCTAAGCAAAAAGAACAAAGCTGGAGGCATTAGGTTACCCAGCTTCAAACTAAACTACAGGGCTACAGTAACCAAACAGCATGGTACTGTAACAAAGACAGACACACAGACCAATGGAACGTAACAGGGAGCCCAGAAATAAGGCCACACATACGACCATCTGATCTTCGACAAAGCTGACAAAAACAAGCAATGGGGAAAGGATTCCTTATTCAATAAATGGTGCTGGGATAACTGGCTAGCCATATGCAGAAGATTGAAACTGGAACCCTTCCTTATACCATACATAGAAATCAACTCAAAATGGATGAAAGACATCAATGTAAAACCCAAAACTATAAAAACCCTGGAAGACAACTCAGGCAATACCATTCTGGACATAGGAACTGGCAAAGATTGCATGACAAAGATGCCAAAAGCAACTGCAACAAAAGCAAAAATTGACAAATGGAATCTAATTAAACTAAAGAGCTTCTGCACAGCAAAAGAAACCATCAAAAGAGTAAACAGACAACCTACAGAATATGAGAAAACATCTGCAAACTATGCATCTGACAAAGGTCTAATATCCATCATCTATACACAATTTTACAAGAAAAAAAACAACCCCATTAGAAAGTGGGCAAAGGACAAGAACAGACACTTTTCAAAAAAAAAAAAAAAAAACACGTTGCCAATAATCATATGAAAAAATGCTCAACATCAGTAATCATCAGAGAAATGCAAACTGAAACCACAATGAGCGGCCGGGTGTGGTGGCTCACTCCTGTAATACCAGCACTTTGGGAGGCTGAGGCTGGTGGATTACCTGAGGTCAGAAGTTCGAGGCCAGCCTGACTAACATGGGGAAGCCCCATCTCTACTAAAAGTACAAAAATTAGCCAGGCGTGGTGGTGCATGCCTGTAATCCCAGCTATTCAGGAGGCTGAGGCAGGAGAATCGTTTGAACCCGGGAGGCAGAGGTTGCAGTGAGCCAAGATTGTGCCACTGCACTCCAGCCTGGGCAAAAAGAGCAAAACTCCATCTCAAAGAAACAAACAAAAACACAAAGATATCATCTCACACCTGTCAGAATGGCTAATATTTAAAAAAGTCAAAAAAAAATAACAGATGCTGGCAAGGCTACAGGGAAAAGGGACTGCTTATACACGTTGGGGAAGGCAGTATGGCAGTTCCTCAGAGCTAAAAAGAAAACTACCATTCGAGCCAGCAATCCCATTACTGGGTATATACCCAAAGGAATATAAATCATTCTATCATAAAGACACATGCACGTATATGTTCACTGCAGCACTATTCGCAATAGCTAAAATGTGGAATCAACCTAAATGCCCATCAACGAAAGACTAGATGAAGTAAATGTAGTATAACTATGCAGCCATAAAAAAGAATAAGATCATGTCCTTTGCAAGAACACGGGTGGAATGGGAGGCCATCATCCTTAGCAAACTAACACAGGAACAGAAAACCAAACACTGCATGTTCTCACTTATAAGCGGGAGCTAAATTATGAGAACACATGGACACAGAGGCAACACACTGGGGACTACCGGAGGGTGGAGGGTAGGAGGTGGGAGAGGAGCAGAGAAAGTAACTATTCGGTACTAGGCTTAGTACTAGGTGACAAAATAATCTGTACAACAAACCCCTGTGACACAAGTTTACCTACATAACAAATCTACACATGTACCCTGAACCTAAAATGAAAGTTTTTAAATAAACAAATAACATTTTTAAAAAAAAGAACGCCAGAGATTTTATAAAAAGGATTTGAGGAACATTACAAACACTAAAGACAAGCAAAAGCAGCATGATATATATGAACAGTAGGAGTCCCTAAAGAAGCAAATCAAAAGAAGGGAAGAGAAAAATTAGTTTAAAAAACAAAAAAAACTTCGCTGATACTATTTTTGAAAAAATTGAAACTAGGTACTGAAAGAGTTTACATCACTGTAAATATGTGAGTTATCTGAGAATATCAACTCAGGAGGACTAATACCAAAAATATATTTAAATGACTAAATTTTAAGAAAAAAGAAATAGCAACTCAAGGATTTTTTTTTTCTTTTGAGACAGAGTTTCGCTCTTCTCCTCCAGGCTGGAATGCAATGGCTTGATCTCGGCTCACTGCAACCTCTGCCTCCCGGGTTCAAGTGATTCTCCTGCCTCAGCCTCCCAAGTAGCTGGGATTACAGGTGCCCACCACCAAGCCTGGCTAATTTTTTTTTGTATTTTTAGTAGAGATGGGGTTTCGCCGTGTTGGCCAGGCTTGTCTCGAACTCCTGACCTCAGGTGATCCATCCCCGGCTTCCAAAGTGTTGGGATTACAGGCATGAGTCACCGTACCCAGCCGAGTCAAGGATTTTATATTCAACACAACTGACCTTCAAGTACAAAAAACACAAATAAACCAGTCAACATGCAAGAACACAGGAAATATTGTCTTTATGATCTCATCCTAAGGAATCTAATAATATTCTGACAATCAAAATGACGAGATACATGGATAGGACTGGTGATAAGCATCACATATATACTGTACTTATTTATAACACCAAGATTAAACGAGGATTAAAGGGTTAAATGATGTAACAGCTATATGATCTAGATATGGTAAAAACCATTTTAAAACAGAGAAATAAATGATAGCATGCGCAAAAAAAAATTTTTACTGTTTCCAGTAATCAAAGTTGACAGAGGTAGATTACTCTGAGGCAATAATATGCTCTCTGTATTAGACTTACTAAGAGACTATCATGGTACCTTCCCAAGGGGTTTTCAAAAGAAATGGAAAATGTGCCATTTTTTTCTCATCTATCTTCAACGTAAAAATTGTATAGTTCTGCCAAGACAGTTGATTTTTAAAAGTATGTTTACATGAGAAAATGTACAGGATAACTTTTAGCTTCTGGGGATGGAAGAAAGAGCATCAAAGACTTGCCGTATTTCAAACTTTTGAAACCTTAAGCAACCATGAGCAGCAATAACTTCTGTGTTTATATGTCTACGCCTGGCTAGACAACTGAATTTATGTTAGAACTTGGAAACAGGGTCCTGGAATTTTTTCAGTTATGTGTCCTGTTTTACTGGACACTAGCCATGCCCATTCCTTTACATATAATTATGACTGCTTTTGCACTGAACAGTTCCAACAGGGACCTTGTGGTGCACAAAGTCAAGCTATTTACAATCTGGCCTTTCACACAAAAGGTCTGCCCACCCACTGGTTAAAGTATTTCTTGGTTCCTTAAAAAAAAATTCCTGAAAGTTGCTCCTGTTTCAGAAATAACTGCTTAATTTATTCTCCAAAGATTCCTCTCTGTTCCTATTGAATATGCCCAATTACCTACTTAAGGATTCCACTTGTTGCCTTTTATTTTATTCTTCCATTTTTCCATATTAGGCTTGTACAATCCGCTAATTATAACTTTCCTCACTAATTCTAGTCTTACTTTTCTCCTCTTATTCTTCCTATTAACCTTTCAATGGAATTTCAATGAACATTCAATGGAACCTGTTCTAGCCATTTGTTTTCACAGTGGCCACTGAGATCACAGAATTTGAAAACCAGATGGAGCCTCAGCAATTGTCTGTTCCAGCTCCCTTCTTACAGCTGAAGTCAGCAGGCCTGGGTCCTGTGTGTCTCTATACTACTTGCCAATCATGACCTTATGGAAGACCTCCACAGATTTGAGTTCCCTCATCTGAATAAGAGAGATTTTAATGTTATCAACTTTAATATACTTTGATTCCATGGGGATCCCAAGAGATTTAAAGGCCTTTTCAAAATTAGTTAGTGGTAAGCCCAAACAGATTAGAAGTCACAAGATCCAAGCACTGCAGATTTTCTACCAACTTGGTAGTTCTCAAAATGCTGTTCAATCTTCTATGACTGTCAGATTGATTCGGTTTTTTAACAGTTATGTCCCTTGGCTAGTCAAATTGTGTGTGTCTTCCTGTTTATTCTTACTCTCATTCTTTTAGTTCTGATACCCAAATCATAGTTTTCATTTCTCATTCCTGTTCCATTTTCTTATTTCCAGCTTCTTACAGAATACCTCCAAGTCCCCTTCTTTAAGACTGTCATTTTCTCTATAAAATTAGCCTCACCACCAATGTTCTAAACAAACATTGGCTCCTCTATTGCCAAATTACCTACCCTTTATTTTATTTACTTTATTGCATGTATAGAGAGACCTTTGTTTAGTTTATGTGAATTACATGAGTTCTTAATTTCAGAAATTATGTTCCATAAACTTTTTGTTTTTTAGAGACAGGGTCTCACTCTGTTGCCCAGAATGGAGTGCAGTGGTGCAATCACAGCTGACTGTAACCTCAAACTCCTGGGTTCAAGTGATCCTATCGCCTCAGCCTCCTGAAGTAACTGGGACTACAGGTGGACACGACCATGCCTGGCTAAATTTTTTGGGGGTGTGTAGAGATAGGGTCTCACTATGTTGCCTCCACTGGTCTTGAACTCCTGGCCTAGAGTGATGCTCCTGCCTTGGCCTCCCAAAGTACTGGAATTACAGGTGTGAGCCACTGTGCCAGCCACATTTAAAAACTGTAAATTAAACGTGACATATAAATGGAAAGAGCACTGTATGCTGAGTCCAAACCTGGGTTCAAGTTCTCGCTCTTAAGGGGCATTTTACTAGACCTTTCTGAGACTTACCTTACTTCACATGGTTAACACCTACTTCACAGACAAATATAATGAAGGGTCTGAAAAACTTATAATGTACTAAGTACAAACAATAGCCTTCTACCAGATAAAGGGAGTGTATCTTAGATTACATGTTTGCTTCAGCTTAAATACTTTATCAGACAGCAGTTTGGAGCTGCTTGACCGATAAAATTCCTTTTATCACTTTACTGATATATAATTCATATATCATAAATTCACTCTTTAAAGTGTATGATTCAATGGTTTTTAGTATGTACACAGTTGTAACCATCACTGGTTACAGATGGTGCCAGGACAGCTGGTTAACCACATGCAAAATAATGAATTTGGACCCCTACCTCACAACATCTACAAAAATTAAGTTTAAAGAACCATAGGTCTAAGTATAAGAGCTTAAACTCTAAACCTCTTTGAAGAAAACACAGGAATAAATCTTCATGACCTGAGTTAGGCAACAGCTTACTGAATATGATGTCAAAAGTATAAGCAACAAAAGAGAAAACACATACATTGGACCCCATCAAAATTTTATAACATTTTCACCACCCTAAAAAGAAACTCCGCATTCTTTAGCCATCATCTCTCAATCCCCTAGCCTCATCAACCACTAATATAACTCTCTATTCACCTATTCTGAATACTTCTTATAAATGGAATCACATAATATATGTTCTTTTATGACTGGCATCTTTCAGTTAGCATAATGTTTTCAAGGTTCATCAATGTTGTGGCATGTATCAGTACTTCATTTCTTTTTATTGCTAAATAATATTCCATTCTATGTATATATCATGTTTATTCATTATTCATCAGCTAATATAGCCAGATCTATTATGAATAATGGTGCCATTAACACTCATGTGTAACTTATTATGTAGACATTTGCTTTCATTTCTCTTGGGTGTATACCTATGAGAGGAATTGCTATGTCCCATAATAATTCTATGAGGAATTCTCAAACTGTTTTCTACAGCAGCTGCACCATTTTACAGTCCTATCAGCAATGTACAAAGGTTTTAATTTCTCCACATCCTTGCCAACCTTTATTGTCTTTCTGAGTACAGCCATCCTAGTGGGTGTGAAGGGGTATTTCACTATACTTTTTGATATACATTTCCTTGAAGGCTAATGATACTGAACATCTTTTCATGCATTTATTGCACATTCATACATCTTCTTTGAGGAAGTATCTATTCAAATCATTTGCTATTTTTCAACTGATTTGTCTTTTTATTGTTCAGTTATAAAAGTTCTTTATATATTCTAGAAACAAATCCCTTATCAGATGTATGATTTGCAAGTATCTTTTCCCATTCTGTGGAATATCTTCTCACTTTCTTGATGGTGTCCTTTGAAGCACAAAAGTTTCTAATTTTGATGGGGTCCAATGTATCTGTTTTCCCTTTTGTTGCTTATACTTTTGACATCATATCCAATAAACCATTGCCTAACCCAGGTCACGAATAATTATCCCTGTGTTTTCTTCAAAGAGGTTTAGAGTTTAAGCTCTTATACTTACACCTATGGTTCATTTAAACTTAATTTTTGTAAATCTTGTGAGGTAGGGGTCCAAATTCATTATTTTGCATGTGGTTAACCAGCTGTCCTGGGTCTGTTAATGACTGTTCTTCCCTCCAGTGCATTGCCTTGGCACCCCATCCCAAGTTTACCTCTTATGCAATCACCTCCCTAGTTTAAACACTCACTGGCTCACCCTTAAAATTACCTGACTAGTTTCCTTGCTTTCTATACTCATCTTTTAATACTTTAGTATACAAATATTTAATCTTTTACATAATTCTATTTTAGAAAATGAAAAAGCAGAGTAACGACGAGCAACTCATTCCTGAGGAATTCACTTCATTTCCCAAAGAATTAGAAAAATGTATGCATTTTCTAAGGGCGAGTATCTGAAAACTAAAAAGGTGTGGGTGTGTTACAGCAGCAGGAGAGGTGAACACATGTGGTTACCATCTGAAGCTACACACCTACACTAATACGATAAGCATCAGACTTGTGACTATTAAGCACTTCAAAAATGGCTAGTGTTACCTGAAAGGTGCTGACATTGAAAAGTGAACAATTTTGTAAGATCAACTCATCAATTTTTAAACTTATCACATGTTGAAATATATTTTGTGCATACTAAATAAGACCTATTATAAAGTTAGTTTCACCTGTTTTTCTTTTTTTTTACAGTTTTTAATAAGAAGACTAAAAAATTTAAATTTACATATGTGGTTTATATTATACTGCTACTGGGCGGTGCTGTTGTAGACCTCCCAAGAGTGACTTTATTCGACATGGTTAGTGTCCTAGGGAATTAAGTTTTTTGGGGCAGAACTAGGTACCAAGCACTAAGGAGATAGAAAACGGACTTAAGATTTCCAACCCTTGTGAAAGTTATAATGTAGTAGGAGATGGGGTAAACAACTATCTGATGTACATATTCAACTGTCACTGAGGACCAGTAGAGAGATCAGAATCCATGAGGAGGCAAATTCTGCCTGTTTTTTTCTGATATAATTCCAGGGCCCACAAGAGTACAACAGTGCTTGGCATACAGTAGAACACTAAAAAATTACTTAGTCTTTAAGAATGAATAGGGTTTCAATGGTTTCTAGAAATATAAGATGAAGAAAATATCTTCTGGAAATACAAATGAAAGAATGAAGCATATATTATTCTAGACAGTAAATAGCAGAAAATGTTAGGTTCTCATCAATTAAATGGCTTTTTTATAACATTACCTCCAACTTTCATAAAATTGACTGTCAGATGTCAAAGAATATGGATTTGTCTTTATTTGGCAATACAGAGTATCTATACTCCAGGTTATTGCCAAAAGAATACAGTTTCAAATTATCCCCTTCACTTACTACCACTGCCAAAAGCCCACTTGCTCACCTCAGAGAGAACAAGCTTTCTGATTCCTCTGTGTTTCTTAAAAGTGGGATGCCAGAGGCCATAGCCCTCCATTTCAAACTGAAGCCTATTTAAAATACGTGTTAGGGATCCCAGCCCAGACAAACTGAGTAAGAATCTCTGATGGGCAGGGACTGTGCAGTTGATCCCTCTTTACAATAAAACCTGGAGAGCCACTGCTCTAATCAGCAGTCAGCACACTATGGCCCACAGTTGGAATACAGCCACATTCGTTTGCCTGTTGTCTATGGTTGCTTCTACAATACGGCTGCAGGGTTGAGTAGTTTTGACAGAGATTTATGGTCTGCAAAGCCTAAAATACTTATTTACTATCTGGCTCTTTATATAAATACTTTGCTGATCCTGCTCTAGATAGTCTAAATTTTATTCGGCATCATCTTAGAACACCAAACAACTAAGACAGTTGAAAGTACCATTCTGTAGCCTCAGAGAATGAAGTCAATTAAGTTATGCTTTGGCATAACTCAGCTCCCACTGGCAAGACTTTTTCATTGTCCAAAGATTTTAAAAATGTTTTTATTTTTAATTATTATAGTAAACAGTAGTTGTATATATTTATGGGATCCACATCAATACATTTTGATACAAGTATAATGTGTAACGATTAAATCAGGGTAACTGGGATATTCATAACCTCAAGTATTTATCATTTCTTTGCTGTTACGAACATTTCAATTCCACTCTTCTAGTTACTGTGAAATACACAATAAATTAACGATAGTTGCCCTATTGTGCTACTAAACACTGTATCTTACTCCTTCTAACCATATTTTTGCACCCATTAACCAAGTCTTCCATCCCTACTTCCCTACCACCCTTCCCGGTCTCTGGTAACCATCATTCTACTCTCTGTCTCCGTGAGTTCATTTTTCTTTTTTTTTTTTTTTTTAGTTCCCACGAGTGAGAAAATGTGGTATTCGTCTTTCTGTGCCTGGCTTATTTCATTTAACGTAATGTCCTCCAGTCTCATTTATGTTGTTGCAAATGACAGGATTTCATTATTTTTTATGGTTGACTAATATTCCATGGAACATATTTACATTTTCTTTATCCCTTCATCAACTGATGTACACTTATGTTGATACTATAACTTGGCTATCACGAATAATGCTGCAATAAACATGGGAGTGCAGTTATCCCTTTGATATACTCGTTTCCTTTTTTTTTGGACGGAGTCTCACTCTGTCACCAGGCTGGAGTGCAATGGCGCGATTTCGGCTCACTGCAATCTCTGCCTCCCGGGTTGAAGCAATTCCCCTGCCTCAGCCTCCTGAGTATCTGGGACTACAGGTGCACACCACCACATTTGGCTAATTTTTTGTATTTTAGTAGAGACGGGGTTTCTCCATTTTGGTCAGGCTGATCTTGAATTCCTGACCTCAGGTGATCCGCTCACCTTGCCCTCCCAAAGTGCTGGGATTACAGGCATGAGCCACCGCACCCAGGCCTTTCTTTGGGATATATACTCAGCAGTGGAAATGCTGGATCATATGGTTGCTCTATTTTCAGTTTTTGAGGAGCCTCCATAATATTCTTTTTTTTTTTTTTTTTTTTTTTTGAGACAGAGTCTGGCACTGTTGCCCAGGTTGGAGTGCAGTGCAGCAATCTAGGCTCACTCCAAGCTCCACCCCCCAGGTTCACGCCATTCTCCTGCCTCAGCCTCGCGAGTAGCTGGGACTACAGGCGCCCACCACCACGCTCGGCTGGTTTCACCGTGTTAGCCAGGATGGTCTCGATGTCCTGACTTCATGACCCACCCACCTCGGCCTCCCAAAGTGCTGGGATTACAGGCGTGAGCCACCATGCCCGGCCTCCATGCTATTCTTCATAGTGACTGTACTGGTTTACATTCCTATCAACAACGTATAAGAGTTCTCTTTTTTCTGCCTGCTCACTAGCATTTGTTATTGCCTGTCTTTTTGATAAAAGCCATTTTAACTGGGATGAAATATTTCATTATACTTTCGATTAGTATTTATCTGATTAGTGATGTTGACCATTTTTTCATATACCTGTTGACCATTTACCCATATGTCTTCCTGAGAAACATCTATTCAGCTCTTGTGCTTCAGATCTTTTGCCCATTTTTAAATTGGATTTCTTTTTCCTATCGAGTTGTTTCAGCTCCTTACATATTCTGGTTATTATCTCATCAGTTGGGTAGTCTGCAAATATTTTCTTCATTCTGTGGGTTGTTTCTTCATTTTGTTGACTGTTTGTTGTGCAGCAGCTTTGAGCTTGATGTGATCCCACTGTCCATTTTGTTGTGGTTGCCTGTTCTTTGGAGGTCACACTCAAGAAACCTTAGCCCAGACCAATGACCTTTAGTGTTTCCCAATGTTTTCTTCTAGTAGTCTCATAACTTCAGGTGCTTAATCCATTTTGATTTGTTTTAGTATACGGCAAGAAATAGGGGTCCAGTTTCATTCTTCTGCATGTGGATGTCCAGTCTTCCCAGCACCATTTATTGCAGACTGTCCTTTCCCCAATGTTCTTAGTGGCTTTGTTGAAAATGAGTTGGAGGTAAATGTGTGGATTTTTTTCTGGGCTCTCTATTCTGTTCCACTGGTCTGTGTCTGTTTTTATGCCAGCACCATGCTATAGCTCTGGAGTATAATTTGAAGTCACATAATGTATGTAATGTGATTCCTTCAGTTTTGTTCTTTTTGCCCAGGATTGCTTTGCCTACTCTGGGTCTTTGTGGTTCCACAAAAATTTTAGGATTGTTTTTCCAACCCTAAAACATAATTCTGTGAAGAATGTCATTGGTGTTTTGACAAGGGTTGCAATGAATCTGTAAATTCCTTTGGGTAGTGTGGACATTTTAACAACACTGATTCCAACAATACTGAATCCATGACCATGGAGTATCTTTCCACTTTTTGGTGCCGTCTTCAATATCTTTCATCAGTGTTTTATAGTTTTCATTGTAGAAATCTTTCACTTCTTTGGTTAAGTTTATTCCTAGGTATTTTATTTTATTTTATTTGTAGCTATTGGAAATAAGATTATTTTCTTGGTTTATTTTCTAGATTGTTTGCTCTTGGCATACAGAAATGCTGCTGATTTTTATATGCTGACTTTGCATCCTGCAATTTTACTAAACCTCAGTTCTAACAGTTTTCTGGTAGAGTCCTTAGGTTTTTCTAAATTTAAGATACTATTGTCTGCAAACAAGGGTAATCTAAATTTTTCCTTCCAATTTGGATGCCTTTTCTTTTCTTCTCCTGTTTAATTGCTCTGGCTAGGACTTCCAGTACCACGTTGAAGAAAGGTGGTGAAAGTGGGCTTCCTTGCCTTCTTCCAGATCTTACAGGAAAGGCTTTTAGATTCCCCCCTCATGATACTAGCTGTGGGTTTATCTGTCTGTGGCTTTTATTGTGTTGAGGCATGTTCCTTCTACATCCAGTTGAGTTTTTATCATGAAGGGATGCTGAATTTTACTGAATACTTTTTTGGCATCTATAGAAATGGACATATGGTTATGTCCTTCATTCTTTTGATGTGATGTATCGCATTTACAGATCTGAATATGTATTAGGTGGTTCTCACATTGCTATAAAGAAATACCTGAGACTGGGCAATTTATATAAAAAAAGAGTTCATTGGCTCACTATTCTGCAGGCTGTACAGCAAGCATGACAGCATCTGCTTGGCTTCTGGTGAGGCCTCAGGAAATGCATAATCAGGGCAGAAGGCAACAGGGGAACACACATGGCCAGAGTAGGAGAGAGACAGAGAGCAGGGAGGTTTAAACAATCAGATCTCATGAGAACTCACTAACTATATAGTAGCAAGGGGAGATGGGGCTAAACCATTCATGAGAACTCCACTCCTATGATCCAATCACGTTCCACCAGGCCCCTCCTCCAACACTGGGGATTACAATTAAATGTAAGATTTGGGCAGGGACACAAACACAAACCATATCAGAGTATGTTGAACCATCCTTGCATCCCTGGGATGAATCCCACTTGATTACAATGAATGATCTTTTAAATATGTAGTTGAATTTGGTTTAAGGATTTTGCATCTCTGTTCAAAGATACTGGCCTGTAGTTTTCTTTTTTTGTTGCGTCTTTGTCTGGTTTTGGTACCAGGGAAATACTGGCCCTTTGGAATGAATTTGGAAGTATTCTCTTCTTAGCTTTTGTGATATAATTCTTCTTTAAATGTTTGGTAGAGTTCAGCAGTGAAGCCATCAGGTCCTGGGCTTTTCTTTGATGATTTTCTTTTTTTCTTTTCTTTTATTACTGCTTGCTCTGAAAATATTTCTTTTTTAATTCAAAAAACCAAAAACAAACAAAAAACAACCAAAAAACCATTCCTGGAGGGATGGCTGGTGAGGACTTTGATTTTGTCATAGTCTCTCTGTGATGAGGCTCAGAGGAAACCCAGCTGTTTTCCTAGTACAACAGTTAGCATATTCAACAACTGAAGAATTGTGAGTTATATACCTCTCTTATCTCAATGTATCTTCTGATGACATTTTCTGGGCTGCCCTCTCATGGCAAAAAAATAACTGAGGCACAGAAAGAAGCCAGGTACAAAATGGAACCTACATTAATCATCTAAAACGGCATTATCATAACAGACTTGCCTGAGCCATTACTTACCACAATGAATTGGTATGACACTTCTAACAAGGTCAGAAAAATCAGATTCTGTTTTCTTAATATTGAGGATCTTTCCCACTTTCCCTGAGCTAATGAGACACAGGTCTGTGGCAAATACATTTAGTATTTTCCTACACATGAATTCCTAACAAAACCAAGCAAGAGCATACAAAGGGAAACATACTTTAGCTAATTTAAAGGTGTCTTATGTTATTTTGCTTATTGAAAAAACTGAAAAGGTAGTAAGGAAAAGATGTAATGTGGTAATAGCAAATTGCATCTGTGGTCTCTAATGAATAATCTCGCTTCCAGTAAAAAAAACTATCAAAAGAGCTTAAACTCAAGGTAAACAAAAGGATGAAAATATTAAAATAAGAGCAGAAATCAATGAAACAGAAAACAGAATAAAGAATGTCACTGAAAACAAAAGTAGGTATTTTGAAAAGATCAATAAAATTGTCAAACCTCTAGCCAGACTGACCAAGAAATAAGACACAAATTACCAATATAAATAATGAAACAAAACAAAACAGCATTATAGAACCATCCAAAATTAAAAATAAGGGAATATTATGAACAATGTTATACTCATAATTTTAACAACTTACATGATAAAGACAAATATTTTGAAAGACACAAACTACCAGTCAGGCATGGTGGCTCACGCCTGTAATCCCAGCACTTTGGGAGGCTGAGGTGGGAGGATTGCCTGAGGTCAGGAGTTCAAGACCAGCCCAGCCAACCTGGTGAAACACCGGCTCTACTAAAAACACAAAAACTAGCCAGGCTGGTGGTGCATGCTTACAGTCCCAGCTACTCGAGAGGCTGAGGCAGGAGAATCGCTTCAACCGCAGAGGTTGCAGTGAGCCATGATGGTACCACTGCACTCCAGCTTGGGTGATACAGCAAGACTCTGTCTCAAAAAAAAAAAAAAAGACTACCAAAAAACAAAACAAAACAAAACAAACTGTAACAAGGAAAAAATACATAACCTGAATATTCCTATATAAAATTAAAGAAACTGAATTTGTAATGAAAACCCTTCCCACAAAGAAAACTCTAGCACCAGGTAACTCTACTAGTGAATTCTAACAAATATTTAAGAAAAAAATAAAATCAATTGTACATGAACTCTACCAGAAACCACAAAAGGAAGGAACACGTCCCAACTCCTTGTTTTGAGGTACAGCTTTTCCATGATACCAAAACCAGATATAAACAATGTTAAAAAAAAGTACTGACCAATAAAACAAGAATCTTCACAAAACATCAGCAAATCAATCCAGCAACATCTGGAATGGATAACATGTAAACAATCAAGTAGAATTTATCTGAGGAATGCAAGGCTGTTCAACAAACAACAAGAAATCCACCATATCAACAGATTAAGAAGAAAACCCATATAATCCCAGTCATACACACACAAAAAAAAGCACTGACAAAAATTCAACTTTCATTCATGATTAAAAACAACCACCTCTCAGTAAACTAAGATAAAAGGGAACTTCCTCAATCTAACAAATGGCAAAATAGAAATACAAGGGAACTTCCTTAACCTGATAAAAGGCATCAACCAAAAAAAAAACCACTTACTGGTGAAAGACAGCTTTTACCCAGTATTAAGAGTAAGGTAAGTATGCCTGCTCACCATTCCTAATTAACAACATCCTGAAAGTCCAAACTAGTGCAATAAGGCAAGAAAAAGAAATAAAGAGCATTCAAAAGGAGGGAAAAAAACTGCCTCTATACACAGATGACATGACTGCCTACACATAGGAAAACACCCAGGAATCTAAACAAGAAAGTTCCTACAACTAGTAATTTTAAGACTGCAAGGTTGCTATAAAAAAAAAAACAAAAAAAAACCTGCATTTCTACACAGTAACAAGGAACAATCAAATATTGAAATAAAAAAAAAAAACTATTTACAATAGCACCAAGAAACATGAGATATTTAACTATAAACCTAACAAAAATGTGTGCAGGATCTATTTGCCAAAAACTACAATACATTAAAGAAATAAAACAATGAGGAGATAACATTATATTCATAGTTTGGAATATTCAATATTGTTAAAATGTTAATTATCCCCAATGATTTGTAGATTCAAATGCAATCCCAATAAAATCCCAGCAGTTTTATTTTCTTTGAGGGAAGGAAGATAAAAGTTGACAAAATTATTCTAAAATTTATACAGAAAGGCAAAGGAGCTAGAATAGCCAAAATAATTTTAAAAAGTATTTGGAGGATTTGCCCTACCTGATTTCCACGTTTAATATAAAGCTACAGTAATCGATGCATAAGTAACTGGTAAAAAGGCAGACACACAGATCAACAGACCAGACAAGGGAGTCCAGAAATATATGGTCAATTGATTTTTGACAAAGCGAGAAAGGCAATTAAACGGACAAAGTATAATCTTTCAAACAAAATGCTTCTTCAAAATAAACACTGGACATCTGTATGAAAAAAAAAAATCTCTCTGCCCGTATCTCATGGCACAAACAGAATTTAACTGAAATAAAACTTTTAAAGGAAAACAGAGGAAAAATTATTCTTGATTTTGGGTTTGGCAAAGATTTCTGAGATACAAAACCAAAAACATGATTGATAAAGGCAAAAATTAACAAACTGGACTTTATCAAAAATTTTTCTTTCTTTCCTTTTGAGACAGAGTCTTACTCTGTCTCCCATGCTGGAGTGCAGTGGCACGATGTCAGGGTCATTGCAACCTCTGCCTCCTGGGCTCAAGCGATTCTCCTGCCTCAGCCTCCCGAGTAGCTGGGACTACAGGCACATGCCAACACTCCCAGCTAATTTTTGTATTTTTAGTAGAGACAGGCTTTCACCATGTTGGCCAGGCTGGTCTCAAATTCCTGGCCTCAAGTAATTTGTCTGCCTTGGCCTACCAAAGTGTTGGGTTTACAGGCTTGAGCCACTACACCTGGCCAGAGCTTTATCAAAACTTAAAGCATGTACTGCAAAAGACACTGTCATTAAGAGAAAGAAAAGGCAAATCACAGAATGGGAAAAAAATACTTACAAAATAATACCTGATAAAGAATCTGTATCCTGAATACGTTAAAAAAAAAAAAAAAAAATCTCAAAACTCAGTAACTTCTGTGTACCAAAAAGAATAATCACAGAGTAAAAAGGCAATCCATGGAAAGGAAAAAAATATTTGCAAATCATATATTTAACAACTGGTTAATATCCAAAATATATAAAGACTACTGCAACTCAACAACTAAAAAACAAGCAACATAGAGCTTAAAAATGGGCAACAGTCTTGAATACGTGAAGTCTATGTTGTATTTTGCCGCAATTTTATAAAATCTCAATAATAAGAAAAACCCAATTAAAAATGGGCAAAAGGTTTGAATACATTTTACCAAAGATATATGGACAACAAATGAGCACATCAAGAGATCATTAATCTTCAGAGATAAGCAAACTAAAACCACGTGTGATACCGCTAGATACCCACTGAATGGCAATTGGTCTTGCTCTGTTGCCCAGGATGGAATGCAATGGCGTGATCTCGGCTCATTGCAACCTCCATCTACTGGGTTCAAGTGATTCTCCTGCCTCAGCCTCCAAGTAGCTGGGACTACAGGCGCCTGCCACCACGTCCAGCTAATTTTTGTATTTTTAGTAGACGGGGTTTCACCACGTTGGCCAGGCTGGTCTCAAACTCCTGGCCTCGGGTAATCCACCAGCCTCTCCCTCCCAAAGTGCTGGGATTACAGGTGTGAGCCACTGTGCCCAGCGTTTTTTTTTTTTTCTTTTCTTTCTAAATCTGACAATACGGATTGAGTATCCTTTACCTGAAATGCTTGGGACCAGAAATGTTTCAGATTTCAAATGTTTTGGATTTGGGAATATTTGCGTTATACTTACCAGTTCGGCACCCATAATCTGAAAATCCAAAATTCAGAATGTTCCAATGAGCATTTCCTTTAAACATGACGTCATCACTCGAAAAGTTTTGAATTTTGCATTTTAGATTTCAGATCTGGGATGCTCAACCCATATCAAGTGCTGATGAGGATACGCAACAACGGGAGCTCTTATACACTGCCAGTGGTGGTGTTAGATGGTACAGAGAATTTGACCATTTCTTTAAAACTTAAATAATTACCATGGGACCCACAGCAAGTCTTTTCCTAAGTATTTACCCAAAAGAAATAAAAAGTTATGTTCATACAAAAACCTGTACACTAGAGGTTTGTTCATAATCAATGGAAACTGCAAAACACAAATATACCACAACTGGAGAACGAACACACAATTATACATTCATACAATGAAATGCTACTATGCAATAAGAGAAACTACTGATAGAGTAACATCATGGAGAAATCCCAAATGCATTAGGCTAAGTGTAAGAAGTCAGCCTCAAAAGGCTACATGTTGTATGAGTCCATTTACATGACATTCTAGAAAAGGCAAGAATGTACAAAAAGAAACCATATCATTGGTTAAGTGGACGTGAGGGGACCGGGATGATTAAAAATAGGTGTTAAGAGAAAGTTTTTGTATTGAAGTTGTCTTGTATTTTAATTGTGGTGGTTACATGACTGTATATGCTTGTCAAAACTCAGAACTGTAAGGGTCAATTTCACTGTATGTAAATTATACCAATAAAAACAATAAAAGTCTTAATAAAAATAAATGTAATATGATAAAAAAAATACCAAATCATTGACATCGCCACTAGTCATAAGGTAAGAAGTTATTTTATATGTTTAATCATATGTATCTGATTTAAATATGCTACCTATCAATACATTTCAAACAAAGGAAGGCCATGTTGCAGGTTTATGAAAGTTAAGGTTAGTATTAGATAATGATTTCCTTCACCATTTAATAATGAAACATTAAAAAGTTGACTATATCTTATCAGAAAAAAAAATTTTTTTTTTTTTTTGAGAGGGAGTCTCGCCTCTGTCACCCAGGCTGGAGTGCAGTGGCATGATCTCGGCTCACTGCAAGCTCTGCCTCCTGGGTTCACGCCATTCTCCCGCCTCAGCCTCCCGAGTAGCTGGGACTACAGGCACCCGCCACCACGCCTGGCTAATTTTTTTGTATTTTTAGTACAGACAGGGTTTCACCATGTTATCCAGGATGGTCTCAATCTCCTGACCTCGTGATCTGCCTGCCTCAGCCTCCCAAAGTGCTGGGATTACAGGCGTGAGCCACCACACCCAGCCAAAAACAACTATTTTTTAATAATTAATTTACCCATTATCTACTATGTGCAGATCCAAACATTCGTGAGATAATCAGGGGCAGAGTCCAGCAACATGATTCTTTCCCCTTTCCATCTTCCTAATAATGGATATAGCTGGTAGAAATAGTAAGTGTAAAGTGCAAGGCCAGTATTTAAATATTCTCTCTTTCCATACATTCTCTAAGAAAGGGAGTAATCAGTAGATTCAGCTCTCTTGAAAGAGAGGAAAGAGAATTTTGAGAGACACTTAACTTTACAAATTGGTAAAGCATGAACTGGTGTCAACTTGTTCCATTTTAAACTTGTGAAAACCAAGGTTTTCGAAGGTGACTGAATCACTTCCCCATTTCTAAAGCAAGAGAAAGGCAGAACCAGAATTCAAATTGATAGCAGTCTCACTTCGGACAAAGTTCTTAGTCCCACCAAGTAAGAACTCATCTCTTACTACTACTCATCTCTCTTCTCGCATCTGCAATTGTTTAAGCAACAGCTTGGGTCAACATGTTTGAAATCAATTAAGTATCTTTTAGGATTTTATTATGCATACAACCTGGTTTAATTTCAAACTTCACTCCCACAATGGATGCATATATACTCAGAAAGGTTGAAGCAGTTTATAATAATTTATACTAATGTACAGAGTCTTTTATCTGATCACTCAAAATTTTAAAAGCAAATCACTTTTTAAGTCAGGAATAAAAACAGCAAATACTCAAAAGGATATATGAAAAAGTAATCATGCTCACTTTTGACCTTAATAAAAAATTATTGTAACTCTAATTTTAAACAAAAGAATATAGAAAAAGTTTCCTCCTCCCTCTGGCTTCCTGACATCTGGCTTTCCTCTATTGTTTTCAAAGCTGCCAGTATCCTGAGTTATACACAGATTACTTACTGCAACACAAACTTACCCTGTGAAGCGTCACTGTATGTTGTTCCCATATAGCTGTTTCCTCCATTGCTGTGCTCTGATAAAGGAAAAGAAAAACAAATCATTTACCTTTTAAGAAAATGTCCTTAATAAGGTGAGCAAGAACATCCAACAATTCAGCACACTGAAATACCAAAATTCACAGTTAATATTAGAGACACTCTGAAAGGACCTTAATAATTATGGAAAGTTTTTTGTTTGCTTTTAAGAGACAGGAAACGACACACAGGAACTTCCTTTGTTTTTAACTTAATTTGGACAGCTGCTCTATATTCATTTCATGCAAGCTGAAATCAGTATTCAAGCTAATTCTGCAACTTTATACTTAGAAAAGAATAAAAGTTGGAGCGGTATTATCTTAAAATATCTAATGGCACGTAAACATTTAAAAGCATCTCTTATGTTTTACAAACGAAGGGAAAGTTAAATGCCTCTGAACACAGTAATTATAAATATACATGTCACAGGAAAACAGATAAAACCATTAATAGGTTTGGCAAATGGCTGCTTTAACGTCACAAACATGACTACTCTACCTAGTTTCAGTTTTGCTACAGAATTACTTCTCAAGCTTCATTTATAACCAAAAGAAAAAGAACAGCTTTTCTAGTATATGTATCACACACGTAGATACACACAAGAAACAAAAACAAAAAAGAACAATCTCCCAAACTCCCCCAAGAATCATCATAAAATAAAAGCAGTAAGAGCTCCAATACAGGTCCTGCCCAAATTATAGCGTACTTCAGTTTTACCTCCTGTCATGAGCCTCTCAATAGAGAGGAAAATAAATTATTATTTTTTTTTTTTTTTGAGACGGAGTCTTGCTCTGTCGCCCAGGCTGGAGTGCAGTGGCGGGATCTCGGCTCACTGCAAGCTCCGCCTCCCGGGTTCACGCCATTCTCCTGCCTCAGCCTCCCAAGTAGCTGGGACTACAGGCGCCCGCCACTACGCCCGGCTAATTTTTTGTATTTTTAGTACAGACGGGGTTTCACCGTTTTAGCCGGGATGGTCTCGATCTCCTGACCTCGTGATCCGCCCACCTCGGCCTCCCAAAGTGCTGGGATTACAGGCGTGAGCCACCGCGCCCGGCCGAAAATAAATTATTATCTAAGGCAGGGGTGTCCAATCTTTTGGCTTCTCTGGGCCACACTTGAAAGAAGAAGAATTGTCTTGGGCCACACATAAAATACACTAACACTAATGAAAGCTGATGAGCTTAAAAAAAAAATTACAAAAAAAAAAATCTCATAATGTTGTAAGAAAATTTACGAATTTGTGTTGGGCCGCATGCGACCTGTGAACCACGGGTTGGACAAGGTTGATCTAAGGAATTAGCAGTAAGGAATTCAAAATAAATTTCTTTTAAATGGGGTTAATTGCTCTTGGAGACTTAAAATATTTCAGTCTCTCTTAATGTTACCATTTTATGAAACTGGGACTCCTAAAATGTATTTACAAGTAAATTTAAAAAAGATTCTTCAGAGTTATCAAAAGGTAAAGTAAAAAGGGAGAAGGCTAAGCATGACACTCTCAGATCACTAGTCACCCATTACTATAAATGCCTATTTCATAAGTGAGGTCTGTTTTCTCTTACTGCTGTCATTAGCATCATGAGAATATGCCTACCAAGGTGCCATGGGCCCATTCTCTCCTTTCCCACAGCGACTTTAATTGAAGATTAATGCCATTTTAGAAAGTAAGTCCCTATAAAGAAAGCCTGCTTCCCTAAATTCAAAGCAACTAGATTATCCTGCCAGATGAATAAGAGAGGAGAGAGAAAGGATCTCTCTGTTCACTCCCATAGATAAGAACTGCCAACCTCACCAGCATTTGTTTCAATCTTCCAATGAAGTGCACCAAAACCTCCCTTTAATGAGACCTCCACTGGAAACAAAGCTGTTTTTTTTTTTTTAAACAAACATTGACCGGGATAATGCACTAAAAAAAAAAATTCTTCCATCAATGAGAAGCAACAATAGTATGAGTAAATCAGCTAAACATCAACAGTCCCACTAACATACACATGATAAAAGTATCTGCAAGAGTTGCCAGTTTGTCCAATCTCAGCTGATATTAAGAATGAGAACTGCTTGCATAGCTCTCAGTTCATCTTTTCTTGATCTATTTCATTAACCAGTGACATTGTTTTACTGCCTTTTTAATCTTTTTCCTATCAGTCCAAATGGCAAGTGATGTGATAACATGCACTTAACTCTCTTTGATAACATACTCTATGGTATGAAACAGTTCATCATCCTCTCTAAGGTCTTAATGAACACAGTTTTCCATTTTGTAAGAAGATGTTAATCAAATGGGAAAATTTATTTAACATTAAGGGGGGAGCAGGTTGTAAAACAGCGTGTACATGGTTATCCTAATTTTGTTTAAACATTAGTAGGGAATAAAGGCTCAAAGGATAAACAAAATGTTAACATTGTTTATCACCTTCAAAGTAAAGGGACTGTGGGTGACATTTTTCTATCAGGTGTTTTATCTTCCTGCTTTCCTTTCTCCATTCCCCATCAGAACAAACTGGCAATGTATTTTAAACTATATTCACAAAATCTCATTCCTATTTGACATTTCGAATACAGACAGTCCCTGACTTAGGATGGGTCAACTTGATTTTCTGACTTTACGATGGTACCCATACAACCATTGTTTTTCATTTCCACTACAGTATTCAAGAAATTATATGAGATATTCAACACTTTATTGTGAAGTAAGCTTTTGTGTTAGATAATTTTGCCCAACTATATACTAATGTAAGTGTTCTGAGCATGGTTAAGGTAGGCTGGGCTAAGCTTATGATACTGGGTAGGTTGGGTGTATTAAATGCATTTTTGACGTAAAGTATTTTCAACTTACGATGAGTTTAATCAGGACATTGTTCTAAGTGAGCTGAGAAGCATCTGTATCTGTTTTTCCACTTGGCTTTTAGGAAAATCAAATAATGCTTAAGAGGATTAATGTTCTTATTGTTAATTATAAAAAATGTTTATTCTCCTGTTAGTAAGCAATCTATACATTAAGGTCTTAATGTACAGTCTCCAGGAGGAGTGCAATAAGAGAAACTTGCTTTGTACAAGGGAGAAGACTAAAATACTAAAACATAATTGCTCTCACCATTCCACATCAAAATCAATATAGTTTTTCTTTGGAGGACTGGAAAAGTCCACATCTCAAAAAACTTCTCTGTTAAACATCAATTATAGCTTGATTTATCTGAAGGAAGACCTATGTAGAAGAAAGTAATTGAGAATGAAACATCAAAAGAAGTGGTTAGGCTCTTGACCAGCCACTAAACCAACTTAATCCATAATATAAGTGAGTTACTATGTTTTACCACTCCTTATCTTTAAAAAAAAAAAACAAAAAACAGAAAAATATATTCCTAGTTTAAATGATGGACCATGTCATCTCTCTCCATTCTCTAGCCTTTCATTTGCTTCTGTGGCAAAAGTAGCAAATTCTATCCATGGTTGTTTATATAACCAGGCAGTACTGATGAGGAGTTCTGAATGAGGAATGGAAGGATGAACAAACACGTAAATATGTAATAATGCAAATACAGTAAAATGATAATGGTAGAATCTTAGTGGTTGGGATTCAGGTAACCATGGCAGACTGCTTTCAATCTTGTTACGTGTTTGAAAGTGATCATAATAAAATGCTGAGGAAAAACTAAGAAATCCTTCTAGTAAATCACTCAGAAATCAAAGCTAAAATTGATATGAGACATTTTTAGTACCAGTAAATTTATTAACCACTATTTTAATGAGCATTCCATAAAGAAAAAATGTTCACTAATGACTGAGAATTTTGATGCATTAGAAAAGCAAGGGGTGTGGAGGTTCCTTTGGAAGAATACCTAAGAAACGCATGGCTTCTGGAGTGGAGAAAGGAAAACCAGGTAGGAGGAGTCTCACTTTTCACTGGGAGCCCTTTGTACTTTTAATTACATTCATCTATTACTTATCAAATTATTTTTAAAACTTAATATCCTTATTGTAAACTTGCTTGTCATTTTCTCATTTCAAACATGCACAAGGGATAACTGCATAACTTGCACAAAAAGCTTCTGGTAAATTACCAGTCTCAGGTTCAAGACATTTAGGCTTGTAGGAGACCAAGGGGAAAATGTATTACTCCTCTAAGCATGATTCTAGCACTACCATTCCCTAGTAACTCAGACAGATGCTGGTGAACAGGAAATGAACTAGACCAGGCATAAGGAGACCAGAGCCGAAAGGTATCATCAACTAGAAACGTGATCTTAATTTTCCTCACCTACACAATTAGGGAAATGGGTGAAATTATCTCAAATGAAAAGACTTTTCTAGCTCCAAAATTCTATCAGACTATAATTCCAATGAACAGGCTACAAATTCAATAATTAGTGAAGCACTGCAGGCATCAAAAGTGACTGCAATTCATGGTTGCTGGATTCTGAGTTCTGCGCACATTTCTAAGTCAGCATCAACTGACTAGAATCACAATTTCTGAAGAAGCAAAAAGCTGTATTTCACAATCTGCCAAGAGTTTGTTTAGTTTCTTTGTTCTAAGCTCCAGCTGGCAAAGACACTACTCAGATCACCAACTCTGAAGGGCTTCCTGCCAAAACTTCAGATCCCAGTTCTAGGCAGTTTCACTGTCCTTCAGGACTGATTACTGAATGGGGAAAGATAGGAGGGCACAATAACTGAAAAGACAGGATGAGCCTATAACTGGGAGAAGAACAAATCCAAAAGAGAAGATATAAAGTATACTCCAAATGAAGAACTCCTTAACATTATCTAAATACACAGCCAGTTAAATTTTACTAACCTTATGGCTGTAATTTCAAAACCAATCCATGTATCATTCATTCATTCATTCATTCAACAAACATGTATCAGACATGGTAAGTGTTGGGGAGGCCAAAAAAAGGTCCCTCTCCCTCCCTAGGGGCTCAAAGAAGCAGCTGAGAACACTAAATGGTATTTAGGTTGGTGCAAAAATAACTGCAGCTTTTGCCATTAAAATGGCATCAAAAGATATGAGCTTTTTGCACCAAAATAAATAACTTTTGCACCACATAGATAAGAGCTGTTATGGAAGATGCAAAAGGACTGTGTCTGCTGTGAAGATCAGAGATCTGTTCCCTGAGACAGCAACGTTTTGAGTTCATCAAGCTTGAAGGATGTCCAGGAAAAAAGTGGAGAAAGATGTTTCAGAAGAAACAGCATGTCAGCAAGATTGTGTGATGCTACACATGACGCTGGCTTTGATATGACTAAGTTGTACAATTTATGGAACAAGGAGAGAGTAAAAGGAGAGAAGGTGCAAGGGTACCAGATCACAACAGGCTTTATAATATAATGCCAAGGACTTTAAACTCAAATGGAAGACACTAAAGAATTTTCGACGATCAAATGATATAAGAATTCATCCTGAAGGCTGTAATGGGAAAATGATTTGAGAAAGGGAAACCAGTTAGAAAGTTAGTGAGAAGTGTGGGTGGAGTTCAAAATGGCTCTTGAGTAGTCAACCAAGTAGCAGTGCTGAAGTCAAAAGGAAAAGATGTAATTACCCAAGGACTAAGATAACCCTGTGGACAACCAAAGGAATTTGAGAAGAAGCAGACAATGAGGATACATGAAAACCAATGGAGCTAATACAAAACACTACTTACTGTCCAGAGAATACACCAAAGCTTAAGATCCCTCAATTTTTTAGATCAATACACCTCATTTATCTGACATCATAAAATAATAAAATTTCCACAAATCTTCAAGGAACACCCTTTCTTGATGACATGCAGTTCCCCATTAGGAAAACCAATAGTAAAGGTATTAAGAACACTCTGTGAACCCTCCAAGTTCCTTCTGTGAGCAAAGCTGCTACACTGAACGGCTTCTCATTCCTTCTGAACTCCAAAGTGTTTCTGTTTTGGTCTTTTTGGCTTTTTTCCATCCAAATTGAAAGCAAGATCATCTATGGAGATGAGGTTGAGCCAGGAACTTAAGGAGAAGGACAAGGTAGGTTTCAGTGAATAAAACAGATGACCCCTGCCCTTCAATGAAGTTTCAATTACATAATTTCAAATTGTGATCACTGCAACACAAATGAAGTACAAAGGGAATAGTGCTACATGTTAAAAGGTAAGGCAAAATATGTATATTTGGACTGATCTGATGGGCCGTCATTTAAATTCCCAAAATAGAAATGTCCAGGAGGTAGTAAAAAAGATCACTCTAAAATAAAATGAAGAAGGGTCCTAACGATATTCAGGGATTCAACAAACTTCATGAATAGAAGATAAAAATTCAGGAAACATAAGAATTAAAATAATGATCAAAATAAGAAGGCAGCAACCATAGGATAAAAGTCTCAATAGAAATTTAGTAAATTTAGCATCCAACACCCCACTGTATTCAACACTGGTTAAATTTACAAATGTATCACTGTGTCCATCCCTTGGTTAACAGTTTAGGAAACAAATGATGAGATGGATATGATTAGGAAATATTAGTCGGAAAGACAGACACAGTGAACCTGTAATTTTCTGGTTGATCAAAGCTGAAGGTCTGCTAAAAACATTAAGTTCACAGATAAGCTGCTACATTAGCTATAAAGTAAGAGTGAAAGAACATCAGCTTAAAAGTTACCATTATGTGTACATTAAATATTGAGAAAATCTCAGTAGGGACAGTTACAAATATTCTTGGAAACTTAAAATCTAGAGTGCTTTCAAGTTATCAAAAATAAAACTATTTTTAGGTATAGCATCTTCTAAAGGTTGAAGATAGATACAAAGATCTCTCACAATTTATTCAGGTAGACAGGAGGAGGAAGGGAATGGCATAGCAGAGATGAAGAGAGAGTGACAGTCCTCTGAGTATATCTTTTTGCATAACTCTCTTTCTTAGACCACAGTATTGTTTCATGACATTACCCTTCACAGATCAAAAAATTAAACTATTAAAACCAAAAAGACATGAGGGGAGGGGAGGAAATCAAAAACAGAATAAAAACAGTAACAAATGAACATAACTATATTACAGATGGAGAATGTAACCACACTAAAGAAGAGTTTAACTTTTCTATAAATCTAATATTTTAAAATAAAAAGTTTAAAAAAGTTATAATGGTATAGAAAAATGCAGAAAGATACCAATTTTGGAAAAAATATTTACGTACTCAGAAAAAAAACTTGGTTTCAGAGTTGTATATTTTAAGTTTTTATACATCCTACAATGAACACATGAATTTCATAATCCTTGAAAACTGGTAAACATCACATCTGAATTACGAAACAAAAAATGGGCAAAAGTGGCCAGGCATGGTGGCTCACACCTGTAATCCCAGCACTTTTGGAGGCTGAGGCAGGCAGATCATTTGAGGCCAGATGTTCAAGATCAGCCTGGCCAACCTGGTGAAACCCCGTCTCTACTAAAAATACAAAAATTAGCCAGGCATGGGGGCACATGCCTGTAATCCCAGCTACTTGGGAGGCTGAGGCACGAGAATCACTTGAACCCAGGAGGTGGAGTTTGCAGTGAGCCGAGATTGCACCACTGCACTCCAGCCTGGGTGACACAGTGAGACTGTCTTAAAACAAAAACATAAACAAGAAACAGGGAAAAGTGATCTACACTGTTAGAAGTTGGGACAGGGTTACCTTTGTGTATGAAGTAACTCGAAGGGATGGAGGTGGGGGAGCTTCGGGACGTAAAGTAAATGTTCTTCCTTGATCTGAGTTGTGGGCAAATAGGCATATTCACTTTGAAAATATATCAATCTGTGTACACCTATGATTTGCCTAATGTATTATGTTATTTAAAAATTCAAAATAAAGTAACCTGACAGAACTGTAAGTAATTTGACTGCAATGGATTAAAATAAATCAAATATGCTTCCATCCATCCATATGCCCACAGTGATTTTAAAAAATGATAAGTGCTGGCAGAACTCATTATTTTGAGAAACTGGTACGTATAGGGAAAGAATAAGATATTTACTCTGTCTTTCCTATACAAACAGTACCAGTGGGCGATCAAAATAGTAGATGAAGGAGAGTTTCTTTTTTTAGAAGCACTCCAGCTAACCAATGAAAAAGGAATAATAAAAATTGAATATCATCATTTTGTAACACCTAGTGAATTAAGGGATCTACACACTGATCATCAATGGCTGCAGACATCATCCAAAAACAACAGAAAAAACCCTGGGACCGAATGCCACTTATGAAGTAGAACTGTAAAAACAAACAAAAAAATCAAATCTGAATCTGATCAAGGCTCTAGATCTGTGCTATCCAGTACAGTAGCCACCAGCCACATGGGGCTACTCAGCACTTAAAATGTGGGTAGTCCAAACTGAGACATGGTATATGTAAAATATATATATGATACGAAATATGTGATATGTATTATGATATGCTATGTGCAAAATATACATGATATGTAAAATATACATGCAACAGTATTCAGAGACTGAATATGGAAAATAATTTAAAATATCTCACCTATAATTTTATATCATTGCATGCTAAAATGGTAATATTTTGGATATGTGTGTTAAATAAAACATGAAAATTAATTTTACCTTAAAGTTTTGGTGTGGCTACTACATTAGACAGAATTGCTCTAGCTACAGTTAACCAATTTACAGGAAATACAGTGGGCCAACCACCATTGTAATCACCACAAGGAAGCAAATACCAAAATTCATACTGTTAAAATTTCTACAAATAATCCTGTTTCTCAACCAATAAAGCTGCAAGGGAAGAGGGGAAAGAGAGAGACAGAAATGGGGGACCTCATATGCCTAAGAGAAATGTTAAACAATCACAGTAAGAGGACCTCATCAAGGAAAGTTGACATTTAACACAATTAGAAAACACTAAACATGGCTGGGCGCGGTGGCTCATACCTGTAATCTCAGCACTTGGGAGGCCAACGGGGGTGGATCGCCTGAAGTCAGGAGTTCGAGACCAGGCTGGCCAACACGGTGAAACCCCGTCTCTACTAAAAATACAAAAAATTAGCCAGGCATGGTGGCAGATGCCTGCAATCCCAGCTACTCAGGAGGCTGAGGCAGGAGAATCCCTTGAACCAGGGAGGCAGACGTTACAGTGAGCCAAGGTCATGCCATTGCACTCCAGCCTGGGCAACCAGGAGCGAAACTCCGTCTTAAAAAAAAAAAACCAAACACTTAAGTACTTGATTTGGAGTTTATTTTAAAAGTGTGCTAATGATAATGTAGTTATAGTACTTTTAAAAAAGACATCTTTTAGAGATATATATTCAGACACATGTTGAGTATTCCATTCTATCTCTTCTCTGAAATGCTTCAAACCACGTGTTTCCGATTTCAGGGTGAACCATCCAAAATCCAAAAATCTGAAATCTGAAATGCTCCAAAGAGAATTTTCTTTGAGCATTATGTCAGTGCTCAAAAAGTACTGGATTTTGAAGCATTTCAGATTTGGGATGTTCACTATGTACTAACAGATGAAAAGATATCTGGCATTTGCTTCAAAATAATGGGGAAGAGAAGACACAATGAATGAAGTATAGATGAAATGAGACTGGCTGTAAGTTGTTAACCATACTGGGTGACAGTAATGTGGGAATTCATTATATTCCCCACATCCACTTTTCTATAGGTTTGAAAATTTTCCACTTAAAAGAAGGTAACTTGAGGGGACTAGAAATTAATTACTGATTTAGGAAAGACCCAAACCAAGAATGCAGCTACCATGATGCCAGGATATTAAGTAGTATTTCCATGAGCTGGCTATTCCAGCAACTGCTTCCCCTCCCCTTTCAGAATAGTAAGAAAAATGCAACTAGTCCTGGAGATGGATTAGTACCTTCCTTCTGCTGCTAAGCTGAATTTAAGGTGGTCTAACATTACCAGTAAGTGAGTTAACAGCATTGAAAAGGCAACTCTTGTCTAGAAGGGGTAACAGATACTAATCAAATAATAGCAGAGAACTAAGTACAGGTTATCATAAGTGCTATAAAGGGGTACACAGAGTTTAAAGCACAGAGTTTTGACCTAGTTTCTGGGCTCTGGGCAAAGTCCTTGAGGAGAAGAGACAGCTATGAGGTGCATGAAAGATGGAGGTGGCAAGGTTTCCGGGTAGAAAAAACAGCACGTGCAAGAGCCTAGTGTAGGAAAGTGCATCTCTCATTCATTCAAATAATGTTTTGAGAGTTTCCTATGTACTAGACACTGTGTTAAACTACACGAATAACTGGACACAACTAGTATGACCTTTGTTCTCAAGGAGCTTACAGTCTAGCAGGAGAACCAAATGATCGAAAAACTCCATGGCTAAATATATAGTCACAAAGTTAAATAAGTACTATGAAAGAAGGAAAAACAGTGCCATGAGGAACTCAAAGAGAAAGTTGACAGGAAGTACACTTGCTAGGAACCAAAAAGAGGAAAGCACAGTTTGAGAACAAGAAACAAGGAGGAAAAAGATACGATGTGGCTAGAGGGGTAGGCAGGGGCCAAATAATCCACTAGGAGCTTACTGACCATATTAAGGATTTTGATCTTTTACTCTAAAGGTAGTTAAGCAGCCTAGGAATTTTAGGATGAGTGTTCGCATGTGTGTGTAGCGGGGCGGGGGAGAGCGGAGAGAAACTAATCAAACCTGGATTTTGAAAAGATTATTTCAGAAAAACAGATTGTAAGGGGAAGAGGGGGGTATGATACTTAGGAGGCTATTACAGGAATCCAGAGGGAGGATTACTTGGGTGGGGGTGGGGGGGTGGTGGGAGGGAGAATGTAAATGGTTGAAAGTACGGATAAAACAAGTAGAAAGACCTGAGGTGCTCAGCAAATCAAAGCTGAATAGAACTTGCTAATCAACCATTCACCATACTAGGTAGACATCCAAATTGAGCCAGGTACCCTGGATTTGGAATAGTCTTTCAACTCTATTGCCTAATCCATCAGACTAAAGACTGTATCTCTTATCTAATGCCATTGTAATAATTTTTTCAAAAGTATCTCAGGAACCCAAGGAACCTTCCTCTGAAACCATAAAACATCTTGCTGGGCTGAAACTACTAACCTACAGGCTGATTGATCTTTGTCCAGAAATAAATAAATGAATCCTCCTTCTGAAACCACAAAACATCTTGCTGGGCTGAAAACTACTAACCTACAGGCTGATCTCTGTCCAAAATGAATGAATGAATGAATGAATGAATGAATGAATGTCTTAAATAATCTACAGGCCAACCTTTGTCCATAAATAAACAAGTAAATAAATAAAATTCCTATATGCCTCCTCTCTGATATTAAAATAGGCTTCACTTAAAATGTTTTTAGAAGACACAGCTAACATAATAGCTTAGTATGTGCTGAGCCCACAATCACTCTGAGATGGGTCTTGTTTGCATTTTTACATTTGCATTTTGTGTACAGATGAGAAAACAGCCATTTAGTGGCAGACTCAGGATTCAGATTCCAGAGGCTAAACTCACATATAAGTAAAACTTAAGAGTTGCTCGGTGATAATCTTTTCAGTCCTTATTTTACTTGACCTCTCTGTGCAGGATCTGGCCTGCTGACAGGTGAATGGTGTTTACACGGGTGTTCACTTTATAATAATCCATTAATGTACATTTGCTTTATGTACTTTTGTACACATGGCAATATATTTCACAATAAAAAGATATAAAAAACTAAGTCAACTAGCAAGACTTAAGTCAGGGTAACTTACATGAAAATCCGGATTTGCAACCTCTTGAAAAACTGGGAGATCTGGCCTGTCTTCTTCCAAGAAAACAATCAGCTGGGGCTGAGCAAGAGCTGCTTCCTTTAGACAAACTGGCTTGTGCTCTGATGGAGCAGTGCCCTCTCTTCTGGCTTTCATGATTCATGCTGCTTTTCTGGTCTAAGACTTACCTAACACCATCCCATACTCTTCTCCCTGGTGCTCTCTTACAACACACGAACATAAAAGGATGTGAATGTATGACTTATAGAACATGTAAGTAGATGTATGATTACCTATGGCAAGTAAATTTAACCTCAGATCCTTCACCTGTAAAAACAGAGATAATCGTAGTATCTAACAGAATTGTGAAGATTAAATGGGATAATGCACATAAAACACTTAGCTCAGTATCTGTCACAGAGTCAGCATGCAATATAAGGGGCTACTGTTTGTTTTGACACATATTTCTCACACTTATAACTAAAATGTAAGCCTACTTGCCATGGCTACTGACTTGATTTTTATAGGTGATACAGCATCAAAATAGTGTACTTCTGTATTAACACTCCAGTAAGTATTAATACTCCAATAACTGCCACTGTTAGAAAAAAAAAATCAGTAAATAAACCTTCCTTAGTACCTTTATATGACATTACCAGGAAAAACTTCCACAATTATATTTTGAAAGGCAGACTCATTTTTGCCAGATTCATGTATTTCCCCTGATTGTGGCTTTTGGTGGTCTGATCAGTCAGGTAAGTGGATATCTTACTACTAAAACATACTTCAATACTTACTACTAAAACATACTTTAGTATGACAAACATCTTAGTCATAAAATATCCTCCAAACTAAGACCAACTTGATTTTTCAAGATAATCATAGGAACACCAAAAGAAGCTTACTACCTTTTGCTCAGCTGTTGGTACTCCAATGACTGCCTCATAATGCATATCTAATTCTTGCCCCTCAGACAGACATATACAATATTTTTCTCCAAAAAGCCACAGAAGTCTAACTGAAACTATTTTCTCCCGAAACCAATAAAGTCCTCATACAATGGAATACCATGAAGTACAAGAACTGAATGAAAACTAATGAGCTACAGTTCTCCACAACATAATCTTACAAACATAATGCTGAGCAAAAGAAGCCATATACAACAGAATTCACACTAGAAGATTCTGTATGCGCAAAGTTCAGAGAGTCAAAACTAGTGCTTTCAGAATGCATAATTAGGTGGTAACTATAAAGAAAAACTAGAAAATGAGAAACCTAGAAGACAAGATACATGCAATCTTTGAAGAAGGGAGGATATGACCCAGAAAAGGCATGTTAGGGATTCTAGCACTTATCATTATGGACAGAATTTTATTTGCTGCTCTCTACCCGCACCATTAAAATGCCCTATCAGTACAGAGATGTGTTCACTGCTGCATCTCCAGCACCTACAACAGTGATTGGTACACACGAGGTAACCAACAAATATCTGCTGAATGTAAAATTCCGCTTTAGGAATCCAAATTGTTACATATTTCACAGCTTCTTGAACCCTAAATGTAACAGTAACAGCTAGTATAGTGTTCATTTGCCTTGTCAGTATATTCAAGGAGCTGTTAAGCATATAAGCCAATTACTTTATAATTCTTAATGTCTCCCTCCTATTGAGATATTGATACCAAACATATGCAGAAAACACTTACATCAATGTATCCAGATTCAATTCAAACATTTAAAAACATTAACAAGGAAAAATACAGAAACTCTGCTAAACAGCAAGCCCAGGTTTAGAAAATGACTTTGTCACCTCCTCCAACGAAGAAAGCACACAAGAATGCTCTGTTATTACAGGATGACCATAAGTTTGCTCGTATTTTTAAGAGTAAACAATGCAAATCCTTTGTTTCTTCAACAATGAGTTACACAATTCACAAAGTGATCATTACAGCGTATAGCAGTTGAAAACTGTAAATTTCTAGGATCGGGATCCCAAACAAAATGTACTCATTTAATATGTGTTAAGCTAACAAAAAGAATTAGTCATTACTGGTATCCTCCTGAATTTTAAAATTACATACTAAATTAAGTGAGCTAATCTTATATTAAGTTTAACTGGTGATATTCAGTTACCAGAAACTGTTGTACAATCTCCAAGATAATGACAATTCCAAAAGCGTGAAAATTCCTAAGATAACCAAGAAGAAAAATGAACTTTTCAGTCTTTGGGAATTTACATTTTTTTAAAAAGGAAAAAATATTTCGGTAAGTCAAAAAAAATTAATTAAACCAGGTATACGCTAATCTTATGTTCCTAATTAGAATCCACAGAAAGTAATATCAGCTTCTGTTTTACCTCCTTTCCGGACATGATAAACTAGAATTGAGATCATTCACCAGTTAACTCACTTCCCAGTATTTTCAGTATATCAACTGAAATATATCCGCAACACAAACTAATAAAACCTTATCTCTTGATCTATCCCAAAGTGAGGGCCACCTGAGATTCAGTATTGAGCACTACATATATGACAGGGTTTTGTTATCACATTTCAAATGGTGTTTTACAGTACAAAGTTTGGTAACATTGGTGTTCTCATGATCTAAAGCTGTGTTCTTGTGGTAAAGGCAATCATTCAGAGTCCATTTATTTTCATCCATGCTTAGGATATAAGATAAAACTCCCTACCCACGTATTCCCCACATACTGCTCATTATTAAGAATTTATCTGTTTAAGAGGAATGGAAATAAAGCACCTGGCTAGCCCATAAAGGAGCAACCTGAAGCCACTCTTCTCTGCAATAAATAAATAAAGATGCACTCTAGGTCAGAGAGAGCAAAAGTCTTATTTTTATTGCTGGCTTATGCAAGAAATACTGCAACACACCAATTTTATAGGATTAACTTTAAAATCTGTAAACTATCCTAATGTCTATTTCTTTCTACAAGACTAAAAGTTGTTAAAGTAAAAAGGTTTTTCAAGATTTGCTTTCAAAATTCAGAGGTGCAAAGCAAGTTCCAGTCAAATATTCCAGGAGGATCATTCTAGACATAAACTATCTTTTTATTTAACATATCAAAACTTTGCTAATTAGAAATGACTGGCTCATTCCACTAGCTTGCCTTCAGCTACTATAATGCTCAGTCATACACAATGCTGAGCACGTGAATGCTTTCAGGCAGGCCTGAAATGAGCAATGACTGAGCAGTCACAGATGGGTGGCACTACACATGAATTTACAGCTGGACTCATGGTCTTTCAGTAAGGTGAATTTTTATCATATCAGGGGTATGTCAAGTAACAGGATTACGTCTTCAAATTTTCCACCAAAACTATTATTTTTAAAGACATTTTCCTTAGCAGCATGGTGATCTATCATATTTATACACAGTTTTATTCTTAGAACTGTACAGAGTTTACATTTGGTCTCTAAACAGAAAAGAGATTAAAGAGCAAGTAAAAGTCAGAGCCAGACCTTGTTTCCAGGATTGGAGGGGAAAAAGGGAGTGGAACTACTGTACTTTTTTTCCTTCAAATCAAACGGGAAGCAGTACTACATATACTGCGTTACAGCCCTCGAAGCCACAGATTGGTTTCCACCTCATTATTTATTGGTGTCTTTCCTTTTTTTTTTTTGAGACAGACTCTCACTCTGTTGCCCAGGCAGGAGTGCAGTGGTGCTATCTCGACTCACTGCAACCTTGGCTCAACTGCAAACTCTGCTTCCTGGGTTCAAATGATTCTCCTGCCTCAGCCTCCCAAGTAGCTGGGATTTTAGGCATGTGCTACCACACCCGGCTAATTTTTGTATTTTTAGTAGAGACGGGGTTTCGGCCGTGTTGGTTGTGCTGGTCTTGAAGTCCCGCCCTCAGGTGATATGCCCGCCTCAGCCTCCCAAAGTGCAGGGATTACATGCTTGAGTCTGGCAAATTGGTGTCTTTCCTAATAATATAATGTAATTTGTGCCAATATATAACCTGGGGGGGAAAAACACCACAATTTGAAACATAACTATCTTATGAAGCTGTCCTGAAACAAATGTAAGAGTTGTAAAATGTAGTTAGGATTATCAGCCAACTATATAAATTAAAGCTTTAACCATGATGGTCTAAAATGCCAAACACACACAAAAATTATTGCTACAGTGAGGATCATTAAAAGTTGGCAGCCAAACTTCAGTGACTTCTCACAAACTACAGTGAGTTTTTCACTTTTAAAACAGTATGAAGCAAGTATGCATTGATCAGTAACTATCATAATTAAAACACTGCATCACTCACTCAAGAAACAATCCCTATATGTAATGACTGACTCTTGTCATTAATTTTTGTTCATTAGCTTGGCCATTTTCTGCAGCTCTTAAGGTTTCAAAAACGTTAAGATATCAAGAAAAGCCCACTGTATACACAAATTAACTCAAGATGGATTAAAGACTTCAATGTAAAACCCAAAACCATAAAAACCCTAAAAGAAAACCTAGGCAATACCATTCAGGACATAGGCATGGGCAAAGACTTCATGATGAAAACACCAAAAGCAATTGCAACAAAAGCTAAAATTGACAAATGGGATCTAATTAAACTAAAGAGCTTCTGCACAGCAAAAGAAACTATCAGAGTGAACAGGCAACCTACAGAATGGGAGAAAAACTTTTGCCATCTACTGATCTGACAAAGGTCTAATATCCAGAATCCACATGGAAGTGAAACTAATTTACAAGAAAACAAATATCCGTATCAAAAACTGGGCAAAGAATATGAACAGACACTTCTCAAAAGAAGACATTTATGCTGCCAAAAAAAAGGAGGTATTTATGCGGCCAACAAACATATGAAAAAATGCTCATCATCACCGATCATTAGAGAAATGCAAATCAAAACCACAATGAGATACCATCTTACACCCGTCAGAATGGTGATTATTAGAAAGTCAGGAAACAACAGATGCTGCCGAGGCTGTGGAGAAATAGGAACGCTTTTACACTGTTGGTGGGAATGTAAATTAGTTCAACCATTGTGGAAGATAGTATGGCAATTCCTCAAGGACCTAGAACCAGAAATACCATTTGACCCAGTAATCCCATTACTGGGTATATACTCAAAGGAATATAAATCATTCTCCTATAAAGACACATGCACACATATGTTTACTGCAGCACTATTTACAATAGCAAAGACATGGAACCAACCCAAATGCCCACCAATGACAGATTGGATAAAGAAAATGTGGTACATATATACACCATGGTATACTATGCAGCCATAAAAAAGAATGAGTTCATGTCCTTTGCAGGGACACGGACGAAGCTGGAAGCTATCATCCTCAGCAAACTAACACCAGAACAGAAAACCAAACACCACATGTTCTCACTCATAAGTGGGAGTTGAACAATGAGAACACATGGACACAGGGAGGGGAACATCACACACCAGGACCTGGGGCCTGTTACCCGGGTTGGTGGTGGGGGGAAAGGGAGGGAAAGCATTTAGGAAAAATACCTAATGCATGTGGGGCTTAAAACTTAGATGATGGGTTCATAGGTGCAGCAAACCACCATGGCACACGTATACCTATGTAACAAATGTGCACATTCTGCACATGGATCCCAGAACTTAATTAAAAAAAAAAAAGCCCACTGTGCTCCACTTGATACAATAAATCAATTCCTGGGTATCATGTAAATCAGTGTAACAGTAAAAAATGACATAAATCATTTTCATACTTACATTATAATTTCAGATAGCCACAGCGGGCAATACTACTATTCCCGAGACTTAACAAAAACATTTAAGTATTCAGCAAAATCTAATAAGCATATACAATAGCACAATCTTAAATTAAATTTTATTGCTTCCTCCAAAGGAAAACAGCTTGAAAACACAGAAGCCACTGAAACTTCCTTCAGCCACTTTTCTGTGATTCAACCAATGAAATCGTTTCTTAACAATGATTCATACCACTTTCTTACACATTTAAACAATTCTTTGGTGACGCAGAGAACCACCCTAATTCTTGTTTTTCAACTTTCTAATAATCTTAAATCAAATACACCAGTAAACAAAATTCTGACTGCGAACGCAGACGTTTATCACACATATAAAAAACGTTTTTTTCCTTTATTTATTTATTTGAGACAGCGTCTCGCTCTGTCGCCCAGGATGGAGTGCAGTGGTGCGATCTCGGCTCAATGCAACCTCTGACTCCCGGGTTCAAGCGTTTCTCCTGCCTCAGCCTTCCCATTAGGGGGGATTACAGGTGCTCGCCACCAGGCCCGGCTATTTTTTTTTTTTTTTTTGTATTTTTAGTAGAGACGGGGTTTCACCATGTTGGTCAGGCTGGTCTTGAACTCCTGACGTCGTGATCCGCCCCTCCTGGCCTCACAAAGTGCTGGGATTACACCGCGCCCGGCCACGTTTTTTCCTTCATTACTTTTTGTTTTTGAGACGGAAGCTCACTTTGTCGCCCAGGCTGTAGTGCAGTAGCCCCGATCTCAGCTCAATGCAACCTCCGCCTTCCAGGTTCAAGCAATTCTCCTTCCTTAGCTTCCCAAGTAGCTGGGATTATAGGCACGCGCCACCATGCCCGGCTAATTTTTGTATTTTTAGTAGAGACGGGGTTTCACCATGTTGGCCAGGCTGGCCTCGAACTCCTGACCTCAAGTGACCCACCCGCCTTTATTACTTCTTTAGTATCATGCACGGAGGATTCTTTTCAATCTAGGTACATACATATTTTTAAGTAGTATTCTACATTTTCTTCTATTTTAGAATTTTTATTGCTCTTTGTCATTTAGATTTCCTTTGATTTTTTTTAGCCTATGAGGCAGAAAACATTTTTAAAAAATGGATAACCAATAGTCCTAGCACCATACATTGAACAAGCCACTTTCTCCAATAGTCTACAATATTATTTTTTACCACATATTCGTAGTTTTCCACCTTGCTGGCTAAATGAACTTAAAAGTTATCGTATCTCTGTTTCAATTTCTTCACCAAAAAGTAGAGATAATAGTTCACTTCATAGGGTTACTGTGAGAATTAAATAAATTGAGCACTTAGAACAATACCTGACATGCAATAATACTGATGATCATAATTACTAAAAGCCCATAAATGCACAGATGTTTCTGGACCTCCCTGGTTCCTGAACTGACGGGCTGCTTTAAATGACTGTGAATTTCTAACAAGTTTCCTGATACGGCCTTCTTTTTCCAAAATTTTGTCGCTATCATTTTATCATGTAGGTTTTCTTATCAATATGTCAAGTTTTCTACAATACAACACTAGAAGACACTGACTTGGGGAAAATTAGTAAATTCTACAACAGTGACTGTCTCCATCCAGAAAATACATTGTTTCATCTCGTTTATTCAGATCTCACTTTATGTCCTTCATTAAGATTCCAGTAGCTCACCAATATTTGTTATATTTATTTCTAGGTAGTCTTTTTAGAGAAACATTTAGTAGTATATATCAGAATTTAAACTGCACATAGCCTTTGCCTCGGTAATTCCATTTTTAAGAATCTGATATACAGTAATATATGTGTACAGATATAAAAAGGCTACTATTCCAAGAACAAAATCCTGGAAACAAATGTCTATCAAGAAAGCAAAGATAATCTAAACAGCAGCATATTCATAGGATGACAAACTATTCAACCATTATAAAGAAAACCGAATCAAAAGCACTGGCTTATTAGACAAGAGTTTCCCAAACTATCATGCTAAAACAGTAACAGCGAGCTTCCAAATTAATGTTGCCTTTTTTTTTTTTTTTTTCCAAACTGAAAGGAGGGTGGGGAAAACAAACGCATCATATGTAAAGCACTGAGTCCAGCCTGGCTCTTAGTAAGCATTTTAATCACCTTCAAAAATTAATTGTGACTTACGGAAACAGGTCACTGAATATTATTTCATTTCACTTATTCATTTATGGCCTGTTTTGCTCTATATAAAATTCTGAAGTGGCTCCATAATACAGCATCTTAAAAAAAAGCTTTCAACTTGCCCTTTACTCGCAAATGTTTACAATGCAAAAAAGTCCCTACAACGTAATATTTAACGAGTGATGCTTTTCAATATGCCATACAAATCTCAATACTATAATTCAGGAGAAGTACTCCTCCTACCTTACTGTGGCAATCCATTGAAAACGTATTTCTCTCCATACTTGAAATAACCTCTTAAAAAGTGTGTTGTCTTGCATATTAAGTACCAGAGATCACACTTCAGGAACAAAGTGACATTCTGTGTAATACGGAAACAAAGCCTTTCCTCCTAGGAAAGAAAGCCCCAGAAAAGACAAATAATGGGAGCTTATTTTAAAACCAAAGCAAAATGTTGCCTTTTATCCTAAATCTCTGGATCAAGTTTTACCTTTAGATTGTTCTTCCTCAATGTAAGGTCAAAAGGTGCAAGTTAAATTTTTCTTAAACGAAGAATACTATATCCCTTAAAACAATCTATTCATTAATAAGTGTAACCGCTAGCTTCTCCCAGCCAGCAAACAAGCTTCTGTGAGAGTTCAAAAGTTTCAGAGGCATAGTATTCCTGCTCCCAGATGTTACGGGTAAGCATTTCAAACAAAAATACACACAGAAAACCACTACCTGCCCAAGTATCTCGATACTATTTGAAGTAATGAATTGATATTCTTTAAAGGGCAGATTTTTTACTCCTCACATTTCTGTATTCCTTTGTTTGAAATAACAAGTACTATTTTATGATGAAAAAATTAATATACAAAATGGGAGGAGCATCCTAGCTGTTTTTCAGGAACTTTGGCTTTTTAATGTAATACACAAGTTAGTTTCAAAGCAATGGGAAAATGCAATAATATTTCAGAGCACATAGGAAAAGTAACAGGAAAAACGTTACTTTTTTCGGCTGAACTCACCGGCCTTTACTAATTTTTAAGTGCTCATCTTATTGTCCATTCGTAGGAATACTTTGTATTACTTGTGAAAGTTTAATTCAAGTTAAATTATTAAATGTTAAAGAGGTTATTTTCAAAGTTACCTTAAATAAGTAATACAGCATGAAAGAAAACCCGACCTACTACGCCTCACAGGCTGAGTGGAGTGTTTTGCAGTCTCAAAGCCTTATCGCTGGCGTGCGCATACCGCAGGGAGTGACATCAGATCGAAACTACAGGGTTTCGCCGGGGACCAACCACTCCTCCAAAGACAGCAGCTCCCGGCCAGCAGGAGGTGGCACCCCAAGCCCCGACCCGCTGAGAGCCGGCTTCCAGCCCCCGAACCCTCACTGGAGCCGAGTTTCTCCGCGAGGGACCTGTTGCGTGTCCCCGCCCTCAGCGAGCCGCAGCCAGGCACAGGCGCCGGCAGCTATGCACCTGCCCAGTACGGCGGCCGGGCGCCCGCAGCCCCCTCCCCGGCCGCCCCCAGTGCGGCCCGCGCCGCCCCCGCCCGAGGGGCTCCCCGCGGCCCGCGGCCCGCGGCCCGCGGCCCCGCGCCAGCCCTGCCCACCCCGCCGCCCCGGGGCCCAGACAGCCGCCAGCGAGGGAGGGCGGGACGCGGGCCAGATGCCGGTGGGCGGGCGGCGACGGTCGGCCCGGTCTGGCCCTGGCGGCCGCGGAGGCGCTCACCTTGGCGGCCGCAGCTCTGGCGGACATCTTGTCTCTCTCCAGCGCCGCGCGAGGCTCCTCGGACCCGAAACTCCGCGGCGCTGGCCCGCCCGCTCCTCACGCCACAGCCCAAATAAACATCTCCCGAGAGCGAGCGGGGCACGGGCGGGGGCGGCCGGAAAGGCCCGGCCCAGGGGGAGGGAATTCAACTCGGACAAAAGTCCGGGAAGCGCCCGCCCCGCCCGGGTCTTCTCCACGGGGCGCGCCCGACCGGCACCTCCCTCCGAGCGCGGCCACCCACTCGGCCTCCCGCAGCTTTCGCAGCCCGGCCACGTCGGCCTCGCCCGGTCGCCCGCCCGTCAGCAGCACCCGTGGCCTCCCGGCGTCTCCTCGGAAGCCGGCTTCGCCACGTAACTTCCCGGGAACCGGCGGCCGCCAAGGAACGCGGCGTCCGCTGGCTCAGCCGGCGCCGGCAACTCAGCGGCCACGCAAACCTGCCGGCCCGGCCCACTGAGCATGCCCGGCCCGGCGGGGGCGGGGCTGGACGAGGCGAGGCGAGGCGAGGCGGGGAGGGGGCGGGGCCGCGGCGGGGGAGGGGGCGGGACGAGCGGCCGGGGTCCCGACCCCAAGCGCGGAAGGAAAAGCCGGGTAACCCAAGTAACTTGGAAGACAGTTTCCGCTGCCGTGCGAGTCTTCCTGTTTGTTTTTATCCAAGGTCTGGCAGAATTCGCCCCCAAGGAGAAAGCGCCTGTGCACCAAAGCTTTCCTTAAGAGACTTGTCCACTTGCTCCTCGACAAGCCACGCACATCATGGGGTGAGCCCCATGCATGAGTGCGGCTGGAAAGGCCGGCAGAGCCGATACCCGACAGTTGTTTCCTTCACTGGGCAAACAGCATGGTCACGGCTGTCACCGCGTGCCTCGGCGTTGTTCCCACGGAAGGCGGAATGCATTTTCTGCAAGGCGCGTCATGGCTTTCATCTCCGAGGAGCTCCGGCAGGGTCAGAAGCGTTGCTCTCGTTCACCGGCGCCGACTGCCAAGGCTGAAACTGGTGATGAGGTCATGGGCACCCGGAGGCAGCAGCCTGAGAAACACCCTAGAGACCTGTGACATCTCGGCCCACACCCCACATTAGACCTCAAGATATATCCAAAGTCTCTTTCCCGCCCATCTAGACAGGAATCTTGAAAAGTTTATTTTTGGCCATCAAGATTGCTGAAATTCTTGTTGACCGAACGGGTCAAGCTGCCCTGCATTCCAATGCTGTCCCTCCAACTCAAAGTTGGGCAGAAAAGGGTGTAAACACGTGCAGTCCATGGTCCAGTTTAATCAGCCACTACACAAACTTCCCACAATGTTGACGGCTTTGCTAAACACCAAGGAACATGGTAAGAAACCAATCCTAGACTCACTAATCTACACTTGTAAATGTAAAGGTCTTCAAAAAATGCCAGAAATCCTTAGTAACATCAATGATAACATCTTTAAAGTATCTGGTATAGTGCCACAACCGGCACAGAAGAAATGGAAGAAATCATAAACATCAGGCTTTAGACAATGGTTTTCTCTTTAGAATTCAACTGTATGAAAAGAACAAATTTAACAAAGAAGTATGTGTAGGTGATACATAAGTATCAATTAAGGCTTCGAAGTGCCACACATCTTGCAACCCAAAGCTGTCTGAACCAGAAAAGAGCCTTCTGCAAACCAAACCCTTATTCCTTTTTGTTCTTCATAAAAATGGTTGAAGTCATTTTTGTTTTAAAGTCATGTTGTAATTGTTTTGCTTTTGGACAAAGTATTATTTATTCTTTTAAGAATTGTGGGCCAGGCGTGGTGGCTCACGCCTGTAATCCCAGCACTTTGGGAGGCCAAGGCGAGCGGATCACGAGGTCAGGAGTTTGAGACCAGCCTGGCCAATATGGTGAAACTCCGTCTTTATTAAAAATACAAAAATTAGCCTGGTGTGGCGCGTGCCTGTAGTCCCAGCTACTCGGGAGGCTGAGGCAGAAGAATCACTTGAACCCAGGAGGCGGAGGTTGCAGTGAGTCCAGATCGTGCCACTGTACTCCAGCCTGGGCAACCAGCAAGACTCTGTCTCAAAAAAAAAAAAAAAAAAAAAAAAAAAAAAAAAAAAAAAAGGTGGCCAGGCGTAGTTGCTCACGTTTATAATCCCAGCACTTGGGGCCGTGCGCAGTGGCTCAAGCCTGTAATCCCAGCACTTGAGAGGCCAAGGCAGGCAGATCACTTGAGGTCAGGAGTTCGAAACCAGCCTGGCCGACATGGTGAAACCCCATCTCTACTAAAAATAGGAAAGTAGCCGGGCATGGTGACAGACGCCAGTAATGCCAGCTATTCAGGAGGCTGAGGCAGGAGAATCGCTTGAACCCGAGAGGCGGAGGTTGCAATGAGCTGAGATCATGCCATTGCACTCCAGCCTGGGCAACAAGAGCGAAACTCCGTCTCAAATCATCATCATCATCATCATCATCATCATCATCATCATCCCAGCACTTTGGGAGGCCAAGACCAGAGGATTCTTTGAGGCCAGGAGTTTGAGACCAGCCTGGGAAACAGTGAGACCCCATTAAAAAAAAAAAATTGTGATTAAATTTCTTCATATGCAAACACCATTTAAAAAGGTTTGGGAAGTATTTTTTAATTTTAAAAGGTGGTGATGAAAGACCTTTCACATTATCTTTACCATTTAAGAAGATGTGCAATTGCATAAGCTGCCTAGAACTAGGTGTGGTGTCTTTAATAGCACCTAAATCTAGAGACACTATCTACAAATGCACTGACATTTTTCACTTTTCCTTATTTGTCACTTTTACAAGTTGCCCAATGTGTAATTTAAATGCTAGATTGCAACTATTTGTCACTAATTAAAAATAGTTATATATTTAACAGTTTTATCTTTGCCATGGTTTAAAAAATGAAATCAAACAAAAATATTTCATCTTGAAAATATTATTCTTTAAAAATTATATTTAGTATTTCAGTGACTAATAGTATCACTTTAAAATTTTTCAGTGGTATTTTTAATATCTAAATTAAACTTCATAAAGTCTGTTCTTTAAATAAACAAGAGAAGGCTTTTATCATCTGTAAAATAAAGGTAAAACTGTTGCCAACAATTAAAAACAAAGCTTTATTCCTGCAGTTTATTTTTTAGGTAGGTGCTTTGACAACAAGTGGAAAGTATAAAGAATAATCTGAAAGAATCACCCATTTAACAATTAAAGAGTTTATCCATGGAACACCAAAAAAGTATTTTCTGACTTTTATGCTTACACACGCATGTCATCATAGCTCCTCTAGATCAATATGGGAAGAAATACAAGTTAATTAAGGATTCTCATTTAGAGTTACTATAATGTTTAACCACAAATCTCTTTCGATTGTACAGATTTATCTTATTTCTGATCATCTCTGCAACTGAACAGGAAACTAAAAAACCACAACACTTAAAAGACAACTTCCTGTGGGATTTTTGGTGTCTGCGGCTCAGAATGAAAAAAGCATTATGTGTGCAAAATCTTTACACATTTTAGATAGAACTACTTAACAAAACAGCCTTGACCAAATGAACAACTATATCCACACCTAATTTGTATATATGTATATGTATGGTTTTAATTGCAAAAAAGATCCTTAGGAAAGCATATTTATGTTATTTTTATATGAACTGTGAGTTTACGCTTGACAAAGAGGAAGTATTTATTTACGGTAGTGAAGCATTAGACAATCTCGATAATGTCAGAGAAGAGAATATATACAAAATATTAGAAGGAGAAGCACTTTATCAAGATGTTATAACAACCAAAAGTAATCCTGATTCCACTCCTATGCCATACCATTAAAGATTCTACAAATTGTTACAGAATTTTCCTCTGCCAATAAAGTCATGTAACAATGTTAAATGGGGGAAAGATTCTTTTAAGGCTCATAATGTTTCTAAATTTCATAGACCAGTAAAAATTTTAAAACGATCTTAGAGGTGCAATATAGGAGTACCAACTTTTTAATCTTATAAAGTAAAAACATTTTAAAACAAACATTATAAACTGTATATGTAAAGATAATTAAAATGGCAAATTTTATATTATGTACATATTACCACAGTTTAGAAATACAAAAAGAAAGCTATTACCAACACCATTTCATTTTTTTTTTTTTAAAAAGACATAAACACTAAAAAACAAGTCTTTTTAAATTCAATTCCGTATACAGAAAGTTATTCCTCGAAAGAATTCCTCCTATGGGGCTACCCTTACCTCTGACTGGGGCTAAGGTGGAGTTTTCTTTTTTCAGGGTCCCAAATATTGCACAACCAGGCAGGTCGGAAGCTCCATAAATCCATGACTGGAATCCAGGCAGGCTGGCATACAGGCCTCTGGCTCATCCCTTAGCGGTTTGTCCTCCATTCTTCACAGCTTCTCCACTCTGATCTACACTTTCCTATGATTCCTTTAAGACTCCCTCCCCAGCCCAGGCAAAACATCTCATCTCATAATCCATAGAGAAAACAGACATTAAGGAATAGAAACTCCCTTCCCTTCCTGCCAAAACACTGACAAGTCTACCCTGGGCATCCGCTTTTCCTCTCCATCTTCCCCCCAAGGGTTATGAATTCCATCTTGGGGGGCTGACCCTCTCAGCTGTGTCCTCTTTCTGTATCATCTTCATCCTGTCCTTAGCTAATGAATTCTACCTCTGAGAATTCAAGCGTCTTCTAGTGTTTCCCATCTTAAACACAGTCAGGGCTCCCCAGGCTACCTACCAAGGTGTGCACTACTGCAGGTATACAAGACCCTAGGGCAGAAGGGCTTGCAGTTGGGGTTTAATGTGGTTGCTGTCTTGAATTGTAAGGACTTTCGTTTTGGATGTGTGTTTTGTAAGTGAAGGTCAATGGGAAAATGAGGCACACACTGGGGACTGGGGCCTCTGCTCTCACAGGGTCCTGTCGCCTCCTAGGAGGGTATCTGGGCTGCCCGCTCCCACAGCTCTTGATACCCCTGCTGGTCCTCTCCCACTCTGCTCCACTGCCACTGCTGAAAGGGATCCAAGCAAGGTGTGGGGTTTAAGTATGCATACCCACAGCATCTTGAGTGCACAAAAGCCCCAAACGGGCAGTATCACTTTCTGTCTGGTGGCTGCCTGGCTGGAGGCAATCTCTTGGTGAGGGTGAGCCTTTGGCCCAGCCCGGATTCCAGATCCAGTCATGGAGGTTTAAGGATCCTTGGTGGTTACCATCTGCTGTGGGTTGGAGCAATAGGCCCGTGGCTCAAAGTCCCCAAACCCTGTCCCCAGCAGGGCATTCAGGTCAGGAGGTTTGCATGAATGTCATCACAGCAAGCTATCAGGCCCAGCACACATTAGTGGGACCCCAGGGCCCTCTGACCGTCTGTATTTGCTCTGATTACCCACCCCTAATCCTCTAGGGCCCCAGGGCCAGAGTGTTCTCTGGGCTGTTTCCCTGCCTGGGGATGGGATCCTCTCCCTCCTTCCAGCCTTCCCGAGTCTGGCTGTGTTCAGTCTCTTCTAGCCGGCTTGAGGCATCCTCCAGGGACAAGCCACAGAATATAAACTGTGTAATTTCAGTGACTCCACATGAGTTAAATATTCTGAAATTTGCATTTAAAACTGGTGTTGCACAATATAAACAGTAAAATTCATGCTGATAATTCACATTTTTAATTGTTCTTTACTCTGAACATGAAATAGTGCATAAAAAACATGACAAGTCAGGATGGAAACCCTGGAAGAAAAGAAAAAGCTTTAGGTGTACCTTTAATGACACTTTTTTCCTCCCTTTGAAACAAAGGGCCCCTAGATTATAGAGGCAGCTCTGAGTCCACCTCTTCCTGCAGATACTGTTCTGTCAGTTTGTGACAAGCTTCTCAAGAGTCGTCTGCCACAACTAGGTCTTTCTGTTGTGAATGCATGCCCAGGTCTTTTGGCATTCTTCCCCCTCCCCACTTTAATTTCACAAGTAATACTGGCATACAGTCCTTCTGTAAAAGATTCATGCAATTGATATATTTTTTAAAGTCCAACAGAACAACATCCACTGCATTCCCATTCCTATAATTACCCAGGAATACCATGATCTAAGCCTAACTAGAGAGTGTATTTCTAGATCACTTTCTGTATATTTATTTACGTGATATGTATGTGTGGAGACAGAGGAGAGAGAGAATATATGAATATAAGAATGTATGGTTTTGTGTGTTTTAAACTAATGATAGATAATATTTATATTCCATAACTTTTTAATGTAATATTTCACCTTGGAGATTATATCAAATAATGAAAATCTGCTTCATCATTTTAAAATGGCTGTTTAGTATTCCATAATATGGGTGCATTATAGTTTATCAAACTAAGATTATTTCTATTATAATGTCACAACAACAACAAAAAAATATATATATATCTTTTTGTATACATGTATAAGTATTTCTCTAGGAGAGACATCCAAAAAGGAATTATTTTCTGGATTAAAGAATATGCTTACTTAAAAAAAAATTTCACTGATACTGCCAAATTGCCGTCTAAGAAAACCAGATCAGCTTATTTTGTTTCCTCCTCTCCCCCCATATGAACACTTGATAATATTAATCTTTTATAGTTTCACCTATCTGGTAGACAACAATGGTATATCATTTGCCTATTACATCACTTACCCATTTTGCTCTCTCAGGTTATTTCTTTTAATTTGTTAATGTGTTCTTTGGAACTGAATGAATTGAGTCTTTTTTTTTTTTTTTGAGGTAGAGTCTTGCTCTGTTGCCCAGGCTGGAGTCCAGTGGCTTGATCTCTGCTCACTGCAACCTCCACTTCACGGGTTCAAGAGATTCTCCTGCCTCAGCCTCCTCAGTAGCTGGGATTACAGAAGCCTACCACAATGCCTGGCTAGGTTTTTTGTTTGTTTGTTTGTTTGGTATTTTTAGTAGAGACGGGGTTTCACCATGTTGGCCAGGCTGGTCTCGAACTCCTGACCTTAAGTGATCCACCGCCTTGGCCTCCCTAAGTGCTGAGATTACAGGCATGAGCCACCATGCCGGGCCCCAATTCTAAGTCTTGGCTCTTGGCCGGCTCTATGTGTGTGTGTTAAGTACAATTTGTTTCAGAATAAGTTTAGCTTTACAGAAAAGTTGCAAAGATAGTACAGAGAGTTCCTGCTGACTTCCCCTAATATTAATATCTTGCATAACTATGGGACATTTGTTGAAAACTAAACGATTAACGTGGGTACAGTATAATTAAATTGCATCAAGTTCTGCCTGTTTTAACTCTTTAATTTCTCTTATATGCTTCCAATTTTGCCAATTCCTCCTACTTTCCAAATGTGAAAACTATTTTGGACATGTTACTTTCGAGCCTCTGGACTTTCATAAGCTTAGGTGTGCGAGGGTGCCTGGAGGAGGCAGAGAGCATAAATACAAAGTCACATAGAGGGTCCACGTGGAGTTTCACATTTCTGATTCAGTTCAGGAAACTTTTTTCCTCATGCTCACCTTTATGAAAGAACTGCTGTGAGACATTTCTGAGCCTCAAACACTAAGGGGAGAGTAGAAGAAATTTACAGCTCTTTAGATTAGTCTGTCCTCCCAAGATGGCAGGGAGTGCCAAATTCATTGCCTTAAAAAAAAGAAAAAAAAAAAAAAGATTTCTTAAAAGCAGCAGAAGACTCCCCCAGAGTATAATGTTTGCATTTTTTTACAATGTGTGTGTTATAAAACCTTTATAATAAGTCTTTCAAAACAAATAAATGTAAAATACAGAAAAATTAGTAGAACTTGCTAAAACACTGCATTTTAAAAAGAGGTAAGCATACTTTTTATTTTAAAAATGTTTTAAAGGACGATAAATACACATCTGTAAAAAGAAACACTGGAAGGAAAACTAAGAACAAGTAATAATGGTTACTTTTAGAGGAGACAGAGGGCAGCAATGATATGAGACTTTTCTAGATATGCCCTATAAACCACTTTGGCTCTGGAAACAAAAATTCTTACATTAAAAAAAAAATACAATGAAATTTAAAAAAAAAGCCATCTCTAAAAGCTGAAAACAAATTGAAGAAAGAAAATTAATTTACATTAAATCAGTGACCTAACTAAATAGATAAAAGAATTATTTCCAATGATACTAGCATATTCTAATGAAAGTGGCACTGTAAAAAAATCTTAAATTTAATTCAGTAGTCTTTTAGTAATAACACTATTACTCTGAAACTGCTCTATATGTGTGTATGTGTACATCAACTAAAACTGTTACATATTCATTAGCATGTCATCTAATATGTAATTACACATGTCAGAATAATATTATTTATATGATAAATGTATAATAATTATATATAATGTATTGTCTAATATATGATGTAATATATATTAGTACATTTTACGTCTATTAGCAATTAACACACATCAATTTATATGAACATTACCATACTATGTATATAATAGTTTTGAAGCTACATATAAATATATAAGAATTTCAAAGTAATATTAACATTATTATATATTAGTGTATAATAATGCTAATATTACATATTATTACACTAATATATATTAATGTGTGTTAATGTTGTTAGAAACCAAGATTTTCTGTTTAAGAGAAAAGAGAAACAAGTATAAAATAAAAAAAGTTAAGATTTTGCAATTCTAGTTTAAGTTGAAAAACTCAGCATTAATTTTTTTTTAATATAATGCCTAGCTCTGGCCATTGAAAAGGACTGGGAGTAATGGAAATTCAATAGCAAGGAGTACTCCTAATGTCCGTATTGTAATCTCCAACTAGGAACAGCTGATTACAGGTCTGGAGCAAGAAATATACAAGATAATATTGGGACATTTTGGGCCAGAAAGCAAGGAAGTTCTCAAAGAATAATGAGTCAAAAGGATACAGAAGCCAACAACAAGTAGCTCTTATTGGCCAAAGATGATACAATTTGATCCTCAAAAGAAAAGAAACAAACAAAGGAAGAAAAGAAAAAGAATGCACCTGACTGAAAAACCCTGAATATCTAAAACCCATTAATTCACAATAACAAAAAAGAGCAGGAAAGCAAGAGAGCCCCCAAAACAAACAATAACCTATTGAACACCCCTGGATAAAACTTGGGAACCAAGTCCGTACTCTGTAAGCTGTCAATTAAAAGAGGAGAAAGAGGAGAATATATTTTGTATGAACTTTATTTCAGATAGCCAAATAACTCTAATTGCTGAGGGAAAGTTTTTCTTAATAAATCTGGAAGGAATTATAGAAAATCATCATCCTGTACTACTTAATGAAATAATAGATTCAGGCAGTGATCATCAAAGGATCAAATGATCAATCTTAGCATCACTGAAGGCAAGACAAGCAAACATTTATGCCTCCCATGTGAGGCAATTGGAAGCACACAGTAGTATCTATGAAGGATTCCTGCCAAAAAGTGAAACCTGAATGAAATCCAGTCTACAGGGCTAATGTGCATAAACAGAAATACAAGGGAAGGAGGTACAAGTTAAATGACTCCAAAGGCAAGCTTTACAGACGGATGTGGGAGGGCCTATATAGGAAAAGAGACCCCATTTTAAAAACAAGTTAATAAAAAAGAAAAGGAAAATGGGACTGCTGTGGATTTTATGTGGATTTCTTTTCAAATCTACTCACTGTAAAACGACATTTTAAAGACAACTAGAGAAATTTGATTATGGACTGAGTGTTAGATGGGACCTAGATGTGACAATGGCATCATGACTACATAAGGAAGGGACCCCTTTTTAGGAGATACATGTTGAAATATTTACAGTTGAAATGACATGTTTGGGATTTGCTTTTAAATACTTCAGCAAAGAGAAAAATAAAAAATAGAGGCAGCAAATGCGGCAAAATATTCAAAATTGGTGAATCAGGCGATGAGCACATGGAGGGTTTATTGTATTATTCATCTTTCTTTGGAGTATGTTTAAATGTTGGTGTACATTTGACAGTTCTTTATCACGCAAATCAACAATAACATAAAAACTGAAATATTTCTGTCAGCTAAAATAGGTAGACTGTAAATAATTGCCATACATTATTCCTGTCCCTGTTTGGATGTGCCACTGTGGCTCTTCTCATCAACAGATGGAGTCTTTTCTTCCATCCCTTGAATCTGGTCAGCAGTGAGAACTGCTTTAGTTAAAGGGTAAACATGACACAAGCAGAGGCTTGAAAAGCACTAGGGCATTGGGGCGGCTGAGAGCCCTGGGCCTACCACAGGAGAAGTTCAGACTAGCTTGCTGGAGAGGTCATGTGGAAAAGAAATGAGACCCTGGCTGAGGGTCTGCCAACCTGTAGACATATGAGTGAGGGAATTGTAGACCACACAGCCCCAGCCAAGCCACAAACTGACTGCATCTGCAGAGTCAGCCCAGGCAAGTCTAGCTGTCTGAGCCAGATTTGCCGACGCACAGAATCATGATTGTTTTTTAATATGCTAAATACTGAGGTGGTTTGTTACATGGCAATGACTGACTGATACATAAGGATAAACCTATAGAAGTACTATACACATATGCAGAAAACTGTCTTAGCTTCTTAGCACTGTGAGGGACATGCCATGTACTCAATAAGGATGTCTGAATGGGAATTCCATGTCACTAGAAAATGGTATATATGGAAACTGTCTAAAGGCAATGGAAGGCTTAGGTAGACTACTTCCTTTTGTGTATATGAAGTACTATCAAACCAAGTAGTTACTCCACTGATAGAGGCAGATGTGGGAAGATAAACTATGTAGAACTTTTTTTCCTTGGAAGACTAAAAAGGTCTGGCTTTGCCGCTGGTCAACTATGACCAGACACTACGGAAACAGTCATTGAGATTGCTGGCAGATGGCCTGGCCTTTCTCCCCTGACACAATTCTGCAACCCAAGTGGCCAGTGTGTGGAGAGAACACACATCCCTGTGAGAGGCCGCCTAGCTTTTCCTCCCCTAAGGGCCACACTGGGCCACCCTAGCACACATCAACTTGGCTGGCACACTTTCCTGCAAAGCAGATTCCACTCTGTGTACTCTGAGAACAAATCATGTTTCCTCCTTGCCAAAGGTTTTTGCTTGCAAATGTTGGATCCAGGTATAAGGATTAATGAGGGAATATTTAGAGTGCCACAAAAAAAAAGTTCTATATAGAAGCCACAGAAGTACATGTGGATCTTCTAGTAGAGGTATTTTTTACTAAAAGAAAATACCAAAACATTTTCATCTTAAAAAGCTCAAGTAAATCTGATCAATTTAGCAGAATCACATAATTTGTAATAATATACGTATAAGGATTGTGTAGTTAATCTTAGTATCATTAGCAAAATACTATACTTGTAAAAGAAAAATTCAAGATAGTTAAATATTTCTCCATAATAGTAGCTATTTAATTGGAAAATTTTTTGTTTTCTTTGAGACAGTCTCGCTCTGTCACCCAGGCTGGAGTGCAGTGGCATAGTCTCAGCTCACTGCAACCTCTGCCTCCCGGGTTCAAGCAATTCTCATGTCTCAGCCTCCCGAGTAGCTGGAATTACAGGTGCACACCACCACATCCTGCTAATGTTTGTATTTTTAGTAGAGATGGGATTTGGCCATGTTGGGAGGCTAATCTTGAACTCCTGACCTCAAGTGACCTGCCTGCTCTAACCTCCCAAAATTGCTAGGATTACAGGTGTGAACCACCACACCCGGCCTACTTGGAAAGTATTTTTAAATTAATTGATACTTTAATCTTTGATGAATATAGCTATTCTCAGTATATTAAAATGACTACTCACACAACGCCACCCACATTTACATGCTAATTTATCCAACCTCCTCATTTATATTTTTAAAGATGCAATATAATTTTTGTAAGTATATATATATATATATATATATATATATATATTTTTTTTTTTTTTTTTTTTTTTTTTTTTTTTTTGAGACGGAGTCTTGCTCTGTCCCCAGGCTGGAGTGCAGTGGCGCGATCTCGGCTCACTGCAAGCTCCACCTCCCGGGTTCATGCCATTCTCCTGCCTCAGCCTCCTGAGTAGCTGGGACTACAGGCGCCTGCCACCACGCCCGGCTAATTTTTTGTATTTTTAGTAGAGACAGGGTTTCACCATGTTAGCCACGATGGTCTCAATCTCCTGACCTCGTGATCGGCCCACCTCGGCTTCCCAATGTGCTGGGATTACAGGCATGAGCCACTGGGCCCGGCCGTAAGTATATTTTTTAAAGCTTAAGAATCTTGTGAGTAAATAGGGATTTTTTTTTTTTTTGAGACAAAGTCTCACTCTGTTGCCAGGCTGGAGTGCAGTGGCGAGATCTCGGCTCACTGCATCCTCCACCTCCCAGGTTCAAGCAATTCTCTGCCTCAGCCTCCAGAGTAGCTGGGATTACAGGCGGGCACCACCCGCCCAGCTAATTTTTGTGTTTTTGGTAGAGACAGAGTTTCACCATCGTGGCCAGGCTGTTCTTGAACTCCTGACCTCGCAATCCACCTGCCTTGGCCTCCCAGAGTGCTGGGATTACAGGCATGAGCCACCGCACAGCCGGCCTGAGATGTTTTATACTATTTTGCAGTAGCAAACTTCTATCCAGTAAATGTTTCAAGTATCTTTTTGAACCATGACTTTGGAGTTAACATTATTCAATGAGGTTAATGACACAAAAAGATAATTAAATATGGTGAACGGAAAGAATGGACAGTAAAAGCTAAGAAAAATTGGTGGCAGCTTCATTATTTGTGAAACTAAACTTGAAGGGGACAAATTAAAACTTGCAGCTGAGCTTCAAGTGCAGCAAAAACCGGCAGAAACCAGGGTCCCCACAGGGATTCTGCGCTTTGGGGAGAACTTCTGTTCTTCTGCTCCTGTTTTGTCCTGTTTTGTCTTTCTGAAAAGGCAACACAAAGAGCTGAGGAAAAGCCAATAGATTCATTATCATTCTACCTAATAATAAAATAATGTTCTCTTAACAAAGTGTGGACACACATGGCGAAGGCATCAGAAAGAACCTGATGGAAATAATCTGGAAAAGGTCTTTTGGGAATGAAGTTTCCTCATCTGCAGAATGGAGGAGGGGTAATGAGAGGGGCTTGTTGGGGGCCAGGAGAAGTGGGCTGGATGAATTCCAAGATCCTTTATAGCTATAACTTTCAGTGATCTAGGTTAAAAGCTGAAGATCTTTTTCATCCCTGACTATGAGGCCAATGTGAGATGTGGTTATCTGTAGGTCTTACAGTGCTTATTATAAAACTATATATTAATACTTTGTTTCCATGAAAAGCTCTAATTTTAAATGTGTGTAATTTTAAATGTGATTAATATTTCCATAACGGAGTGCATATTATATGAAAATCAAAAGTTTTATAAAAGCTGGGCACATTTAAAAACATACAAAATCCCAGCTCAGCTTAAGTATATGGTTGCAAGAGTGTGTGTTTTCAAAGGGTGGGGCTTCCTGTCTCTGGATTGTTTGGAAACATTCTGACAAAGCCAAATTCATTTCACTGATATCCTGAATGCAGCAAGGAACTGGTGCCTAAAATAGCACAAAATTGCCTGTAGTCCCAGCTACTGGCGAGGCTGAGGTGGGAGGATCACCTGACCCCAGGAGGTTGAGGCTGCAGTGAGCTATGATCGCGCCACTGCACTCCAGCCTAGGCCACAGGGCGAGACCCTAGCTGCAAAAAAAAAAACAAAAAGCACAAAACATGATACTCTAACATGTAGAATCAGTTTAAGTCAACTAAGAAATGTGATAAACACCCAAAAGATTTCAAATCTGTATTCTCTAAATCCTTTTGAGAGAGTCTCCACAATTAGCTGGACTGGAAAACTTAGCAACATTTAGCATACTTTTCGGTCACATATTCATTCATTCTTTTTTTAACTATTCAACAAATAGGTAAATAGATGGACGGGGAAAGAGAGAGAGAGAGAGACAGAGAGAGACAGAGAGAGAGAGAGGAGATAGATACCTCTTACTACATGCCAGAAACAATTTCTTTTAAAATTTTTCCAGTTTTTTTCTTCTTTAACTTCATACTCCCTTTGTCTCCTGTCTTTGTTGGGTATGATTATTCAAGAATACATTTAACTTGTGGCACTAAATCCAGAGCACTCTCTAATAGGGAGAAAACACAACCACTGTGGTGTCAGGAGGAGGAAGTAAATGTGTGAGCAGCTTGGTACACTCTTCACTATCCTCACCTCAAAGGAAATACAGAGGTGGATCAGGAAGCCAGTTTCAACTGGACTTACTGCTGCTTCTTGCTGACACTATTGTTACGTTATCTGTGGGATGATCAACTTTTTTTTTTTTTTTGAGAGACAGAGTCTTGCTCTGTCGCCAGGCTGGAGTGCAGTTGCACAATCTCAGCTCACTGCAAGCTCCGCCTCCCGGGTTCACGCCATTCACCTGCCTCAGCCTCCCGAGTAGCTGGGACTACAGGCACCCGCCACCACGCCTGGCTAATTTTTTGTATTTTAGTAGAGACGGGGTTTCACCGTGTTGGCCAGGATGGTCTCCATCTCCTGACCTCGTGAACCACCTGCCTCAGCCTCCCAAGTACTGAGATTACAGGCCTGAGCCACTGCGCCCAGCCGGGATGATCAACTTTTAAAGAGTCAACCTGGGACACAGTGATAATGACAAAAACCATAACAACATAACATTGCTATGGTCTGAATATCCCCCCAAATTCATGAGTTGAAACTTAATCACCAATGTCATAGTATTATGAAGTGGGGCCTTCAGAGGCAACTAAGTCATGGAGACAGAGCCCTCATGAATGAGATTACTGACCTGATAAAAGGGCTGGAGGGAGAGAGATCACCCCTTTTTACCCATCCATCATTTTTCTGCCTCTGTCATGTAAGAAAACAGTCTTCCTCCCCTCTAGAGGATACAGCCACAAAGTGCCAACTTGGAAGCAGAGAGCAGCCCTCAAAGACACCAAACCCACTGGCGCAGCCCCCTTGGACCTTGCAGCTTCCAAAACAGTGAGAAATAAATTTATACTGTCCATGAATTACCCAATCTATGATATTTTGCTATAGCAACACAAATGGACTAAGACAAACATAAAAGAAGTAATTACACACGTGTTACTGCTTTAACACAGAAAAGATGTGGAGGTGAAATATATTATTCCGTATTATTTACTTTTCTGTAACATAAATGTTATTATTTAAACAGAACAACAATAGAACTAGTTAATGATAGTAATTAATAGTAGAACAAATTAAGCAATGTGTGAGAAAAATATAACAATACTTTTAAATGTTTCTTTCTGTTCTCTGATACAGGAGTTTATTTTAACTATTTTTTTAAAAAGTCTTCCTAGCACTTTGGTAGGCTGATGCGGGTGGATCACCTGAGGTCGGGACTTCAAGACCAGCCTGACCAACATGGAGAAACCCCATCTCTACTAAAAATACAAAATTAGCTGGGAGTGGCAGTGGGTGCCTGTAATCCTAGCTACTCAGGAGGCTGAGGCAGGAGAATCACTTGAACCCGGGAGGCGGAGGTTGTGGTGAGCCAAGATGGCGCCCTTGCACTCCAGCCTAGGCAACAAAAGAGAAACTCCGTCTCAAAAAAAATTAAAAACAAAAAGTCTCTATTTGTTATTTAAATTTTGTAGGCTTTATATGTTGTGTATTCTTAACACATATAAATGTACGACTTTTACAAAGAAAACATAAATACAACATGGCTAATTTAAAAGATAGTACCTATATTTAGTAACAACAGCAAAAGATCATGTCCTGTTTCTTTCTGCCCCATGACACAGTGGGATATCTTTACTCTTTCTGTTTCCTTTTCCAATAACACTTCTTTGAACTGCCTGCAGTGGTAAGACATATCTCTTTTGACTTGCACCTCTGCTCTTCTCAAGCGCACAATACACTGATTCCTGGTATCAATCCAATGTGATGACATCAAGCTAAATATCCTCTCAAAAGCATCTGAGTGTGGAATACCTATAATTTTATTTCCTAGCAAGAATAGGATTTTAGACTTAGGAGGATTCATTTCCAGCTCTCCAAAAATGTCCATCCCTTTGTTAATTAGGTTGTTAGCATCTATAAATTCATCATATAGGCTACACATATATAAAATATCCACTGTTCTATAAAACCTTTTATTTTGAAACAATCGTAGATTAACAAGAAGTTGGCCAGGCGTGGTAGCTCACGCCTGTAATCCCAGCATTTTGGGAGGCTGAGGCAGGTGGATCACTGGAGGCCATGAGTTCAAGACTAGTCTGGCCAATATGGCAAAACCCTGTCTCTACTAAAAATACAAAAATTAGCCAGGTGTGGTGGTGCACATCTATAATTCCAGCTACTTGGGAGGCTGAGGCATAAGAATTGCTTGAACCCAGGAGGCAGAGGTTGCAGTGAGCTGAGATTGCACCACCGCACTCCAGCCTGGGTGATGGAGTAAGACTGTGTCTCAAAAAAGAAAATAAAACAAGAAGTTGCAAAGAAATGTACAGGGTAGTACAAGCTACCCACACCCAGCCCCTCCAATGTGAAGAATACCTTACATAACTCTAGAACAATATTCAAACCAAGAAATTGACATTGGTACATTCCAAACATGTTATTCAGATTTCACCTGTTATACATGTACTCTGTGTGTCTGTGTGTGTGTGTGTGTGTGTAGTGTGCACAGCTCTCTGCAACTTTATCACAATGTAGTCTTTCTTGTATAACCATAACCACCACCACCACTGAGGGATTTAACTATGCCTTCACCACAAGACTCTCTCATGTTACTCCTTACAGCCTACACCCATCCTCTCTCCCCAGTCCCTAACCCCTGGCAACTACTAACCTGTTCTCCCTCTCTATAATTATGTTACTTCATGAACATTACATAAATGGAACCATACAGTACGTAACCTGCTGGAATTATGTTTGTTCATCACCGTAACTTCCTTGAGGTTTATACAAGTTGTTGCATGTATCAATGGTTCCTTCCTTTTTATCAGAATAGTAATCCACAGTAAAAATTCACCTTTTTTTTTTTTTTTTTTTTTTTTTGAGACGGAGTCTGGCTCTGTCACCCAGGCTGGAGTGCAGTGGTGCCATCTCGGCTCACTGCAAGCTCCGCCTCCCGGGTTCACGCCATTCTCCTGCCTCAGCCTCCCGAGTAGCTGGGACTACAGGAGCCCACCACCATGCCCGGCTAATCTTTTGTATTTTTACTAGAGACGAGGTTTCCCTGTGTTAGCCAGGATGGTCTTGATTTCCTGACCTCGTGATCTGCCCGCCTCAGCCTTCCAAAGTGCTGGGATTACAGGTGTGAGCCACCGCACCCGGCCTAAATTCACCTATTGAAGGACATTTGAGTGGTTTCCAAATTTCTTGCTATTATAAAAATAGTGGCTGGGTACAGTAGCTCATGCCTGTAATCCCAACACTTTAAGATGCCAAGGTAAGAGGATCACTTGAGCCCAGGAATTCAAGACTAGCCTGGGCAACATAGTGAGACCTCATCTCTACATTTAACAGTTTAAAAATTAGCAGGGTGTGGTGGTGTGCACCTGTAGTCCCAGCTACTCAGGAGGCTGAGGTGGGAGGATTGAGCCTAGGAGGTAGAGGCTACAGTGAGCTATGACTGTGACACTTTACTCCATCTTTGGTGACAGAGAGAGAACTTGTCTCTAAAAATATAAATAATAAAATAACAAGAAAAATATTATACGAAAACCGTGAAACTGTTATGAACATTCCTGTACAAATCCCCATGTGAAAATAACTCTTCATTTCTCTGGAATAAATGCCTAAGAATTGAAATGATAAGTTGTATGGTAAATTCATTTTTAGTTTTGAAAGGAACTACCAAATTGTTTTCCAGTGTGGCTGTCTCATTTTATATTCCTACCACCAATGTAGGAGTGATCCAGTTTCTTTGCATCCTTGCCAACATATGATGTTTTCACTATTTTTTCACTCTAGCCATTCTGATTTGTGTGTAATGATACCTTGTGGTTTTATTAAGAATTTGCATTTCTTCAAAAGCTAATGACATTGAACAGCTTTTCATGGGCTTACTTGCCACCTGCATGTCCCCTTGATGAGGTGTGTGTGTCTTTTGTCCAGTTTCTAATCAGATTTTTTTAAACTATTGAGTTTTGAGAGGTCTTTATATATTTATGTGCAAGGACTTTGTTGAATATGCGATTTGCGAATGCAGTATTTTCTCTCATCTAGTTTGTTTTTTCATCCTTTCAGCAGACTCTTTCCCAGAGCAAAGGTTGATTCTGATGTGTTCTAATTGATCAGTTTTTCCTCTTATGGATTGTTTTTGGCATCAAGTCTAACAGGTCTTCACCCAGTCCTAAGTCCTCTCTCTTATGAATTTTCTAGAAGTTTTATAGTTTCACATGTAAGTTTGTCCATCATTTTTAAACACTCTGAAGAGATGTTATTAAGTTAAACGTCTCTTTCTCAGGTTGGGCAAGAGGGAAGAAATGTAGGTGAGGATAGACGAAGGGGCGATAAGAAAGGGTGACGGAAGACAGGCTCGGCAGACTTTCCCGTGAGAGAAATGCTCCAGACAGCACCCTGTTCCTCCAGGAGCTGAATCTTGGGCATGGATTCTCCCTACCCCATCCCCGCCCATCCTGCCCACAACACTGCCCCAGGACACGCCTCCTGAGGCCAGGCAGCCTCCATCTTTATGTGGCCAAAGGGGGTCTAGGTAGTTGTCAGCTTCAGCTTCTGGAAAGAGACCAGCTGCTGTATCCAGTGGGTCCCAGTGGTTTGCTTAGATAGGATGCCACTCACTATGCCAGGTGTTTGGGATAGAAGAAAGAATAACTGGAAGGTCTCAGTATTCAAAGAACCTACAGTCCAGAGAAGGACACAAAATAAGAAAGAAGAGAGCAAGGGCTAAGGGTACAGGTAGGAGAGAGAAGCAGAAAAGGGGAGCATAACTGAGACTTCGGGAAGGCTTTCCTAGGAGATAGCACTGTAGATGTGTGGCTATCTGAAATTGCAAACTGTGAACCAGAGAATAAGAGTTCCTGCATTTCAAAGTCCTTGAAGTAGATTTCAAAGGGTACCAGTTTGAGGGCTGCTCTTCTAAAAATAGGACACTGGCATTTCCCATGAGCAACAAGAACTCACAAGAAGGTGGAATGTGACTGGATAAGGCTGACAACAAGGGGAAGCAAGCCTGACATTCTCCCCACCAGCCTGGAAGTCTGGGCCTTAGCAAATGTGAAAGGCTAGGGTTCAAGCTGAAACCCCGTGTCCTTATGTAACCTAGACGAGGCTGCAGTTTAGTTGGGCTAGGCTACGGCCAAAAGCTTACCAAGCAGAAATTCAGGGGGAAAATATTTCAGCAAAAATATTTAACCCACTGAAAATAATTTATACTTGTTCATATGTTTACAAACAACCTGCTGATTAAAATGGCTCTTAACTACTCATTAAAAGGAGGCCCACCCTTCAGGACCTATACTTTGCAACACTTAGTTACTATTTAATTGGAGATACAGTATAAGCAAAAATATGAAAAGGCTGCATTTCTTTATATGCTATAATTTTACTTTGTGATGATTCTAACTTTCTCTGCCCTCAATTAGTCTGATTTAGTGATGTCTTGTCATGTATAGGCTATAAAATCCTGATGCTGTTTCTCAACTTGCCAGTCAGAATAGCAGGATTAATAAATTCTCAAGATTTTTAAAAGATCAAAATTGGAGCCCCTGTTTTTTTCCTTCCTTCCTCCTCCTCCCTCCCTCCCCTCCTTTTTCCTTCCTTTCTTCCCTGATTTTTAGTAACATTTATCATAAAAAATACAACCTATATATTTCTTGACCATAACTTACATGTGATTGAGAAGCATCGAATTAGAGTTTGTGGTCTCTGTCTTCCAATATCTTGTATGTACTATACATAATAAAGTTGGTTCATCATCATAACTGGGGCTTTTTAAAGCCAGAACCCCATCAAGAATTCCCATAAGTAGGAACATTTCCAGAAGTGGTAGGGTACAGTAAGATTTTTTGATCTGCTGGTAAACGCTGACGGGGATACCCACTTAGGCTATTTTATTTTGAAAGAGCGATGAAAATTTGAGCAAATGATAGCTTCCAGATACAGTAAGTCCTCACTTAACATCATTGATAGAGTCTTAGAAACTGCCACTTTAAGTGAAACGACGTATAACAAAAGCAGTTGTATCATAGGTTCATTGATATAAACAAGAGTTAAGTTCCTGGAGCATATTTCTGGCCATGAAAACATCACCAAACTTCTAAATAAAAGCCCCAAACGCTTCTAACTATTAAGCATTGAAATAAATGTGAGCTATACATACATTTAAGTAAGATTAATAAGAACAAGTAAGATAGCTATTTACTCAATTCTTCCATTATCAGGAATAATTAATTGAGTCTGCCAGATCGTGTCCCAACAGCTCAGGGTGCAAGGAGGGAACCAACCCTGGACAGTATGCCATCCCCACCGCAGGTGCACCCACACACACCCACACTCACACTGGGACCAAGCAGACACCATGGTTCACCTCACATGCACGGCTTTGCAATGTGGGAGGAAACCAGAGTACCTGCAGAAACCTACAGAGACATGGGGAGACCATGCAAACTCCACACAGACAGTGGCCCCGCGCCAGGAATTGCTTTCTAGTCAATGTTGTAAGAAAATGACATTGAATGAAATGATGTTATTCAAGAACCTGCTGTAAAGGAAGGCCAATATATGATCAGAAGTGCACATCTCTAATGAAGAAATCAGGAAGAGCCATTTTGCTTTCCCTTAACCCTGCTGCCCCCAGGTAACAATAGTAAGTTTCCTTCAGTTACCCCTTTCTTTTCCACATAGAAGAAGGAAATTTCACTTTTGAAATGTTGAATTATCCTGTTTTCACGCAAGCAAAGTTGCATAATGGTCTTGGCTTTGCCAGCTACATGGTGTCTACAGGTGGACAAAATGCCTATTTCTGTGTCCTTACCAATAAAAATGGGATAATCACTGATTTTTTTAAAAAGTCATTGCTATAAAGATTAAAACGAACTCCTGTATGAGAAAGTAAATAAAACCACTAAAAAATATGAGTAAAAATGCTCATTTTGTAACCAAATGATTCTTTATGTCCCTTTTATTTTGTCCTGCTATTTGCTATTGATTGCTGTTCCTATCTTTGACTTTTCTTTCTGTTTTTTTTCTTTTTTCTTTTCTTTTTTTTTTTCTTTTTTTGAGACGGAGTTTCGCTCTTGTTGCCCAGGCTGGAGTGCAATGGCGCAATCTCGGCTCACTGCAACATCCGCCTCCCGGGTTCAAGCGATTTTCCTGACTCAGCCTCCTGAGTTAGCTGGGATTACAGGTGCCCACCACCACACCTGGCTAATTTTGTATTTGTAGTAGAGACGGGGTTTCTCTATGTTGGTCAGGCTGGTCTCGAACTCCCAACCTCAGGTGATCCGCCAGCCTCAGCCTCCCAAAATGCTGGGATTACAGGCGTGAGCCACCGTGCCCAGCCTACCTTTGATTTTTCTATCAATGCAAAGTTGGAGGAGTTAAGCAACCATTCCTAAGATGAAGAAAGTTATCTTCTAGACCAAATTCAATTTTCAGCAGTAAGGAACAGACAAAAAATCCTCTTCCCCTGCCCCACAGCTTCCATTGTACTAGAAAAACACAGACAACAAATAAAACAAATAAGAAAAATATGTGAAATGTTCAATGGTAGTAAGTGCTAGAGAGGAAAAACTAAGTGAAGAAAGTGAAGGAGGAGGATAGGGCATCTGTGGGGAAGGCAGGGGACGGCTCAATCTATGGATTCAGGAAGGGTGTGGTCTGCGTGCTCCCAGTGTGAGTGTGGGTGTGTGGGCTGGAAGAGGCCAGGGAGTGAGTCACATGTACATCCAGGAAAATGCTTCCAGGCAGAAGGGACAGTAACCACAAGGTGGGAGAGGCCTTGATGTATCTGAGGACAGCTGGAGATCAGTGGGCTGAAGCAGAGTGAGAATTGAAGGGGAGGAGAGCAAAGAAGCAGCAGAGCTGGGCTAGGGTGGGCAGAGCACCAGAGTGACTGTTTTTTTGTGTGTTGTTTTGAAACAGAGTCTTGCTCTGTCGCCCAGGCTGGAGCCTTGAGACGGAGTCTCCCTCTGTCTCCCAGGCTGCAGTGTGCGGCTCACTGCAACCTCCTCATCTCGGGTTGAAGCGCTTCTCCTGCCTCAGCCTCCCGAGTAGCTGGGACTACAGGCATGCATCACCACGCCGGCGGATTTTTGTATTTTAGTAGAGACAGGGTTTCATCATGTTGGCCAGGCTGATCTCGAACACCTGACCTCAAGTGATCTACCCTCCTCAGCCTCCCAAAGTTCTGGGATTACAGGCATGAGCCACTGCACCCGGCCCACAGTGGCTGTTCTAACAGAAACGCTGCTGCTGTGCAGAGAAGGAAGGCAAGAGCAAGGGTGGACACAGGCCAGTGAGGTGGCACCAGCAGTGACCCAGGGATGAGGTCATAGCAGCCTGGACCAGACAGCATCAGTGGATGTGCTGCTGGACTCCAGACACATGGTGAAGGCAGAGCTGACAAGATGCGAGGGTAGACTGGATGCATGGTATGGAGAAAGCGGGGAGTCAAGATTTTTTATCTGAGCAACTAGAAGGACAGCACAGCCATCTAGTAAGATGGTAAAGACTTCTGGAAAAGCAGGTTTTGGAGGCTGATGTCAGGAGCAAGTTTGGGGCACGTTATATGTGAGTCATGTATTACATATCCACCTAGAAATGTTGAGTAGGCAATTGGTGAGATCAATCTGGACTTAAGGAGAAATATTCAGGTTGGAGGTACAAATAATCATCAATTTAAGATGCTATTTGAAGCCATGAGGAGGGGCTAGCTCACAAAGCAGGGTGTAGATACCAAGAAGAGATCCAAGACCAGGCTTTGGGCATGCCAATGGTAAGAGGTTTGGGAGAAGTGGCAATGGTGACTAAGTTTGAGTGGACAGTAAGACAGAGTATGGCATCTTGGAAGCCAACTGCAGAACATGTTTGAAAAAGGAACTGATTGACCGTGACCTGTGTCAAATGCTATTGTTAGGCTAAGAAGATGATAACAGAAAAATGACCAAAATGGATACTCCCAAGCCCTCAAACAAAGTATGCTAAAGCAGTTTTTAATGTTTTAATAAGGTCTTAAGTTTAAGATGAGAATTTGCACAAATATTTATATCCTCTCCTAAATCTCACTAAAATGACCCTAAAAATAAGAAAGGATAAAGACAATATTGGTCAGGCTATGTCTCTTCCTCTCTCTTCCCTAAACTCTAAACAGATGCTGGGATTAATTCAAAGATGGATTTTCCAGCTTAAACTGACTATTCATCCCAGGAAATCCAGAGGAATGGAAGCCCCAGAGATACAAAAGGAAATACGAAACCTCCCAGGACTCCAGCAGGTTTGTGAGGAGATAACAATATAGGTGGAGTGACAAGAAGACACACATAAAAAGTCAAGCAAAATAAAGAAGACAAATGTCAATTTACAAAATAAATTGTACTGGCTGGGCGCAGAGGATCACACCTGTAATCCCAGCACTTTGGGAGGCAGAGGCGGGCAGATCACGAGGGCAAGAGATCGAGACCATCTGGCCAACATGGTGAAACCCCATCTCTACTGAAAAAAAACAAAAATTAGCCGGGCGTGGTGGCAGGCGCCTGTAGCCCCAGCTGTCGGGAGGCTGAGGCAGGAGAATGGCGTGAAACCGGGAGGCGGAGCTTATAGTGAGCTGATATAGCGCCACTGCACTCCAGCCTGGTGACAGGGCGAGACTCCATCTCAATAAATAAATAAAATTAAATTAAAAAGTTGTACTAATAATCTAACATAGTTTTCACTATTCTATTACAAGGCAGCAGAGAGTGCTGGCTCACCAGTGGCCAGGGGGAGGTCAACATTCACATGGATTACCATGAGCTTCTCAATTCCCAGTCTTATCTCCATTCCCTCTCAGCTACACATATGCATGGGCACACAAGGGACTTCTCCATCATCCCAAACTGCCTCCTCCCCCAACTCACTGCACTCACACCTCCTAACCACACACACTTAACTCCTATCTTTGCGTCTTTCTTCTCTTGCCTCCTGACCCCTCCAATGCATTCTCTACACTGCACTCAACTGATCTTTAAGAGACC